>NC_000014.9:101732714-102035714 GCF_000001405.40 Homo sapiens | reverse complement strand
GGCCTCTACTGTCCGCTCTGCACCTGTCCAGCCTGTATTCGAATGTCCTGTGTTGGCAAAGACTACCCAGCACCACGGCGTGGTGGGCCCTCAGGAGGGCCATCTGAGTTATCTCCAGTCTTCAGCTGGTACACACTTGGTACCTACACACATTCTGTACCTAGGCCAGGCTACTGTTGAATGAACACCTAGAAGTGGAACTCCTAGGTCAAAGGGTCATTTAGGCAAATCCAGCCCTGCGCACAGGCTGTACTGATTGATTCATACTCTTGCTGGCACCACCCGGTGAGACGTGGAACCCTCTCGGCACCTAGCCCATCTTCACTGCAGTTACATCCCATTTCTTATTCTGTCTTTCCTAAGCAGAAAAACAGGTAGTACTTCCCCTTTAACTAGCTATTTTCAGTTCTTGTAACAGAGGACTGTTTGTTTGAATGTCCACCCCCAAACACAACCCTGCCAATCCACTTTATTTTTATTTTTTTGAGACGGAGTCTTGTGCTGTCGCCCGGGCTGGAGTGCAGTGGCACCATCTTGGCTTGCTGCAACCTCTGCCTCCCGGGTTCAAGCGATTCTCCTGCCTCAGCCTCCTGAGTAGCTGGGATTACAGGCGCCTGCCACCACGCCCAGCTAATTTTCTGTGTTTTTAATAGATATAGGGTTTCACTATGTTGGCTAGGCTGGTCTCAAACTCCTGACTTCGTGATCTGCCCACCTCGGCCTCCCAAAGTGCTGGGATTACAGGTGTGAGCCACTGTGCCCGGCCTATTTTTATGTTTTTTTTTTTTTGAGATGGATTCTCACTCTGTTGCCCAGGCTGGGGTGCAGTGGCGTGATCTCGGCTCACCGCAACCTCTGCCTCCTGGGTTCAAGAGATTTTCCTGTCTCAGCCTCCTGAGTAACTGGGATTACAGGCGCATGCCACCACGCCTGGCTAATTTTTTTGTATTTTTAGTAGAGACAGGATTTCACCATGTTGGCCAGGCTGGTCTCAAACTCCTGACCTCACGTGATCCACTGTGCCTGGCCCCTGCCAATCGATTTTAGAAGGTTACAAGAAGCATTCACTGCAGAATAACTCAGACACTTGACAATAACGAGAACAGCACACGCCCCACCATCAGAGGAGCACCAAGCTGCCAGCACTGTATGCCCACGCCCCATTTTCTATTCCTCTCTTCAAACAAGGGTGTATTTTGAAAAAAATTCAAGATCACCACCCACATTCCTCCCATGCCTCTCCTTGGCACCCGAGCTCATACCTATTGAATCGTTTCAGCATGATGGCATTTTCTGTGCAAAGGTCATCAGCAGGCAAGGAGCTGGCCTGCCAGCGAAGACGCTCATCAGCATTGGAAAGGTATTCCGTCCTGGCAATATCTGTACGGAACTGAAAGGCAAGGCCGTTACCTTTCCTCCTCTTCACAGCCACAGATGGGACTGTTCTCAAGACTCTAACTGTGCACTAAACACCAGCTTGCCTCACACTGCTCGCACATCCTTTTTGAACTCCCCGTGATTCTCACCTGGATGTTGGCTTGCTGTAGGTGATGGGACCAGGTAGTGAACAAGTTCTGACGCATCTGCTGGTCAAAGTAACCCGCGTAGGCAATGAACGCAGCTGACAAGAGACAGTCCCCAGCAATGGTGGACATCTGGTTTTTGAAAGTTTCACTTGTTTTTTCCCATCGTTCACGTTCAGCAGACAAGCTCTTCAGAAGAGCAGTGCTCCGGTTTACCTAAAAGGAAAACCGAACAAGATGCTCAGGGATGAGGCCTTTCAGGATTTATACCGAATCCTGCAAATCGGTTCATCCACATTATGTGCAGGGTTTTGGGTGGGTTAGAAACGTGCCCAAGTTGTTCACAGTCCCAGAGGAGATGAGACCCAGATCATATATAACTAATGACCACACACGACTCAGAATCTCAGCGGGGCAGAAGCTGGGTACGGAGCGAGGCCCTCAGGCAGCAGAGCAAACAGGTCTGGAGCTGCTGGTGGGGGATTCAACGGCTGAAAAGTGTCCAGTTTGTATCAATCTATCCTAATTAACAACACTTAGTGACTACTCAGTGTGTATTATTTTCCAGGAAAAAAGTCCTCCGGGGCCTTACAGATGTTAAAGAGCGAATTCACCGAGGCCAGCATGGTGCATGCAGCGCATGTTGAAGTGTGTTAATCTCTGCTTCCACAGCAGGAAAGGCTGAGGATCAATGATGATAATCTTACTTTTGCCTCGACAGCTGCCAGGTCTGCCTTGATGGCCTGGGCCTCTGAGATCAGGACGGCGTATTCCTCCTTGTAGCGGGCGATGCTGGCTTCCAGGTCTCGGATCATCTGCTCCACCTCGTTGGCCTTCTGCTGGTTGTCCTTGGCGTCATCTTCCAGCTTCTGCAGCTCATTGCGTAGGGGCTCCACTCTCTTTAACATGTCTGCATAGTTAAGCTGGGAAGAACCAATTGATAACTGTTATTTAAGTGACAGGAAAAGAGGTCACCTTTCACACGGGAGCTCCTGGCTGTGTTAATCACCTGTGCAATTGCCCATTTCACCATAGGGCCGCAAGCCAGGGAAGCCCGATTCACAATTTCATAATTGTAACTTGGATTGGACATGTAATTTTTCTTCATCTTCTCCCTTATGGCGTCACTGTAAAAGACGAATGATATTTCTAAACACATGCAGGACAAAAGCAAGGAAGAGTTTTCATAAAATTAAAATGGAAGAGACCAGAGCCAGCTCCCATCTCATTGCCCCAGTGACTGACCACTGGGGATGAGCTAGACTGACCCTTGGTTCTCAGGTGAAAGCTGAAAATGTGCTCAACACTTGAACAATTTTTTTCTTTCTTCTTTTTTAATGAGACAGGGTTTTTCTCTGTCACCCAGGCTGGAGTGCGGTGGTGTGATCTCGGTTCACTGAAGCCTTGATCCCCTGGGTTCAGGCAATCCTCCCACCTCAGCCTCCCAAGTAGCTAGGACTACAGGCGCATGCCACCCCGCCCAGCTCATTTTTGTATTTTTTTGTAGAGACAGGGTGTCGCCATGTAGCCCAGGTTGGTCTCTAACTCCTAGGCTCAAGCACTTCACCTGCCTCAGCCTCCCAAAGTTCTGGGATTGGAGCCGTGAGCCACTGTGCCTGGCCTGAACAGCCGAAAGTTCTGGGATTGGAGGCGTGAGCCACCGTGCCTGGCCTGAACAACTGATTTCAATTTCTGGCAATACCTTGGCACTTCCACTTTCTCACCTGATCTCCTCTGCAGAGAAGTTGACGATGGTGGGGATGAAGTTCTCCCGCATGATGATGGAGCGGATCTGCTTCCAGTCTGTGGTGCTTTCCCCCAGCAGCAGGCAGATGGACTCCAGCGCCAGCTTCACAGCAGCAGGAGGGTTGGCCATGGACCTCACCTCCACCAGGTGCTGCTTCTTGATCGACTTCACAGCTGAGTGGCAGCAGGAGTGGATGAGGGTCGATGGGTGGGAGAAGATAGAGCAAAGCATGGTGAGAATGAACCAAAACAGCCAGGAGCTCCAACTCCAATGAGAGAAAGGACAGCTAGCTGCTTAGAAGAGCTAAGAAATGAGAGACTTTTCTGTATTAAACCCTCTGGAATAGGGTAAGTAGCTGATCTCTTAAATGATTATGAAGATCTTACAAAATGCTAGCATTCCTTAAAAAGCAGGATATTACCTTTAAAATGTCTCACAAGTCCTAATTTCTTTATCCCCATAAAGATTAAGAATATATTTACTATTTATTTGAGACTGAGTCTAGCTCTGTCGCCTAGGCTGGAGTGCAGTGGTGCGATCTCAGCTCACTGCAACCTCTGCCTCCCAGGTTCTAGTGATTCTCCTGCCTCAGCCTCCTGAGCAGCTGGGATTACAGGTATGCACCACCACGCCCAGCTAATTTCCTATTTTTAGTAGAGACGGGGTTTCTCCATGTTGGTCAGGCTGGTCTTGAACTCCCGACCTCAGGTGATCCACCCGCCCCTGCCTCCCAAAGTGCTGGGATTACAGGCGTGAGCCACTGCGCCTGGCCAAAAATATTTTAAAAAAATATTTTACAAAATATTTTAAGTGCAATTGTGCATTTATTTTATATAATTTCAACAGACATTTTAAATTTGCTACAATTTAGAGGGATGCGTAAAGACGTGGAGTTAACAGTTCTAAAACAATGGCTGCCAGGCACAGTGGCTCACACATCTTAGTACTTCTGGAGGCTGAGGCAGGTGGATCGCTTGAGCCCAGCAGTTTGAAACCAGCCTGGGCAATATGGCAAAACCCTGACTCCACAAAAAATACAAAAATTAGCTGGGTGTGGCGGCGCGCACCTATAGTTCCAGCTACTCAGGAGGCTCAGGTGGGAGGATCATCTGAAACAGGGAAGGCTGAGGCTACAGTGAGCCATGGTTGCACCACTACACTCCAGCCTGGGGGACAGAGTGAGACCCTGTCTCAAACAAAGCAAAACAAAAACAATGGCCAATGACTTCTATACACTAAAATAGTTTTCTAGGCTGAAATTTTTGTAAAACAATTTTAAGTAATATTTAGAAGGTGAGAACTACATTAAATTATCATCCAAATCCAACTCTGAATGAAAATATATAGGTTGAGTGGTGCATTTGAATTCATCTTGTTGTATAAGGTAAAAACTACAGATAATTGGGTTATTTGAAACAGGTTAAATACAGTGGGCAAGAAGAAAGCACTCTTTTTTTTCTTTTGTTTTCATTTATTCATTTATTTTAAAATAGAGATGGGGGTCTAGCTATGTTGCCCAGGCTGGTCACAAACTCCTAAGTTCAAATGGTCCTCCTGCCTCAAATGATCCTCCTGCCTCGGCCTCCCAAAGTGCTGGGATTAGTGCGAGCCACCTCGCCTGGCTGAGAGCAGTCTTACTCACTGTGTAAATTGCAAACTAAAACAGGATGGCAGGTTGTTGCCCTATTTCTATAGCATCTTATAGGCATGTAAGGAATGGAAAAAGAGAAGTGACTGCTATCAATACTTAAATTAGCAATTGGGTCATAGCTAGAACACTCAGAAACAATTACAAGACAGTTACACTGAATATTTTATATTTCTGGGTGAAATTCAAGTCAGGGATTGATAAATAGCATACTTACGTAATTATCAACAGATCTCTAAAAACGTATATTGACACAAAGCTTATATTGTGAAGTTTCTTTTATGAGAGGGGTTTCACTATGGTAAATACAATCTAGCTTTGTAGGAACTTTGCTTTGAGAGATGAAGACAATCTCAAGCATTCAGAAAAAGCTTCAGATGGTTACTAATGATATTTTTGGAAACCAGAACCTTTGAGGGAAGCATATGTGCAATGTTCAGTGACCTGAACTCCACAGTAATGTTGACGGAGACCACCCTTCCTAGACATCAAAGCTCTGACAGTCTTTACATACCATTCTGGGCCTCAATGACGGCAGGTTCCACCTTATCAAGATCTTCTTTGACACTCATCTGTTTGTCTGCAATTACCTCCTGCTGCTTATGCAGCTGTTCCTGGATTTCTTGGCTCATAACCTAGAAAGGAGGGATGGCTTAGGTATGGGTTAAGCATTGGTTAATTTGCTGACTAAATTCTAAACAACATTCTTCACTCTGCCAACACACACACACACACACACTCTCTCTCCCTCCCTCCCTCTCTCTAACCCTAAGACCCATTTGGAACTACATTTCCTACTCTCTCATTGGAGACTGAAAATGCTCAGTCCTTACAGGCCAGAATTCCCTGACACCATACCTTCTTCTTTTCAGCCTCCTGCTGGTCTTTCACCATCTTTTTCAGCTTGTCATTGGCTGCTGCATTCTTCACCTCCAGCTCTTGGCTCTTTATCCTCAAGTCACGACGCAGTTCTTCTACCTAAAGAGCAAAGCCCACACTCAGAGACGAGAAACATGCAGAAATTATATGGAAAGGGGTCCTCACTGCAGCTCACTCCCGTGAGGAATTTGTGCCTGTGACGCACCTGGTCGACTGTCTCTTTGATCTTCCTGAGCCCCACGTTCAAGTGCATCTGCTGCTCCTCCAGCTCGCTCCGCTTCTCGTGGAACAGGTTGGCATAGTGATTGATGAAGTCCAGGTAGTGGCGAGGGGTGATGGCCATCGTTCTGCCGCCTCGCTTTGCTAGCCGAGCATTCGCCTTTCAGAAAATAGTTACATCTTCTCACTCTTCAGGAAACTCTGTGACTTAACCTCAGAAAACAATTTTGGCCTTGGCAGATGGGTGTGACATGATAGAAGGAGCCTGGCCCTCGGGGCCAGAACACTCGAGTCGGGCCTCAGCTTAGCCACTTAGAGCTTTCGAGATACCCCTTACACTTCCAAACCTCTCTAAGCCCTTTAACTTCTCTAAACTGAGGATGGTGATTACACCAACTTTAGAGGTGTACTTATGTGAAAAGGCATCACAAATGTCAGTTACTATAGAAAGGTTAGCTAGCCTGCTTCCACCTTTTATTAGTAAGAAATGACAAGAAAGGGGCAAGGCAGGCCTGATGTGAGAAACTGCTCTGGTCCCTTGATTTCTGAAGCACAGCAAGATGATCAGACTACCAGGGGAAGCCAGGGCTGGACGACATTCCAAGGGCAATGGAGATGGCCTGCAGGGGCTGGGCAGCAGGACACCTACAAGCTCAGAGTGGATTTCACAAAGCTCTTCTGGGAGGGAGGAGTAGACTGAATTCTTCTATCACACAGAATCTACAGCAAGGATTAGCAAAACATGGTTAGCAGGCCAAGCCTTGCATTTTTCAGTAATGAGGTTTTACTGGCCACAGCCACACCCATTCATTTATATATGGTCTCTGGAGGCTTTTGCCCTACAATGGCAGCACTGAGTAGCTGTGCCCGAGACTACTCCACCTGTAAAGGTTAAAACATTTATGATCTGGCTCTTTAAAGAGAAAGCGTGCTGATTCCTGATCTAGAGGAAAGAGTAAGGGCCTGAACATACAGCAGCAGTGGGAGACAAAGGCAAAGGAGATCATTTTATCAGAGGCAGAGTCAGTGGGGGCACTAAAGTGTTAGACGGCTCCAGAATTTACAGCCCAGTGACAAGAATGAGATGTTACTAAAGAGGTAAGAGGTAAGAAACAAGTATTTCCTTTACAAATAACAGTACAATGTCAAACATGAAGTGCCCTAAGGTCTATTTATGTTGTTTTGAGTCTGGGTCTTGCTCTGTTGCCCAGGCTGGATTGCAGTGCCGTGATCTCAGCTCAATATAACCTCTGCCTCCTGGGCTTAAGTGATCCTCCCACCTCAGCTTCCTGAGTAGCTGGGACTATAGGTGCCCACCACCATGCCCGGCTAATTTTCTTTGTATTTTTTGTAGAGATGGGGTCTCGCCATGTTGCCCAGGCTGGTCTTGAACTCCTGGGTTCAAGTGATCCTCCCGCCTTGGCCTCCCAAAGTGCTGGGATTACAGGCATGAGTCACTGCACCTGGCCTTAAGGTCTATTTTTATAGCAATTTAGTTTTATATTAGCATGATGGTTAGTTTTGTGGTTTATCTGTTGATCTCAAAACTGAACCCACCTGGTGAAGAGTCTGATGAACAAACACACAGCTGTTCACAATGGCTTCCCGATGGGATGGTGGCTGCGGCAGCTTATCATACACAACTGGCATGTAATCAGGCACGATGTAATTTGGCTTCTCCAGATCCATCTTACTTGTGAATTCTTTGCCAACCTGATACAGTGCTTCGGTGGACCAGTCTCCAAACCAATTCAACACACACCTGAGAAAGAGGCCCATGTTTCAGGACAGCTATGAGGGGCAGGCTTTGTCCCTTGGAAGGACACCGACTTTCCTGACCCAGAGCCAAGTAAAGGCCCACGTACCTGTTGAAAAGTGCTGGTGATGTAGCTGCCCGGTCCTTGAGTCCCTCCGAGGACGGGTTCATGGTGAACACGACGTGGAGGTTGCGGATAACCTGGCTAGTGAACCACTTGTAGAGCTCCTCGTGCGAGTCCAGCATCAGGCCTTCCTTCTGTGCCCCCTCTTTGCACTGCGTCATCAAGGTGGCATACTCGTCTCCTTCAAAGAGACCAGGCACCTGGGAAACAGCACAGTGCTGACTTACTGGTCCCCCGGTAACACGTAATGCAACGCAACACGTCACCTAATTACCTCTCCATTGGCCAGAAGGGTATTCATTCGCTCCAGGAATCCAGAATCTAACACATTAGATTCATCCATTATAAATGCTATCTTTTCATTTTTACAGCCAGAACGTCTCAACACTGTCCGTAGATCTTCATCAAAGTCTTCCCCTGTGTACTTCCTATGGACCTACAGAAGCAGAGGCAAGTTAGGTCCATTCCTACTCACTGAGCTCTGCACACACATCTGTTGCTGGGATTAAGAGGCCACCGACCAGACGCACCTTAATCTGGTACACACTCAAACCGTTCATCCAGGCGACGAAACGAGACAGGGTAGTTTTTCCTGCTCCACTAACACCAATCAGAAGCAAGTGGCCTTGAGGTTGACGGAATATTCTGAAACATTACGAGAACTGATCAATGTTAAGGCTTATAATGCCTCATTCCCCTTTTGACTCATATCTAGTGTCTACAGTATTTTGGACATGTTTTAACTTGAACTTGTATATTAAACATTTGCTGAGCAACTGTTATTTGTGAAGTCCAGGAGGAATGCAAAGACCAGTAAGACACGGTCCTGTCCTCTAGACTGACATGAGAGACTAATGCAATTCCAGCAGAAGGTCAAAGGGCCATAATTATGGCAGGTATGCAGTGCTGGGGGAGGAAGAATGAAGTTCTGCTTAGGATAAACTGAGGATGGTTAAGCTGGACTTAGAAAGAAGAGAAGGGGGAAGCTGCTTGGTGGAGAAGGCTGAGGTGGAGGTGGTAGGACAGCATGAGGCCTGGTGTGACCCGGCACACACACTTACTCAAGAGCAGCTTAGGCGAGAGGTGGGGCTGTAACAACAAAAAAGCCCACCTGTCAATCCTCAGCACGTGGTCTAGGACTTCATTAAACAGCACCAGCGGAACATCAAGTTCTTCTTCATAAAAGACCTTCAGCCTAGCTTTGACATAATCTCTTAACTCTTCTTGGTCTACTGGGATGTAATCCTATAGAAAAAAAGGTAATACCCAAATTACTTAGAAAAAAATGTTAGTTATTAGACCAAAGTCAACTGTATGTCCACATACCATGAAGAAACTGTTAAAAATGCAACAAAAAAGGTATCATTTATAACATAGCAAAAAAATATAAATTCACTAGGAATGGATCTAAAAACATGAAAAACTTTTATAGAGAAAACTGAACTTCACCAAAAGGCAATGAAGAGGACCTCAATACATGAAGAGACATACCATGATCATGGAGGAAAAAAACACTCTACTATAAAAATGCCAGTTCCATCAAACTCATCCATAAGTTCAATGTAATCCCAGTCAAAATCTCAGTGGTGGGAGGTGCTTATTGTCCTGGTGCAACCTGACAAGCCATTTCTGTATTTCATTTGGAACAGGAAAGATCCCTCCAGAAAAGAACCAGGTGTGAGGGCCTGCCCTATTTTTTTTTTTTTTTTTGTAGCCTCGCTCTGTCACCAGGCTGGAGTGCTGTGGCACGATCTCAGCTCACTGCAACCTCCGCCTCCTGGGTTCAAGCAATTCTCCTGCCTCAGCCTCCCAAGTAGCTGGGACTACAGGCACGTACCACCATGCCCAGGTAATTTTTGTATTTTTAGTACAGACGGGTTTCACCACGTTGGCCAGGATGGTCTTGATCTCTTGACCTTGTGATCTGCCGGTCTCGGCCTCCCAAAGTGCTGGGATTACAGGCGTGAGCCACCGCACCTGGCCTGGGCCTGCCCTATTAAACAGACTTATTACCATAATCAGGACCATGTGGTTTTAGCACAGAGAACAACTAACGGATACCTATGCACACAGGGAAACTATGATGACAGACAGATACTGCAGAGTAAATTATTATTTAATAAACTTTGCTGGGATAATGGGTGTCCATAAGGAAAGAACTGAAAACGGACCCACTGCTCACTCAATACACAAACTCAATTAGAAATGTGATTAAGAGTTTCAAAGATACATCTTTTTTTTTTTTTTTTTTTTCCTTGAGACAGGGTCTCACTCTGTCACCCAGGCTAGAGTGCAGTGGCCTGATCTCAGCTCACTGCAACCTCTGCCTCCTGGGTTCAAGTGATTCTCCTGCCTCTCAAGTAGCTGGGACTATAGGCACACGCCACCATACCTGGCAATTTTTTTTTTTTTTTGAGACAGAGTCTCCCTCTGTCGCCCAGGCTAGAGTGCAATGGCGCGATCTCGGCTCACTGCAACCTCTGCCTCCCAGGTTTAAGTGATTCTCCTGCCTCAGCCTCCTGAGTAGCTGAGATTACAGGCATGCAGTACCGCACCCGGCTAATTTTTGTATTTTTAGTAGAGATGGGTTTTCACCATGTTGGTAAGGCTGGTCTTGAACTCCTGACCTCGTGATCCACCTGCCTCGGCGAGACGGGGTTTCACCACGTTGGGCAGGCTGGTCTCGAACTCCTGACCTCAGGTGATCCGCCCACCTTGGCCTCCCAAAGTGTTGGGATTACAGGCGTGAGCCACTGTGCCCAGCCTGAAAGATACATCTTTAAGAACGTTTGTTCTTCAAAAGACCTTATAAAGAGTAAAAAAATGGCTGGGTGCAGTGGTTCATGCCTGTAATCCCAGCACTTTGGGAGGCCGAGATGGGCTGATCACGAGGTCAGGAGATCGAGACCATCCTGGCTAACACGGTGAAACCCCATCTCTACTAAAAATACAAAAAATTAGCTGGGCGTGGTGGCGGGCACCTGTAGTCCCAGCTACTTGGGAGGCTGAGGCAGGAGACTGGGGTGAACCCAGGAGGCGGAGCTTGCAGTGAGCCGAGAAAGCACCACTGCACTCTAGCCTGGGCGACAGAGCGAGACTCCATCTCCAAAAAAAAAAAAAAAAAAAGAGTTAAAAAAAAAAGATAAGCCACAGGGAGAAGTTTCCTGTAAATGAAAAAGAATGGGTACCTAGAGTCTTAAAATATATAGAAAATTCTACCAATATTGAACACACCCACCTTACTACTCCCAGCTCCTATCAGGCGCTCTGCCTTGTATGCCCTCCCTGACGTGGTGAACCTTTCTGGAGAAAGCTGAACTTCACTGAAAGCCATTCAGAAGACCTAAACACACGAAGACCAGTGCAAGGGTCATTCTCCCAGAAATCTCTTCCCAGCCTGAGTTATCTCCCTCTGTCCTGCTCTTTCCTCCACTGGAGTGGGAGCTGCCTAAAGGAAGCTCTTACTCACGTCTATCACCTGGGGCTCCTCAATGAAATGCATGTCAAGACTGTAACTCGGTAAACGTCCTCATCCTTTGCAGAGAAAAAGGACAACTCACAGCTATTCTGGAGAGGTGAACTCCATCTAGCATTTTAGCATATGAAACATTTTCACACAAGTTATTCACAATTGTCCTATTTTCAGTGTGAGGAATGTGAAAACAAATTTGTGAAGCAAAGATTTCTTTCACTGCAAACCCGCTGAAGCAACACCTTCCACCGGCTGGAAATCCAATGGCTCGACCCTCACACAGAAGTCAGAACCCCAACAGCAGCCAGCCAGCCATACTCCTGGGAATTCCTGCCCTAAAGTATCAGTGACTGCAAACCCGTAGCACATCACTGCTGTAACCGCAGCCTATTTTATAGTGCATTTTAGGACAAAGAGATTTTTCTTGTTTTTTAAGTGTTTTTTTGAGGTAAGGTCTCACTTTGTTACCCAAGCTGGACTCTTTTTAAGTTTTTATTCTTTTTTTGAGACGGAATCTCACTCTGTTGCCCAGGCTGGAGTGCAGTGGCGTGACCTTGGCTCACTGCAACCTCTGTCTCCCGGGTTCAAGCGATTCTCAGACTCCTGAGTAGCTGGGATTACAGGCACATGCCACCATGCCTGGCTAATTTTTGTCTTTTTAGTAGAGATGGAGTTTCAGCATGTTGTCCAGGCTGGTCTCGAACCCCTGACCTCAAGTGATCTGCCTGCCTTGGCCTCCCAAAGTGCTGGGATTACAGGCGTGTGCCATTGCACCTCGCTGTATTTTTTTTTTCTTTGAGACAGAGTTTCGCTCTTGTTGCTGAGGCTGCAGTGCAATGGCGCGATCTCAGCTCACCGCAACTTCTGCCTCCCGGGTTCCAAAGATTCTCCTGCCTCAGCCTCCTAAATAGCTGGGATTACAGACATGCGTCACCACGCCCAGCTAATTTTGTATTTTTAGTAGAGATGGGGTTTCTCCATGTAGGTCAGGCTGGTCTCGAACTCCCGACCTCAGGTGATCCACCGCCTCAGCCTCCCAAAGTGCTGGGATTACAGGCATGAGCCACCGCGCCCGGCTGATATTTTGTTTTCTGAAGTATTTTTTGAAACAGGGTTTTGCTCTTTTACCCAGGCTGCAGTATGGTGGTGTGACCACAGCTCACTGTGACTTCCTGGGCTCAAGCCTCCCAAGTTGCTGGGACCATAGGCGTGAGTTACCTTGCCTGGCTAAATTTTCAAATTTTTTTGTAGAGGTGGAGTCTTACTATGTTGCCCAGGCTGGTCTCAAACTCCTGGGATCAAGTGATCCTCCTGCCTCAGCCTCCCAAAGTGCTGGGATTACAGGTGTGAGACACCATACCCAGCCTAAAGATATTTTTGAGTAGAAGATAATTCGTTAGAATTCGTTAGTGTTAGAAAGGGATGGCAGAAAAAGAAGTATGTCTGAAATGATGCGAGTTTGCTACCTTTGACAGCCAGTTGCTGTACAAGATGGGTCGGCTCATTGCCTTCTCTCTGTCGATGTTAGGGAAGTGCTTCAGAGCAACCGTGTCGATGTTCTCATCAGTCCAACGCCTCTCCTCATCCTCTACGAGTCTGTGGGGAGAGCAGCATGTGCATTTAGGTAACTAGAGGGCACGGTGAAGAAGCACCATGTTCACCATGTTTGTGGGTGCTGTGGGCTCTTCCAAAGGATGCAGTCAGTCTTTATCACACATCTTCCTTTACTATGCATGGATGAACCTAAAAGCTGAACTCATGACAGCTTAGGCAACCTGAAATTTTATTTATTTATTTATTTACTTACTTACTTACAGAGTCTCACTTTTTTTTTTTTTTTTGAGACGGAGTCTCTCTCTGTCGCCAAGGCTGGAGTGCACTGGCACTATCTTGGCTCACTGCAAGCTCCGCCTCCCGGGTTCATACCATTCTCCTGCCTCAGCCTCCTGAGTAGCTGGGACTACAGGCGCCCGCCACCAAGGCTGGCTAATTTTTTTTTTTTAATTGTATTTTTAGTAGAGATGGGGTTTCATCGTGTTAGCCAGGATGGTCTCGATCTCCTGACCTCGTGATCCGCCCGCCTCGGCCTCCCAAAGTGCTGGGATTACAGGCGTGAGCCACCTCGCCCAGCCCAGAGTCTCACTCTTACTTACTTACTTACAGCCTGGCAACAGGCTGAAGTGCAGTGGCGCGATCTTACTTACTTACTTACTTACAGAGTCTCACTCTGTTGCCCAGGCTGAAGTGCAGTGGCGCGATCTTGGCTCACTGCAACCTCTGCTTCCCAGGTTCAAGCGATTCTCCTGCCTCAGCCTCCTCAGTAGCTGGGATTACAGGCATATGCTACCATGCCCAGCTAATTTTTGTATTTTTAGTAGAGATGGGGTTTCGCTATGCTGGTCTCAAGCTGTAATCCCAGCACTCTGGGAGGGCAGAGGCAGGCGGATCACTTTAAGTCAGGAGTTCAAGACTAGCCTGGCCAATGTGGTGAAACCCTGTCTCTACTAAAAATATAAAAATCAGCCAGGCGTGGTGGCACATGTCTGTAATCCCAGCTACTCTGGGGGCTGGGGCACAAGAATTGCTTTGAACCCAGGAGACGGAGATTGCAGTGAGCTGAGATCATGCCATTGCACTCTAGCCTGGGTGACAAAGCGAGACTCTTGTCTCAAAAAAAAAAAAAAAAAAAAGAAAAAGAAAAAAGAAATGGGAACTGTGATGTGTGTAGTTTTAGAGGTGTAAGACTTACTACAAGGCAAGCAGGCGAGACTGTGACTGCGCTGCTGTGTGAGGACCTTTTGAGAAGCTGACTGTAAGATCTCCTATGCAGGCTACCAGGTGAGGGTCTAGTGAAGGCAGGTATATACTTACTGAAGCCAATCTGAATTTGTAAGCACAACTGCTGTTGCGACATTTGAATTTAAACAAAATTCTCTGTGGTACTAGAAATCTGTGAAAACTATATTGTGGGAGACAGGGTCTTGCTCTGTCACTCAGGCTGGAATGCAGTGGCACGATCATGGCTCACTGTAGCTGCAGCCTCCCAGGCTCAATCGATCTTCCTGTCTCAGCCTCCCAAGTAGCTGGGACTACAGGTACACGTCACCACACCTGGCTAATTTTTTATTTTTTGTAGAGATGGGGGTCTCACTATGTTGGTCAGGCTGGCCTTGAACTCCTGGGCTCAATGATCCTCCTGCCTCGACCTTCCAAAGTGCTGGGATTATAGATGTGAACCACTATGCCCAGCCAATTTTTTTTTAATTGAAAAGGGGAGAGTGAAGGTAGCTGACATAGCAACAATAACAAAAGACTGTTTAAAAAGCAGCAGAACTCCAATAAGAAATAAAAACAGGGCTGCCACAGCCAACATACTCTGCACTCTGCCTTGCCTGCTCATCTCTTACAGTGGCTGTCAGTAATGTACCCGGTGTTGCCCAAGAATGCCAAGGACTCGGGTTGGAAACCCAGTGATTACAACTAGGCAGTATTCTGAGACTCCTTGTACAGTAATGACAGGAAAAACTGCAGGATGACACCTGGTCCAGAGGCACAGCTGCCAAACACTTAAGCATTTCTTAGTCTGGAGGGAACCATCTGCCAAGTCATCTTACTGCAATTCAAACCACAAAACCTTCCACAGTTGATGCCGATCAGTCATCCGTTAGCAATTTTTTCCCTTAAGTATTGGTCACTTAACTAGAAAAACTCAAAACTTACAAGACAAGAATTGATCCAAGTGGGCAACAGGTAAAAGAGAAAACCAGTGCCCCAGAGCTGCAGCTGCAAAGCCTTTGATGAGAACACAGACTGAGAAACAGGAAGAGGGGTGGTGGTTACGGAACACGCACACTGGGCAGTTGTTGGGAGACCTTTTAACTCAGCAGTGAACCCGTGCTCTGGTAAGGTTATCACAGGCAGCTGCTACCTTTTGTGGTCCCACCTGACAGTTTAAAAGGTTTATTAAAGTGCCCCGTTTTTTGACTTCTATGATGTATCTTTAAAAAAAAAAGTACCCTGTTCACAGCCACAAGGTTTATGAAAGTGCCTTGTGTAAGCAGACAGTGGTGGGCCAGCCGGTGCATTCAGCGCACTGTGACTTTGTTACCCTGGGGCAACTGTGACCAGTGTCCAGACGGGAGGCTGCCCTGGCTGACTCTGCTCCTTCCACCACTGGCACCACCTGGCTCTAACTTAGGCAGACCACCCCTGCAAAGACCCCAGCTTCGACAGCTGTAAGAACTCAGAGCAGGGGAGAATGGGACCAACTGGATCCTCGGCTTCCCTTACCTATCTTGGAAGAGACGCAGAGCTTCATGTGCCCAAATCCGAATGAGGCCTTCAACAGGCAGGGTCTCCAGAGGTCTCAGCGCTTCAAAGATGCCTCTCACCCACCTAGTCATTTCACGGGGTGAATAGATATAGTGAGGTTGTGTATCCTGGGTGAATCTCTCCTATGGCAATGAGAAAAATGGAAGGTACACGTAAATATCTTAAGACACAGAGAAGTGGTCAAAAGGTAAAATGTGGCAAAACATGTTTACATTAAAGAACCTAGACCCTGAAATATTTAAGAAGATAGCTGGACATGGTGGTGGGTGCCTGTAGTCCCAGCTACTAGGGAGGCTGAGGCAGAAGAATCGCTTGAACCCAGGAGGCGGAGGTTGCAGTGAGCCGAGACTGCGCCACTGCATTCCAGCCTTGGCGACAGAGTGAGACTCCGTCTCCAAATGAGTAAACAATGTTGGAACAATTGGATAAATAACTGTCCAGAACAAAGTTAGATTCAAGCTGCTCACTTTATGCTGAAATACATTATATTTAACGATTTAAATATTTAAACAATGAAACTACAAAAAATCCTTCTGAAAATACTTAAAAGCAAATTAAATACTGGGAAAAAGCATCTGCCACCTATGACAAGAAAGCTGTCCCAAAGCATGAAGAGCGAGGGAGACACAGCAGGGCAGTTGGCGGCTCCCACTCATCCCCCGCAGCCAGCGGCTCCATGGGAGGCTCAACAGAGAAATGCAAATAGCAACGAGAGTCATTTCTCACCAAATGGGCAAAGACATTTTTGTTAATGACTATTTTTTAAATGTTGCAGAATACAGGGAAGCGGGTGCTGCTGGTGGAGGCGTAGCTGGTCCAACCATCTTGAGAGCAATCTGGCAGATATGCAGCCTTTATATACATTTAGAAACTGTATGGCTCTATTTTCATCATATACACATACATACACATGCATAGGATAATGATTAAGCATGGAAATGTCAGCAGTCTTAGCACCTGCATAGAAAAGTGACTTTGATGACAGACCTTGGAGAAAGTCTCTCGGCTCAATAACATCTCTGAATAAAGTCCAATCTTTATTTCAATAAACTTCTCATTTTATTTTGAGGTAGAGTCTCACTCTGTCACCCAGGCTGGTGCAGTGGCACAATCATGGCTCATCGTAAGCTCTGCCTCCAGGTTCAAGCAACTCTCCCACCTCAGCCTCCTGGGAAGCTGACATTACAAGCATGCACCACCACGCCCACCTATTTTTTGTAGAGACAGGGTTTTGCCATGTTGTCCAGACTGGTCTCAAACTCCTGGGCTCAAAGGATCCACCCACCTTGGCCTCCCAAAATGCTGGGATTACAGGTGTGAACCACCACACCTGACCAATCGAGTGCCTTAATTATGAGAGGAAAACAATTTCTGGAAGAGCAAAGAAACTCTGCGTACCTGAGACATGGTGTAGAACTCCACCATGGCAGCAGTGAGCGGCTCTGCATACGTCCGCAGGGATGGAATGAGCCTCAGCATGGCGCGGTTGAAGGTGCCGTAGATCTGTGTGAGGGAGGCGGGGCCCGGGTAATCCACATACACGACAGGCACGTGGCGCAGGAACCTGTGCACAGATAGCCCCGCTCAGCGCCCCTCCCTGACAGCGCCTCCCAGGAAGGGGCAGTGTGCCAGTGGAGTCGCCCTGTCCAGGGCCCTGTCTGGAGGTCGCTTCCTAACCCAGCTATGCAGACTTGACATCAGTGTTAGCTGAGATCACACACACGCTGCTCAGGCTTGGGGTCTGACACACAACAGTCGATGGAAAACACTTGAAAAACCAGCAAAGATGAAAAAATAACCAAGGCTTATTTCAGGCTCATCTTGGCTCTACAGATGAGTCTGGAGCAGTTCATCACTACCAAGAGATCAATGCTTTTATTTCATTTTATTTTATTTATTTATTTATTTTGAGATGGAGTCTTGCTCTGTTGCCCAGGCTGGAGTGCAGTGGTGCGATCTCAGCTCACTGCAAGCTCCACCTCCCAGGTTCACACCATTCTGCTGCCTCAGCCTCCCAAGTAGCTGGGACTACAGGCACCTGCCACCATGCCTGGCTAATTTTTTGTATTTTTAGTAGAGATGGGGTTTCACCGTGTTAGCCAGGATGGCCTCAACCTCCTGACCTCGTGATCTGCCCGCTTCGGCCTCCCAAAGTGCTGGGATTACAGGCGTAAGCCACCACGCCCGGCCTTAATTTTGTTTTTGTATTTTCAGTAGAGACGAGGTTTCACTGTGTTGGCCAGGATGGTCTCAATCTCCTGACCTCGTGATCCGCCCGCCTCGGCCTCCCAAAGTGCTGGGATTATAGGCGTAAGCCACTGCGCCCGGCCAATGCTTTTATTTTTAACATGTTTTCCTGGCATTACAGCACAGAGAAGTAACCCAAGAGGAATCCACAATAAGCAGTATTGTTGTCTTTATTATCAAAACCAGGTTTTTGTGGCGCTGTGTTTACAGCAATCCTGGAGCTGTGCGTGTGTGAAGCAGAGCAGTCTACCGAGCTGTTTTACCTGTGTGAGAGGGGCTTTCTTCCAGGGTCTGTGGGGGGATTACAAGCCCCAACAAACTGGATTCTCTCCAGCTTCACCCATGTTTGATCTGAGGTACGGTAAAAGCCTCCGTGCTCCACCATCTGAAGGAAGGGACAGGTACCACATTAAGAGCAAAACTTGAACAAGAAACATTGTGGGGCAGGAAGGGCCTTGTGGATAGAAACAAACCTGTCTGATGAAGGATATGACCCTCTGGGTCCCATATTTATCCATATCTGGCAAGTTGATTTCATCACAGAACAACACCAGCCACTTTCCAAGTTGAACAGGAGCCAAAACCACCCCATTAGGTGTGCGCCTGTACTCGCAGTAGTGATCAAAAGTCTTCAGAAGCAGCTCTGGAGTAGTAGCACTGGAGAAGTTGAGACCCACCACCTTTGGAGGGAAGACACAAAACCACACTGTAAGACCAACCCCATGCTCAGCACCAAAAGGTCTGCTGCCCACCTCCTGGCCTCTTTACCTCCATGTCAGGCAAGGCCCGGAGGGCGCTGAAGAGTGTCATGGTCTTGCCAGACCCAGGAGGGCCACACAAGACCAGGGGCTTGTGTTCGGCCAGCCAAGTGTACAAGAGGGCTTCGTGGCGGACTGTGTCCAGCGTTGGCACGACGACATCAGGGGCTGCCACCTTGTGCGTCTCCACTTCAATCTGAGGCACCTTGGCCTGCCACGGAGACCATTCTCCGCTGATGGACACCTACACACGGAGATGGAAGTGTGAGTCCGGCTGCAACCAAGGTGCCTCCTCACGAGGTTTGTTTACCTGAACACAAACTTGAACTTTCAGAACAAGGAAGTAATTGGTCAGGTTAATCTGCACTCTTTGCTAACACATGGAACTAAAAGGATAAAGTCCTTCTATGAAATGGAATAAAATGAAAAGACGAAGCCAAGGTCCATGGTCAGCTTGTTCCAGGATGAGTTAAATCAACAAGGCGAGAATCAGAAACACGGGTGGTAGCTGCATGCTCACCTCATAATCGATAATGGGTATGTTGGGCGCAGTGGGCAGAGGCACGGTCGTGATTCTTCTGATGTATTCACCCAGCTCTGCTCTCATTTTTAGCCGGCTGTCTCCAGACAGGGACCAGAGTATGGCATAAACCAGATATCGCTATTAAAAAGGGAATTAAACTTTGATTTTTATAAAATTTCAACAACAAAAGAAAGACACTTACAGCAAAGTTAACCTAAAGACAGTGGTTCCCAGTCTTCTTGCATCACAGACACCCACTGCACCTTTCCTAGCCCCTCAACGAAGGCTCTGCCTCGCCTAGGAGAGAGCGCACATCCCCACAGGTGCAGCATTTCAGAGGTCCTCAGACCTGTGGTCTGGCGCAGTGGTGAGCTCTGTGAAGCCCCTGATGCCCCCTGACCTGAATGTAGCGCTCCAGCTGCTCGATCTGCATGGGGAAGTCGGGATGGTTGGCGTTATACTGCGCCACGTTGCGGCAGGCCTGGTGCAGCATGGAGAAGAGCGAGCCCAGGCAGCGCAGGCGTGTTAGGTCCATGATGTGCTCCAGCTGGAAGGCGTGCTCTAGCGCCTTGGTGACCAGGCCGTTGGACGTGAAGTACGGTTGCATGATCGTAGCTGCATCTCTTTGGATCTAGAAAGTGGAAGGAGTGATACTTAACTATCTTTCAAAAGGCAGGCGAGTTTCATCGATTCTAACCTGGTCCCAGGAGAAGGTCATACGACCTTGGAAAACTCATTTTGGATGAAGCTTCAATGACCAGTCCTCATTCCTTCACCCTGGTGGTTCTCAAAAACCCTGCTTCCCAGGAACTTTGGTTTTCCCACTGAACATGGAAAAGGGCAGTCTTTCATCAATTTGTAGAGAAAAGTAAGATAATGAAAAGAATTCTTTAAATTTTCCCATACGTGACTTTTAACATTTGTAGCTGCTACAGCTGGGCTTCCTTGTTTAAGCTGGCAGAAGACAACATTGATTACACAAAAGTTGGCTGGGTACAGTGACTCATGCCTGTAATCCCAGCACTTTGAGAGGCCAAGGCAGGTGGATTGCTTGGGCCCAGGAGTTCAAGACCAGCGTGGGCAACACAGCGAGACCACATCTGAATATCCTAGCACCCTCAGGTCATGATATGTGGGGTCCCACCTGGGCGTACCTGCAGCATGGGGGAAGCGGCCTCCTCCCCCTCATCCTCTTTGCCCTTACGCCGCCGCTGTGCCTCATCCTCCCCTTCATCCAGCGGGATGCTGCGCAGCCTGGCCAGGAAGTTGTTGAAGATCATGTCGGTGCTCAGCACATCCTCACTGAACCAGACCATGCCGCAGCGCGACACTGTGGCCAAGGTCGCGTATTTCAAGTCCTGTACCTCAAACATTATTCTCACCTTGAAAGAAAACATTAAGCAGATTTAATGACATAGGTTTGGAAGAAACCTGGACATTAAGATTCTTTTACCTATATATACACTGAAAGGGTGACTTTAAACTTAATTTTCCTATACAGAAAGTAGCCAGGCATGGTGGCGTGTGCCTGTAATTGCAGCTACTTGGGAGGCTGAGGGAGAAGAATCACTTGAGCCTGGGAGGTGGAGGCTGCAGTGAGCTGAGATCATGCCACTGCACTCTAGCCTGGGTTACAGTGAAAACCTGTCTCAAAAAAATTTTTTCTGCACTTATGTAAAAAAAACAAAAAACACCTACAGCTCACATCACTACAGTATTCACCATTCTCTCTACAGGAATCTGGGCAGGACAAGTGTGTGTGGCAGGGAGAAGAATAGGGCAAACCACCTTGTTTAAGGTTTCCCACTGTTCTTGAGGGCACAGAAGCAACAGCCCCTCCAAGTGTGATGTCAGCAGTGACTGTGTCCTGGGTGCGCACCGGGCGTGGATCCCTCCAGTCTCACATAACCTGACCAGGCAGGCACGCTGTCGTCTCTGGTGTTTTTTTTTTTTTTTGAGATGGAGTTTTGCTCCTGTTGCCCAGGCTCGAATGCAATGGCGTGATCTCAGCTCACTGCAATGCCTCCCGGGTTCAAGCAATTCTCCTGTCTCAGCCTCCTGAGTAGCTGGGATTACAGGTATGCGCCACCACGCCAGCTAATTTTTTGTCATTTTAGTAGAGACGGGGTTTCATCATGTTGGTCAGGTTGGTCTCAAACTCCTAACCACAGATGATCCACCTGCCTTGGCCTCCCAAAGTACTGGGATGACAGGCACGAACCACCATGCCCAGCCTCACCTCCAGTTTAAAGATGGCGCAGGTGACTTGCTGGGGTCCCACTGCTAGTAAGTGGTTGAGATTCAAAGCAGGTGGTCGGACTCCAGAGCCTTAACCTCGGAGCTGTAATTGCCTCACAAGGAGATTAATCTCCTCTGACAAGTTAGACTCTACTGGATCAGCTGTCAGAGAGGAACTTGAGTTGTTGGAGTAAGTGCACACTTTCAGACAGTACTAAGAATCCATGGCTGGCTCCTGAAGCTGAGATAAATACCAATCCTAAGCCTTGTTGTTAAAGGCTCATAAGCTGATCAGGCCAGAAACCTCGCATCATCCTTGATTCCTTTCCCTCACACCCACATCTAGTCCATCAGCAAATCCCACGCATGCTTTAAACTCCAGCCATAGTCAGTCACCTCTCAGCACCTTCGCTGCTGCCAGCTCGCCCCGTCCCTGGTGCCTGGAGGTCTGAGGCAGTCTCCAACTGGCCTCCTGGCTTTCACCCTGCCCTCTTCATTCTCCAAACGGCAGCCAGACGGATCTTCATGGACATACATCAGGCAACATCGCTCCTGTCCAGGCTGCTCCATGGATCCCAGCTTGCCCAGTGTACAAACTCACACCCCCGACAATGACCTCCTAGGCCCCTGACCTGGCTCGTTTCCTCTCTAGTCTCAGCCCTGACTTGTCCTCCCCAGTCCTCTCCGCTTCAGCCGACTGCCCCTTGCTGTCCTCAAGTACACCGGCCCCCTGTCCCAGACCTGCTACTCCTGCTGTGTGTTCCTTTGCCCAGAATACTTGGGAGACTTGGGACCTACTCCCTCACTCCCCTAAGTGTCTGCTCAAACTACGTTCTCAGGGAAGGCTTCACATTTTAACCTCCAACCCCCACCAACACCTGACAGCTCGCTTTCCATTTTTTTCTTTGCACCAATCACTATTCATTTTGTTTGTCCAATTGCATCACACGTGAGCAAGGGCTTTTGTCTTCCTGCCTTTTTTTTTTTTTTTTTTTTTTTTGAGACGGAGTCTCTCTCTGTCGCCCAGGCTGCAGTGCAGTGGCGCGATCTCGGCTCACTGCAACATCCGCCTCCCAGGTTCATGCCATTCTCCTGCCTCAGCCTCTTGAGTAGCTGGGACTACAGGCACCCACCACCATGCCCCGCTAATTTTTTGTATTTTTAGTAGAGATGGGGTTTCATCATGTTAGCCAGAATGGTCTCAATCTCCTGACTTTGTGATCCGCCTGCCTCGGCCTCCCAAAGTGCTGGGATTACAGGCGTGAGCCACCGCGCCCGGCCTGTCTTCTTGCTTTCTTACTGCTGTATTTTCAGCATCTAGAACAGGGTCTGACTCAGTGCAAATCCATACCGGGCCTGACTGTGTTTACTGATCAGTAGGTGTTGTCAGGCACCTGCATCATGCACTCATTTTCCAAGGGACAGCCTAGAAAGCCCCATTCCAAATTTCTCATTTTCCCAGCTCTCTAGATGTATAACAGCTTAAGAAACCTTAACGACAACCCCACCATACAGGGTTAACTGATAATCATAGAGTGTGCTTATTACTCAATAAATGATAGAAAGCCATCAATAAAACCTATTAAAATGTTTCTCACTAGCCATGGAAATGGAAAAAAAATCTAGCAGTTGAGATGCTATCTTTGAAAATTACTTACACAATGATCACTACTCCATGGAATCTGGGTCCATGACTCCAGAGCTGCACTTAGCTAGCACACGAAGTTTAGTTGGCCAAAAGGAATTATTCAGTTGACGACATACAAAAGGCTACTTACATTGGGTGGAAGACTGAGGCGCTCTCCATTGGGCAAAGTTAGGAGCTTATTGTCATCCAGCACTGAGTTCAAGTTCTCAACCCACTCTGGATCCACATCGCCATCGAAGACGATCCACTGGCGCTTCTGCAGCTCGCCTCTCACGCTGTCGATGATCCTGGTTGGGAAGGATTTTAAAATAGCTGCTGATTAAATCAAGATTTTAACATTAGGCATGTTTACCGATGATGGTTTCTGAAATGACCTTTAATTTGCTCAGACTTTGGTTGAAAAATAACGTATACTCTGCTCTTGTGAGAGCAAAGTACTTAGCGCCCATATCCAGGAGAACACAAACACAGATCAAAGAAGACGTACTTTCTCAGCACGTGTGTGAAGAGCCCATCTGTCCATTCCCTGGTGTTGGGGTCCAGGGTTCCGTAGAGGTGGTCTTTGCTGATGGCCTTGGGGTCGATGATATGGGCCACACCTTCCACACCCTCGAGTCTCTCCAATGCCTTCAGCAGGACACGCCAGGCCATGCTCTTCCCACTTCCCGAGGGCCCCACCATCATCAGGCCATGATTGATCTGGGTGATCTGATAGAGCTGGAGAACCTGCAGGGCCCAACAGACCAGCACAGTGACCATCCCAGAGGAGGAATGGGGACAGCTCCTCGCCCAGCCACCTCTTGTGAAAGTGAGCAAGAAACATTATGTGTGGATTTTTTTTTTTTTCCTGAAACGGAGTCTCTCTCTGTCACCCAGACTGGAATGCAGTGGCACGATCTCAGCTCACCGCAAGCTCCACCTCCCAGGTTCAAGTGATTCTCCTTCCTCACTCTCCCAAGTAGCTGGCTTTACAAGCGCCTATCTATGGATTATTAAAGGCAAGTACTGAAACTCCCCAGCTGGAGAGATGTTACACAGGTCACATGTAAAACAAACATTTCCAAACTGTGGCGAGTTCTTTAGTAAGTCAGGAAGGCTGGAGCCAGTGGGACAGGAGACACCAATGAGCAGCCTCAACAAGGACACATCAGATCCCGCCGAGGACAACAAGAGACCCAATGGATGAGCTATGTGTTCAATCCCGTACAGCATCTCTCAGGCCAAACACACACAGCTTGTGTAAACAATAAACTTTTTCTTAAATGAATCACATAGAGGAAGGAAAGAAGCCAATACAGAATGTAAACTACGTATTGATCAGCGATTCAGGTTGTTCATCTCTGGCACTGGAAAGTCTGGTAAGCAGAATTTTTATCAGTATAAACAACTTTCCAATATAGTCATGCACTTAGCATTTTCAGAAATTGAACTGTATCATGTAAAATTTTCAGGTTAAGTATTGTTTCCTCTTCATTTAAACAACAACAACAAAAATTCAAATAGGCCTTGGGCAAATCTTCATAAAGCATATTATGCACCTCCACAGCCTTTGTGGACAGTTTCATCGAAGGGCCCACGGTTGTCATTACCAGACACTAAAGCCAGCAGGGTCTGTGAGGGCAGTGGCCAGTGAAACAATCCAAGTTACCTTTTCAACCCACATTCCACCAACTTCTTCTCCATCTCCATATGTCAAATACATCTCCTGACACACTTTCTTCAGCTCCTCTCGAAGGGCAGTCATCTCACCCCTGTGATACTGGACTCCAGGGAACACGTCCGACAGGAGGCTGAAGAGCAGCGGGATGTCCTCTGCCACCAGCTTTGGCACCATCGTCTCACAGACGCTCTGTATCAGAATCTACGGGGAGAGGGCTGGGCTGTGAGCAGCGCAGCATGGCTCAAGTACTGCCCGCTGCATCCCCAGGAGGTGCGTGATCAGTAACTGTTGGTGAACAAAGGGTGCGAGCACCACTCGCCCACATTCGTGCACTCGACTCACTGGGTCAACATTACAGTCTATTTCAGCCATCCCAAGACATGTGAACTGCAAGAAGAACTCACAAGTCATGGCTTAAATGTTAAAAAGGTAAATTTAAATAACGTATAAGGTTTGAGTGATCAAAACGTTTGTAACGAACCTCTTGTTCAGGGAGATTTTCAGCAATTTCTCCTTCATCAACTGCTTCCCCTCGTTCCTCTTTCTCCCTCTTTATCTTCTGGATTCTCTCTCTCTTCACATTGCCTGCACTCACCAGCACACTCTTCAAAGCCCGAAGACCGAAGTCATAATGGCTTTGGGAAGAGAGCTGCTCATCGCATAGTCTAGAAAAGAAGAAAAAAAGGCTATCTTTAATAACAGTATACTTTAAGCAATAATAGGGTCAAGTGTCAAGAAACCAGAGATGGATATTTTGAAAGACGTACCATCATTACATATAAAAATTTTAAGGTTAAATGGACACATTTAACATATGCAAGAAACATGATTATGAAGAATTCTAGGCTACTTACTTAAAAAACGGGACGATTTTGTTGGCAAGCACTTCAGCAGTGCGGAAACCCTGTGAGTACAGCATGACCTGGGCGATTAACTGCCGGTCGGGCTTGGTCATGGCCAAGCTCCGGAACAGCTTCTTCAAGTTGTCAGGAAGGTTAGACCGGCCCGCGTAGCCAGGGTTCATGGTGATGAAGATGGCCATGTCCGGGCTCACCTTGACTTGTTTGTTCAGCAGCTCACAAGTAATGGGGGCAGAGGCTGAGAATGAGATGATAGCGTTAAGACTAGAAATGTTAAAAAAAAAAAACAAAATGCATTCTAAAATGTCTCTAAAACAACAGACAAAGCTCTCGTTCTCCCAGGGAGCTGAAGTAGACGCTTCCTCGGGGGCTGCTCTTTGGCCTTTCTTCGGGGACCACCAGCCACATTCTCCCAGCCCAGGTGGACCCATTCCCATGTACCTCATGTGCACGTGTCCCAGGTCAAGCCACCAGAGGCAGAGACCACTATTTTATTTGGGCAACACCACACCTGAGTGTCATGGAGAACTCGAGATAGAGATGCAGTCCAACAAATTGTGCAAAAAAAAAAAAAAGGAATAAATGCCGCGACACTGACTGGCTTACATCATGGGAATTACCTGCTCCTAGCATCATCAAAATAAAAAAAACCCAAACCTCCAAGCACCTCTGAGCCACTTTGGAACAAAGTGTATTCTCGCCTTAAGAGAATACTGATCACAAAGGCAAGTATTGCTTTCCTCCACACTCCTTTTGTTTTATTTAGGAGGTCTGGGGAATTCTCCATAAGGCAAGTTGTTATTATGCAATAAAAGGAAACATTAAAAGCTACGCTGTGCACATAAGACAGAATTTCACACTTACCCAATACCCAAATGTTTGCCTCCTTCAGCATCCCACCCTCCCTGACCCCACATGCTGGGACTTTGTGTTGAACTGGGAAGGGAAGTGGTCCCTGGGGCCTCTCCGACAGCTGCTCCTATCGTGATAAAGGGCTTGTTTCCAAAGACAGATGGCAGAACACTGGCCAGACAGGTGGCTGGGGAGGCTGGCTCTCTGACGATGTGAGAATGAAGAGGGGGCACCAAGGGCCCGCACCAGAGGACACGCTCATCCCGTGGCAAAGACCATGGAGGGAACACACAAGCTCTAAGGGAGCACGGGGGCATCTGGCTGGCTGAGGAAGGACTGCTCAGGTTTTTGGTTGTCCTAGGACATAGAAACCTCTATGCTGCTGCCCTAGAATGAGGACTAAAAGCTGTGATGCAATACAGTCCTGGGTTTCTTTTTTTGGGGGAACAGTTTTGCTCTGTTGCCTAGGCTGGAGTGCAGTGGCATGATCTCAGTTCACTACAACCTCTGCCTCCTGGGTTCAAGGGACTCTCCCTGCCTCAGCCTTCCGAATAGCTGGGATTATAGGCGTGCACCACCATGTCAGGCTAATTTTTATATTTTCAGTAGAGATGGGTTTCACCACGTTGGCCAGACTGGTCTTGAACTCCTGACCTCAAGTGATCTGTCCGCCTCAGCCTCCCAAAGTGCTGGGATTACACACGTGAGCCACTACGCCTGGCCTGGGTTTCTTACCTTCCGTCTTTAACCACAGCTCACTACACTGCCTGTAACAGTGAGCTCCTGTGAGCTAAATTCTTGCTTATTTCTAATCCAAGAGGTAGAAAATTAGTTCACTAGGGAATTTCCCTCTACATTCTCTAAGTAATTTTTGAAGAAGAGGTGTCTTACTCTTGTCGTAGTTGGGGTTGGAATGTTCACGCAGTGCTTCCTGTATGCACTGCACCTGCTGGGACACAGCCGAGAGCATCCGCTCCTCCAGGCGGTTGAACTCGTCAAAGCAGCCCCAGGCACCCACCTGGCAAAGGCCCACAAAGATCCGGCCCATTGCCTGGAAAGGAGAGGAAGAAAGGCGCTAAAACCACCTGCTGTGCCCTCAATTGTCTCCCCTCTCCCTTGCCACAAATCAGTATGTTGATGCCCTAACCCTAGTGGGTTTGTCTTTAGCGAAAGAGCGTGTAAGGACATAACTAAGGTTAAATGAGGCCATAAGGGTTGGGGCCGCTGATCCACAGGACTGGTGCCCTTCTAAGAAGAGGAGGAGGAACCAGAGCGCTCTCCCTGCATGTATCCCGAGGAAAGGCCTTGTGGCGACAAAATAGCCACGTGCAAGCCAGGAAGAGGGCCCTCACTGGGAACTGAACCCCGCTGGCACCTTGATCTTGGACTCCCCAGCCTCCAGAACTGTGAGGAAATACATTTCTATTGTTAAGCCACACAGCCTGTGCTGCTTGGATATGGTGGCCTGAGCAGACTACCATACCACCTGCCTCAGTGCTGGCTTCACGGGGCTCAAACCCTGACTCTGACAATCTGCTTGGCCTTGGGCAAGTCACATCTTTTTGAAATGCACATCTCCTCATCTGTGAAATGGGAATACTACTACCTACTCCCACGGTGGCTGTGAAGGATAAATTAGAGTCACGCCTCAGGTGAGGGGCTCAGTGCCTACACACAGCAGTTACTTCATGAACAACAGCCGTTATCATGACAGATGTAAAGTATAACACCTTCTTTCCTTCTGTGCCAAAAAAATCTCAATGACAAAGCTACTGTTTTTATTCTATCACTTTTTGTTGATTAAAGATAAACCTCTTCCATAATGTGCTTATTCCAAGACACAGGCACTAAAAATGTCGTCAAAAAACTGACATTTTAGAAAAATATTACACTAAAGATCTAACTTTGAAAACATGAAACTGAAGTCAACTTCAATGCATGTATGCTGGACACCTCAAACACTTCAAAATAACACCTATCCCTACTACAGGACTCAGGAGGCCATATAAACCACGCTGAGCTGTAAGACCAATGGCTTTGAGAGAGGTACGGAGCTTGATATTCCCCAAATGATCCCTGCAGGGCATTACATTTTAGGTGGATCCCATAAAGTGTCTCACCTGGAAATCAAAGGTTTCATCACAGTTGAAAACTAAAACAAACCGTCCAAGCTGATGGCCAAGAGCTTTGACAGACTCTGTTTTCCCAGTTCCAGCAGGTCCTGTTTAAAGAAAAGCAACAGAGTGCTTGAGTCCATTACCTAACTGAAAACATATCTTTAGCTTTAAAAGAACTACAAAAAGCAACTCATTTAAAAAATCCAAGTAGTGGCCAGGTAGGGTGGCTCATGCCTGTAATCCCAGCACTTCGGGAGGCCGAGGCAGGCAGATCACCTGAGGTCAGGAGTTCGAGACCAGCCTGGCTAACATGGTGAAACTCCATCTCTACTAAAAATACAAAAATTAGCCGGGCATGTTGGTGGGCGCCTGTAGTCCCAGCTACTTGGGAGACTGAGGCAGGAGATCGCTTGAACCCGGGAGGCAGAGGTTGCAATGAGCCAAGGTTGCACCACTGAACTCCAGCCTGGGAGACAGAGCAAGACTCCATCTCAAAAAAAAAAAAATCAAAGTAGTAATAAATGCAAACAAATTTAAGATTTTAGAATGTACACACCACATAATTAAGAAGTACATTCAGGCCGGGCGTGGTGACTCATGCCTGTAATCCCAGCACTTTGGGAGGCCAAGGTGAGGGGGTCACCAGGTCAGGAGTTCGAGACCAGCCTGGCCAACATGGTGAAACCCTGTCTCTATGAAAAATACAAAAATTAGCCTGGTGTGATGGCGTGTGCCTGTAATCCCAGCTACTCAGGAGGCTGAGGCAGGAGAATGGCTTGAACCCGGGAGGTGGAGCTTGCAGTGAGCCAAGATCGCACCACTGTGCTCCAGCCTGGGCGACAGACACTCCATCTCAAAAAGAAGTACATTCAAATCATTAGCTTTATCTTTAAACATTTTAATATATGATTCCATCTGTCCAGATCTGTGGAAGAACTTACCAAATGGGGAACCCCCCAGCCTGGCCTCCAAGGCTTGTGTCATTGTCAAATAGCAGCGGTCAGTGAGGGGGGTCTGGACCAGTTTGTCCTGAACACCCAGGTACTCAAAGCCATAGTTAAATTTGGCATTTGCCATTTGAATTGACAACTGCTGTAACACATCAGTTTGCTTAGGGTCAAAGTAAAATCGCATCTGGCTGAGCCATTCAAAAGATTTGGCGTTGTCAATCTTGCTTTTGATCAAGGACCTTGTAACATCTCTCTGGTGAACCAACTCTGTAATCTGAAGAAAGAGAGTCACTTTAAAAGTTCATCTACACTAAAGCAATACAGTGCATTCTCCGGGTTTGTGGACTGTTAAACTGAAATTGAGGTTCTAGGTCCAGTTACAATGGCTTTCAGTAAATGTTCCAAAAGGCAAATTCACTTTCAGAGATGAGAGAAATGTTACTCATGAGATGGTATTACACAGAACCCAGAGCTGCAGCAAAAACAAAGAAACAGAAACACCTGGCTTTAAATATTTTAAAATTCTGCAACCATTCTAAAACATCATGGAAGACTAGCTTTCTGACGTCTATCCTAGGAGTCTGCCACGTGCCGCCATGGGGCTCGCAGCAAGCACTGCCCGTGCCGTGCAGCTTAGCACTGCTGTGGCCACCTCTCTGGGGAGATGACAGGAAAGAGCAAGAGATCCTGACCAAGGTTGATCCCTTCCTCTCTACCGTGATGTCGCGTAACCCCTGCATGCCCCTGAGATTACCTTTCAACAGGGACAGGGAGCCAAATGCCCACCCTCAGAGGATATCCATACACCATCCACTGTTCTCCTTGATACTACCTGAAACCTTTTTCAAGCATGATTTCCATTTAACTGTGTGGTTGAGGGTGTAAGAGTCTAACTGGTAAGGAAGGAGTCAGGTGTGAGACTAACCAAGTGTTCTAGCTTCCGCCTTCGGAGTGGGGGCTGCTCCATGAGGACAGAGTCTGCTAACACATTGAGGGTGACCTCCACATTGCTCAGCACAGAGTGCAAGGGCGCGGCATCTCCACCTCCGCCCATGCTGCTCAGTGCGGTCTCCACGTTCTCAGACCAGGCTATCTGGGCTGACAAAACCACAAGCTGGGCCTGAAAGACACAGAAACAAGATCCCAAAGGATCATTTTAAAGATTGGTCTGCGTTTTCACCACGAGCCCACTCACTTCTACTATAGATTACCTGGTATTTATCAATCCAAGTGATGTAGGTATTTGGGTCAATTGAAGTTGCTTTACCAAAAATCTCAACTTCCGTAACAGACTCAGCAAGCAGTTTGGCCAGGGTGACTCTCATCTCCTTTTCTACCAATGTGAGCCACTCATTGATTTTGGGATGTTCAGTAATTGACACAGGAGTTTTAAACATAACCTGAAATAAATACAATTTTAAGAAATGAGGTATGCAAAAATGTGAGAGAAGTTTTAAAAGTTACGAACATAAATTTACCTCCTCTCCTTCCCGAGATGAAATACCCAAAACAACAGAGTTATCCTCGTTCAGGATGATGCTCGAAACTCCAGCAAACATCTTCTTGAAGTGTTTCTGTAATTTAGCGACATTCTTGCTGTTTCCAATGATTTCAAGCAAATCTTCATCACCCACAAAATAGAACCTAAAATTAAAATAACACTCAAGTTGCAAAAATATTATATACACATATAAGGTGAATCAAGGTAAGATTTCAAACTGCAGGAAGGGAAAGAACATGTGTCTGGTGGTGGCAATCTCCAGCCCAAATTCAGATCACATCAGAATTTCTTCTAGCCCTTGGCAAAAGATACACACTTACCTAACAAGATCTTGAAGAGGAATTCAATGAATGCAAAGAATTTCATGTCATTTGCCTTAGTAAGTTACTTTATTTATTTATTTATTTATTTATTTTTGAGACGGAGTCTTGCTCTGTCGCCCAGGCTGGAGTGCAGTGGCACGATCTCGGCTCACTGCAAGCTCCGCCTCCCGGGTTCACGCCATTCTCCTGCCTGAGCCTCCTAAGTAGCTGGGACTACAGGCGCCCACCACCACGCCCGGCTAATTTTTTTTTGTATTTTTAGTAGAGACGGGGTTTCACCATGTTAGCCAGGATGGTCTCGATCTCCTGACCTCGTGATCCGCCCGCCTCGGCCACCCAAAGTGCTGGGATTACAGGCGTGAGCCACCGCGCCGGGCCAGTAAGTTACTTTATTAACTCTTTTTTATTTTTTGAGATGGAGTCTTGCTCTGTCACCCCAGCTGGAGTGCAGCGGCGCAATCGTGGCTCACTGCAACCTCCGCCTCCCGGATTCAAGAGATTCTCTAGCCACAGCCTCCTGAGTACCTGGGATTATAGGCAGCTGCCATCATGCCTGGCTAATTTTTGTATTTTTGTAGAGACAGGGTTTCACCATGTTGTCCAGGCTGGTCCTAAACTGACCTCAGGTGATCTGCCCACCTTGGCCTCCCAAAGTGCTGGGATTACAGGCGTGAGCCACCACGCCCGGCCTATTAACTCATTTTTAAAAGAATCTGTCCAATTCAGCCTAAGCAAACTATTCAGAAAGGAAAAGATGCCACTTAGAAAACTGTCAGAGGCTGGGTGCAGTGGCTCATGCCTGTAATCCTAGCACTTAGGTGACTTAGGTGAGCGGCTCACCTAAGGTCAGAAGTTCTAGACAAGTCTGACCAACATGGCGAAAACCCATCTCTACTAAAAATATAAAAATTAGCCGGGTGTGGTGGTGGGCACCTGTAATCCCAGTTACTCAGGAGGCTGAGGAAAGAGAATCACTTGAACCTGGGAGGAGGAGGTTGCAGTGAGCCGAGATGGCACCACGTGCTCCAGCCTGGGCGACAGAGCAAGACTCCATCTCAAAAAAAAAAAAAAGAAAACTGCCAGAGATAAACACTGAAGAGATGTAATGCAAGCTGCCTTGGAGGGTAGATGATAGTTAAATTAAGGATTTAAGAAATCCAAGGTAGGACAATTTAAAAAATCCAAGGTAGGTACAATCAGTAATCACTGCATGACAGGGAAGGGAATGGTAATCATTATATGTATTATTGGCTAACAAAATCCTTGATGTCAAAACTAACAAACACAGGCCCAGAAGGGAAAGAAGATCACTGGAAAAATGCACAACTGAAATTCAACTTGACTCCAGGCCAAGTCAAAGCAAGGATCTTACCTGGGGAAAGATGACCGCTCTCTTTCCAGATATTCTCCCAATGCTTTCTGGATCTTTCCTAGCAGGTCTGCCAATCTTTCCAGAGACCTCTGTACTCCCTGGATGTTCAGAACATCCATAACAAGGGGAGACTTGGACACTTTTTTCATTAGAGCCAAAAACTCAGTGCTGATGCTACAAATGAAATTAAAACATGCGTCAGCCTTTGTGTAGAGTAGTCACTAGCCGCTGGCAAATTTGGCTCTCTGGCTGGAGGCCATACCTCTGAAACCGCTGGGTTTCCACTGGCAGCAGGTGCTTGATATCTGCACTGCCTGTGAAGATACCTTCCAGGTAGACCCACCGCCTCTGCACATCAATCCACACATCAAAGAGAGCCATGATCCTGTTCAGCTTATCTTCCCAGCTGAGAGCATCCTCTTCAAAAACCTGGTGGGCAGACAGGAGGGAGAGGTAAACTGCTGACCCTTCTACTCACAGATATGCCAAAACTCACTGAAAAAGCGCAGATCAGGATCTCATGAAGTAATCTGATTCACATTTTAAACAACAAGTAGACGGGTGTGGTGGCTCACGCCTGTAATCCCAGCATTTTGGGAGGCCGAGGCGGGTGGATCACTTGAAGTCAGAAGTTTGAGACCAGCCTGGCAAACATGGTGAAACCCTGTCTCAACCAAAAATACAAAAATTAGCCAGGCATGGTGGCAGGTAGCTGTAATCCCAGCTACTTGGGAGGCTGAGGCGGGAGAATCACTTCAACCCGGGAGGCAGAGGTTGCAGTGAGCCGAGATCGTGCCATTGCACTCCAGCCTGGGTGACAGAGCGAGACTCCATCTCAAAAAAAGAAAAAAAAAAAACAAAAAAGCAAGCAAACAAACAAAAAAACAAGTATTGACTGGCTGTGGTGACTCACGCCTGTAATCCCGGCACTTTAGGAGGCCAGTGCAGAAGGACTGCTTAAGCCCAGGAGTTCGAGACCAGCCTGGGCAATATAGTGAGATGCTGTCTCTACAAAAAATAAAAAGCTAGCCCAGCATGGTGGCATGTGCCTGTGGTCCCAGCTACCTGGAGGCTGAGGTGGGAAGATCACTTGAGCCCAGGAAGTCAAGGCTGCAGCAGTGAGCTGTGATGGTGCCACTGCACTCCAGCGTGGGAGACAGAGTGAGACCCTGTCTCAAAAAATACAATAAAAAACAGGTACCTAGTAACTGTCAGTGAAAAGGCATTACAGTGAAAGCGTGGGAGACCACTGGTGGGGAGGGAAAGCTTCCCCAGCAACAGCACCTTGTAATACGGAGAGAGCTTCATGGCCGAGACGCTGTTGATGTGTTCTTTGACCTTGTTGAAGAGGTCATCCCAGCCACGGATCAAGCGGCACTTGTTCTGATAATTAACCAAGTCTAGTTCATAAGTATTCCACACTTCTCTTATCTGAATTCAAACCAGAAAGATGCATGTTATCAATATGTGGGCATTCACTACCTGCACAAGGGACCCAGCATTATAAGAACCAAAAGGACCACAGATGACAAGGCTCCATTTTTACATAGCTCAGATCTATGTAACAGCCCGAAACACAACGTAAAGCAGCCGTTCAGTCCTATTACTCGCCTGCTTCAAAAATTCTTCCAAAGCCATCTCCCCTTGTGCCACAAGCAGTACATCCTTGACAATCGCTTCATTTTTCTGCAAGTCAACATCCCAGATTTGGCCAAGGGTTAGCTCAGAAACAACCCAATTAACGTGAAGCCTTTTCATGAGCTGTTTCCAATGGCGGTCTTTAAGTGCTTCGGATTTCAGTTCAATCACCAGCATATTTATCTGTGGAGAAAGTAAACAAAGTGATCTGTGCAGGTGCGTTTCTAATGGACACTCATCACCGTGCGATACTGGCCACCTACCTTCATGTAACCTTTCAGAAGCCTCTGAACAAACTCATAGGACGCATACTGTCGCAACCGGGCAGGGAAGCTTTTCAGCTGGTTCAGGAGGGCATCCAAATTTTGTCGAAGCTGTCGAGAGAAACATAAGATGCTATTTAGCTTGCCAACATTTCTTTAAATGGTGAAATATTTCTTTAAAAAATGGTTTCAGGCCAGGCGCGGTGGCTCATGCCTGTAATCCCAGCACTTTGGGAGGCCGGGCGAGCAGATCACTTGAGGTCGGGAGTTCGAGACCAGCCTGACCAATATGGAGAAACCCTGTCTCTACTAAAAATACAAAATTAGCCGGGCGTGGTGGCACATGCCTGTAATCCCAGCTACTAGGGAGGCTGAGGCAGGAGAATCGCTTGAACCCGGGAGGCGGAGGTTGCAGTGAGCCGAGATCATGCCATTGCACTCCAGCCTGGGCAACAAGAGCGAAACTCCGTCTCAAAAAAAAAAAAAAAAAAGGTTTCAAAATAAGTTTTACAGTATTTTGGACGAATAATGTAAATGACATGCAGGACATTAAATGACATCTTATGAACTCACAATACAAATACACAAACTTGGCTTGTCACGTTCCTAAATAAAGTCTGTAACTGTTAAAATAGACGTACACAAACACCGATTTCATGATATACCTTTCGAGGCTGTACTGAAACCCAGGGTTGCTCCTTCATCTGATCGATTTGCTCCCAAACCTTAGAAAGTTCTGACCAAACGCCTTTGAGGTCCTGTAATTCTTCTAAGGCCACCTGCGATTGAGAATAGTAAAGCAGTTGACTTTGGAAATAGAAATCACCCCAGAATCTGGCAGGGCCCTGAGGATGAACAAAGTCAATGGCAGAGTCCGGGTGGGGAGCGGGATTCTCCACCCACTCCCCAGTGGTTCATACCTGCACGCGCTCTTCACTGCCACTGAGAAGCCCAGTATCTGTCAATTCCAGCGCCTCCTTGGCCTTTGCACACTTCTCTCTGTCGTCCTTCAGCCTACCAAACTTCCCCTCATATATGGTGAGAGCCTGAAGTGCCTCTTCTGGGCGAAGGTTGCCCTGAAAGCAGTCAGAGCACAGAGAATTGGAGCACAATGTCTCAGGAGAGATGAGCATTTAGGCTTTAAAATGGTGCACAGAGCCTGCAGGGCTTCTGGACGTTTCGGATTCTTTGCACACATCTTCATAAGGAAACATTCAACAAGATGTCCACTTTGGATGTGTGTACAGTAGCGAATTTAATTTTTACATGAACATTTTACATAAATAAAATAGAATGGTGGAGCATCTCTTGATTTAGCCATTGTCTTATTCAGTACCCTGGAAGGCGGGAGAAGAGGCAGCACAGACTCGGCCTCAAGTGCACATCCCCAGTGATAGAAGAGGACAAACCTCCGGGGCCTGCCAGCCACAACTTCCCCAGAGAACACAGTTGTTACATCAGTTACCCAGCCAAGAGAGGAATGAGAAATCACCAGAAACAGACTCTACTTCAGCATTAACACTACCATTTGCATACTTCCTTTTCATTTTAATAACTGTTGAGAGGTGTACAAAATATTACTGTTTTCCACTAAGGCAAGATATCAAAAAACATTTTACTTAGGCTGGACGTGGTGGCTAACGCCTGTAATCCTAGCACTTTGGGAGGTGAAGGCGGGGAGACTGCTTGAGTTCAGGAGTTTGCGACCAGCCTGGGACTTCATCTCTACTAAAAATAAACAGTAAGCTAGGTATGGTGGGGCACGCCTGTAGTCCCAGCTACAACGCTTGATCCCAGGAAACGGAGGCTTCAGTGAGCTATGACCATGTCACTGCACTCCAGCCTGGGCGACACAGTGAGACTCTGCCTCAAAAAAAATTTTTGGCCAGGTGCGGTGGCTCACGCCTATAATCCCAGCACTTTGGGAGGCCAAGGTGGGCAGATCATGAGGTCAGGAGATTGAGACCATCCTGGCTAACACATTGAAACCCCGTCTCTACTAAAAAATACAAACAATTAGCCAGGCGTGGTGGCGGGAGCCTGTAGTCCCAGCTACTCGGGAGGCTGAGGCAGGAGAATGGCATGAAGCCAGGAGGCAGAGCTTGCAGTGAGCGGAGATTGCGCCACTGCACTCCAGCCTGGGAGACAGAGCAAGACTCCGTCTCAAAAAAAAAAAAAAAAAAAAGAAAAAGTTTTAACTCTAACACATTACTGGCACCAAGGTAAAGTGATGAGAAATATTCAAATTTTGATGACCAGAATCTTGCTATTGATTAATATTCAACTCCTCCACTGGAGCAAGCACTCATAACCTAGCAGTAACAGCAGCACTGGCAAAAGCAGAGACCATCAAATCAAAATTAAGCACACAGTAGAACCTGCAGGGGCCCAGCAGCACGGAAACGGTTACAGGCAGGATGGGACAATTAACCAGCAGATCTTTGTGGAAGGCTAAATCTGTCATTGTCATTAGGCCTACTGTGGGAAACTTACATCCCCAAATGAGAAAAACAGATTAATATTCAAAATATGTTCACATCTTTTCCATTTGTCTTTTCTATGCTTATATTCCCTAAATAAATAAAAATTTGAAAATTAAAAAGAAAACAAACCAATCGCCTGGGACCCACCATAACCCAATTGGATCAGCATTTATAAAGGGGAGAGGGGTCCAGGCGTTTGTATTATCAGATCAGCGTTTATAGAGGGGAGAGGGGTCCAGGCGTTTGTATTATCGGATCAGCTCTTATAGAGGGGAGAGGGGTCCAGGCGTTTGTGTTATCGGATCAGCGTTTATAGAGGGGAGAGGGGTCCAGGCGTTTGTATTATCGGATCAGCGCCTATAGAGGGGAGAGGGGTCCAGGCGTTTGTGTTATCGGATCAGCGTTTATAGAGGGGAGAGGGGTCCAGGCATTTGTATTTATATGCTCTCCAGATAATTTCATGCACTCTTAGAAAATAACAAATAAAAATAACAAAGGGAGCAAAAAATAAAATAAATAAAATTTTGAATTCCACTTCCAGTAACCACACACACTGTTATCTACATCACCTCTGCTATCAGCATGAGTTGCCAGCCCCCTTCCACACCACCCTCCCAGGCACAGCAGTAGCCACTGAGCCAGCGCCCTCTCATCTGCTTCTGTCGCAGCAGCACCACCACCTGCCTTTCCTGTCTCTTCTTGCTCATTTTTTTTCTCTCTCCCACGGAGCGTGATTCCATGAAGGTAGGAGGCTCTTGTCCTTTTCACTCACTGCTATATCTCAATGACCTAGAACAAGGCCTGGAACACAGTCGGTGCTCAATAAATACTTCAATGCATGAAGAAAAGTGGATGTGGCAGTTTCTGGGTGGTGGAAGGTTTAAATGGCTACAATGACGAAGACAACAGAACCTGCCTCCCCACAATCCACTGGCAGCACTGGCAAAAACAGAGACCATCCAACCAAAATTAAATTAACTAGCAGCAGCAGTGGAAAGCTTGGCCTTTGTCTACAGGAAATTAAACTCTAATTTCTGCGCATATCTACGTAAGAGAATGATCTAAGAACAGAAAAACTTTAATCCTTAAAACCAGCTACTGAATGCCATTCTGAGTAAAAAGAGGTCTAAGCTGGGCTTCATATTTTCACATTTGCTATCTCCATCTGCTTTTTTAACTACAAAAAGGAAAAGAGTCTTCAATACTAGAAAGCTCAGTCACAGCAAGGCCTTTTAGGCTTGAAAGAAAGTCACCAAATCACACTGCTGGGTGAGGAGTCTCCTGCGTCCCCACCTGGCGGGACTCACCGTGACAGGCTTGGTCTTCTCCCAGTCAGTCAGCAGGTCGGTGGTGCGGCTTTCCACGGCCCGATCCTCCTGGACAATCTTCATTTGCAGGTTTGCCACCTGCTGCTGAATGGCAGAGTCCTTTCGCCGCATGATGTCATTGAAGGCTCCCCACTCTCCCTCGATGTTGTCAATATAAAGCCAGGAAGGTGGGAACTGGAACCTTTGCTTTTCCAGTAAGCGCTGGCCATTGCGGTAGAGCTTTGAGAGTTAAAAAATAAATCAAGTTTTTTCTTCTATAACAATGATAGAAATTATTAATTAGAGCCCCATGAAAGAGAAGGCACTTTATAGTTATAAAACACGTAAGACTGGCCAGACACAGTGGTTCTTGCCTGTAATCCCAGCACTTTGGGAGGCTGAGGCAGGTGGATTACTTGAGTCCAGGAGTTTAAGACCAGCCTGGGCAACATGGCAGGACTTCATCTCTACTTAAAAAGAAAAAAATTAGCCAGGCATGGTGGCATGTATCTGTAGTCCCAGCTACTCAAGAGACTGAGGTGGGAGGATTGTTTGAGCCCGGGAGATTGAGGCTGCAGTGAGCTAGGATCCTGCCACTGCACTCCAGCCTGGGTGACAGGTGAGATGCTGCCTCAAACAAAACAAAACACAGAAGATCAACACATGTGCTCTTCTCCTAAAACCATCCATCCTAAGACATCGTGGCCAGAGGGCAACATCCTCTGAGAGCCCACCGCAGCTGGTCTGGGTGTTGCACTGCACTGCATCCGGATGGCCCCGGACAGGATACAAAGCAAGGTGGAGCTGGGCTTCACCCTTTATTCCAAGTTATTAAAAGGATACTTGGCCGGGCATGGTGGCTCATGCCTGTAATCCCAGCACTTTGGGAGGTCAAGGCGGGCAGATCACTTGAGGCCAGGAGTTCGAGACCACCCTGGCCAACAAGGAGAAACCCCGTCTCTGCTAAAAATACAAAAATTAGCCGGGCATGGTGGTGGGCGCCTGTAATTCCAGCTACTCGGGAGGCTGAGGCAGGAGAATCGCTTGAACCTAGGAGGCAGAGGCTGCAGTGAGCCGAGATCACACCACTGTACCCCAACCTGGGTGACAGAGCGAGACTCCATCTCAAAAAAAAAAAAGAAAAGAAAAGAAAAGAAAAACCTAGATGCCCAGTATCTGCACTGAGTTTTTCATTATTTATTTAGTTTTTTGAGATAGAGTCTTGCTCTGTCACCCAGGCTGGAGTGCAGTGGCACAATCTCAGCTCACTGCAACCTCCGCCTCCCAGCTTCAAGCGATTCTCCTGCCTCAGCCTCCCGAGTAGCTGGGACTACAGGCACATGCCACCACACTCAGGTAATTTTTTGTATATTTTTTGTAGAGATGGGGTTTCACTATGTTGGCCAGGCTGGTCTCAAACTCCTGACTTCAGGTGATCTGCCCACCTTGGCCTCCCAAAGTTCTGGGATTACAGGCATGAGCCACCGTGCCTGGCCTACACTAAGTTTTAACAAGCACATCAGGCTGTTGTAACAGAGATGATCTGTGGGCCATACTAAGAAAAGAGTGCCTTAAGGGTTGAGTCAGGTCATTCTCTTAGAATGCAAAATACTATAGAAGCCAAATTAAACTAGAGATCTAGTGTAATTTTTTTTTTTTTTTTTGAGACGGAGTCTCACTCTGTTGCCCAGGCTGGAATGCAGTGGCACAATTTCGGCTCACTGCAAGCTCTGCCTCCCGGGTTCATGCCATTCTCCTGCCTCAGCCTCCTGAGTAGCTGGGACCACAGGTACCCGCCACCACACCCGGCTAATTTTTTGTATTTTTAGTAGAGACAGCATTTCACCGTGTTAGCCAGGATGGTCTCGATCTCCTGACCTCGTGATCCGCCCGCCTCGGCCTCCCAAAGTGCTGGGATTACAGGCGTGAGCCACCACGCCCAGCCAAAAATTTTTAAATATGCACAGAGCTCACCTCAACTTGCTTCTCAAACTGCTTGATCTTCCGTTTCAAAGACTGCACATAGGTGATGAAGGTCACTGCATCGGAGGTGCTGGCCGTGTCTACTGAGTGCTGCTCCAACTCTTGGCGGGACTGTTCAGAGAGAGGGGAGTATTTCATCACAGAGCTGGGGTTCACCAGTAGACCGGTTACAGAGGCAGAATCCTATGTCCTCACCTTTGAGATCTGGGAATGGAATTCCGTCATGTTTGATCCTAGCATCTGCCCAAATTTGCTAAGAACCTCCTTATGCCAAGAGTCATATTTCAAGTTCACCTTAGATTGTACCTGAGGGTGAAATAGCACACAACACATCATCAGCTCTTTCCTGCTGGCGTGTTTATCCTTCAAATGAATATCAGTCTAACAGAAATGTTGCTTTTACACTACCCGTGACACCTTTCAACCAGACAGCAGGGCTCACCTTGCCATAATCTATAACTACTGGTCCAAACTCTTTCTTGGTTTCTGCATTGTCAAAGGTTCCTCTGGCCTTCCTTATTTGGACCAGGAGAGCCTGCCATTTGTTGAGATCTTCTCCAAGTCTGTTATAGATGTTTTCAGCTTGCATATCCCATAAACACTGATACTGAAGCCAAACCTGCAAATGAAGAACACAGTTAAATAATAGTTTGAGTTTTCATTTTGTAGAATACTGGCACCTCTTATGTTCACATTCCATTAAGAAGGTTCATGTCTTTCACCACTATTAGAGAAATTCTCACTTCAGACTCTCAGAATTTTCATATCAAAAAAGATTCTTGAACGTCATGGTTAAAACTCAAAAAGATGTATCCTATCATTTACTCTCTGCTTTGAAACAGCAAATAGTATCTAGTGAACCATACATACAGTCAAGACCTTTTAGCTCCATGTTCTTTATATCTTGTACTCTTAAGTGTCTAGAATAGACCATATGCACATTTGAATGAAATTAGGAGTTTCTTACCTTGACATACTGTTCAACTTCAGATACAATGCCCATGACAGCAGAATACGACTCTTCCAGGGCAACAGGGCCATCAGGCATCCGTGTTAAAGCATTCCGATAGAATTTCTCTTCCTCAGTCAATTCGTAATGTACACCCACCTAGCCAACCAAAGCCGAAATGAATGCAAGCAGTGTATATGAAAATGGTAATCTAAGTGTCACCTTTTACTTAATTAAAATGAACTGAAAGAAAAGCTCATGACCAAAATGGCATTTAAGGGATAACATCCACTTACCCTGGCCACAAGTAACCAGAAAGCCTACTTATATTTAACTCATCAAACCAATACAAGAACATTAATGACAACAGAGAAATTTGGCAATGCAAAAACAGCTGAAAAGTGCACGAAGCCATTTGCTCATTTTAACTATCTGAGTGCCTGTTATGTGCCAGGCACTGTTCTAGGTACAACAAGCAGATAAAAATCCCTGCTCACAGGGACTTACACTCTATGGGAGGAGAGACGCGATTAGGGAATAAGCAAAACACACAGAATGTCAGGTGGTGAGAGAGAACTACGGAGCAAGAGTGAGAAGGAGAGGGAGTGTGGGCACAGCATGGGGAAGGCTGCATTTTCAGTAATGACGTCAGGAAAGGCCTTGCTGAGAAGGGGAGAATTGCGAGAAACCAGGAGGAGAGGGGTAAGTTGTGATTATTTGCCATCAAGGATTCTGAGTTGAGATCAACAAATGTGAAGGCGCAGGGGCAAGAGTCTACCGGCATGTTTGAGGACCAGCAAGACTCCAGTGTGATGGGGCAGAGCCAGTGAAGGGAGAAGCAGCAGGAGCTGAAGTCAGAGAAATAATAAGCAACACATTACACGGGCCCAGCAAGCCACTGGGGCTTTGACTTTCATGATGAGTGAGATAGGAAGTCATTCAAGGGCTCCGAAAAGAGTGTCAGGATTGACTTAGAATCTAAAACTTGCTTTGGCTGCTGTGTTGAAAACAGATTTTAGGGAGGCAAAGGCAGAGAGAACAGATAGGAGGGAATATTAATAATCCAAGTGAGAGGTGATGGTACCTTGTACGGAGTGGTGCCAGTGAAACAGCTCAGCATTCATTTTCAAGAGACACACAATGGGAATCAAGGACAATACCATGATTTTTGGCCTGAATGAGCTGAAGGATGAGAAGTGAAAGACTGAGGGAAGATCAAACTTGGGGAGGCAGGGCTCAAGAGGTGCTCAGTGTGACGCGACTCCGAGATAGCCAAGTGGAGATGCCATGCTAGTAGCTGCCCAGACAAGCCTGGAGTAGGGAGAAAGGTCAGCTGGAGATACGAACACAGAGCTGTCAGCCTGCAGGTGGCATTTAAAGTCAACAAGACTAGATGAGACCACAATGAGAGTGCACAGGAGTGGAGAGGGAACAGAACATTTAGAGGGAGTTTAAGGGGAAGGCAAAAGAGGAACCGAGAAAGGAGACCAGCCACTGAGGTGGGAGGAGAACCAGGAGGCACGGTGTTCTGAAGAGTCCAGAGCATCACGCAGGAGGGAGCCTCCATCAAGTCTTGCAGTTAAGAGGTGAGACAAGGACAGAGAAGCCCCCTAGTCAGCAGGGTGGGGCTATGGGCGATCACACAGAGCAGTGCTGGAGGAGGCTGGATGAGTGCCTGAGAAGGGAGCTTCCTTATGAAGATTGCAGGGGACATGGGGTCCCGTTTAGGTGCTGAAAGAAGACCCAGAAGAGAGGGCAGAACAGCTAAACGAGAGTGAGGGGATGGGCTCTAGGGAAAAAGGAGACTGCTGGCTTTAGTTTGTTAAATTTGGAGATAAGCAAGAGAACAATGCAAATAGAAACACGGCTGGTTAAAAACAGGAGTAACATGATGAGAATGATGCTAAGGATTGTACGTAGACTCCTTGAAGGGCAGAAGCCAATATCCATAGCTTGGTTCTGATTAGCTGGACAGTGCCCAGCATTAGGTGAAACATCACCACGATTTTAGCCATAGGCAATTAACTACCTCAAAAAAAATCCTTAAAGATCTGAGTTTATATTCAAAGTTAAGAAAACGGTTAATGTCTTATCACTAAATTCTGGAAGAGTCTGCAATAGCAGAAGTTGTGCCATCTTTTTTTATGAAGCCACTGGTTCTGTTCAGAAGTGACACTGGGGACTAAATGGTCTTTTGAGATTTCCTTTTGTTCTAAAAATATACTAAGAGTATATTATATCTGAGATTTGCTTCAAGATAATCTGGTGGGGGTGGAGAGGTAGGAAAGAAAATATAAATAACATTGTCCACATATTGATAAAGCTGTGTGGTGGGGGGCTCTTGATTCCCTCAACTTTTGTGTATGTTTTAAAATTCCCCTAATAAAAAGTGGGGGGTGGGGAGGAGAGGGAGAAGCAGGAATTGAGATTCCCAAAGATGCTCATGGACAGGAGTTCGAAGAAACTACTGAGACCAAGCTACAAATGCCAAGTAACTAGTTGGAAAAAAAGGTCAGGGCACAAAAAGCCTCCCTAACTTTCCCCTGGGATGTCTGGAGTTTGTAAACAACATCAAGAGCTTATCTAAAGAAGCACCATGAAGAAGTGGTATCACAGAGCCCATGAGAGTCCTGGTCAGAGGCGTGTGCCTCGAGTCACCAAAGGCTTACCTGGTACCTCTGACTCTGGATCCTGGGGAGAGACAGTACAACCATCTTCCAGGCAAACATTTCCTGATACAGCTTGTATCTGCACTCTTCAATTGGTGGATTCAAGTAGATTACCTGATTGGTTATTCTTAGCTCATGAACGACATTCTGTGAAAGAAAGGTTTCATTTCTACTCAGCAATCTATTTTTCAATAAAAAAAATTTTTTTAAGACAGAGTTTCACTCTTACTGCCCAGGCTGCAGTGTAATGGCACAACCTTGGCTCACTGTAACCTCCGCCTCCCGGGTTCAAGCAATTCTAAGCCTCCCAAGTAGCTGGGATTACGGGCATGCGCCAGCAAGCCCAGCTAATTATATATTTTTAGTAGAGACGGGTTTCAGCATGTTGGTCAGGTTGGTCTCAAACTCCTGACCTCAGGTGATCCACCCGCTTCAGCCTCCCAAAGTGCTGGGATTACAGGTGTGAGCCACCATGCCAAGTCCTTTGCTTTTTGTTTTTTTGAGATAGGGTCTCACTCTGTCACCCAGGCTGGAGTGCGATGGCGACATGGCTCACTTGACATTCTGGGCTCAGGCAATCCTCCCGCCTCAGCCCCTCAAGTAGCCGGGACCACAGGCGTGCACCATCATGCCCAGTTAATTTTTGTATTTTTTTTTTTTTTTTTTGAGACGGAGTCTCACTCTGTCGCCAGGCTGGAGTGCAGTGATGCCATCTCCGCTCACTGCAATCTCCACCTCCCGAGTTCAAGCGATTCTCCTGTCTCAGCCTCCCGAGTAGCTGGGACTACAGGCATGTATCACCACGCCCAGCTAATTTTTGTATTTTTAGTAGAGATGGGGTTTCACCATGTTGGACAGGATGGTCTCTATCTCTTGACCTCGTGATCTGCCTGCCTCGGCCTCTCAAAGTGCTGGGATTACAGGCATGAGCCACCGCGCCCGGCCTAATTTTTGTACTTTTTATAGAGATGGGGTTTCGTCATGTTGCCCAGGCTGGTCTCAAACTTCAGAGCTCAAGCGATCTGCCCACCTTGGCCTCCCAAAGTGCTGGGATTACAGGGGTAAGCCACTGCGTCTGGCCTCAATAAAATAGTTTTGATACTCAACACTTTCTCTCTCTAAATTACTAAACTACTTCAGTCTGAACTACAATGTCTGTCACTTGATTATCAGACATGGTCTTGTATAATGTCATGTTTGTCATTTGTGCCTTCCCCAAAAGAACATAAGTCAGACAGCAGGTGCTGCTTCACCTTCTCCTGGGTCCCTGGTGCCCAGGGATTGAACACACAACAGGTACTCAATGAACTTTCATCTGGTTTGGCCTAAGTATATGACGATGTCTCAATATAACGACCTTGAGACCCGAGAAACTAGCACCACTGAAGCAGTGATACCACTCAGGTTATCAGTTGTCAGGCAATGATTTAGGTTGACCAAGGTCAGGTAAGTCTGTGCCACCTGCCAGTGCTTTACACTCAACAAGAATTCCAACTTCGTCTCCACTAGATAGTCATGTGTTGCTTAACAACAGGGATACGTTCTGAGAATCACGGTGAGGCGATTCTATCACTGTGCAAACTCCACAGCATGTACCTACACAAGTCTAGATGACAGCCCGCTGCCCACCTAGGCTATGTGGCATGGCCGATTGCTCCCAGGCTACAAATCTGTACAGCATGTTACTGTACTGAATACTGTAGGCAACTGGAACACAATGGTAAGTATTTGTGTATTTAAACATATGTCGGCATAGAAAAGGTACAGTAAAAATATGGTATTGTAATCGTCGGGACCACAATTGTATATGTGGTCTTGTCGTTGACTGAAATGTCATTTTGCAGTGCATGACTGTAATTGTATCAATTTAGAAACACTCATTTGCTTCTCTGGGACTTGGTATTTTAAAAAGTATGCTCTGGGGATGAATATCCAATAATAGTAATATTCAAAGGTGGAAACAGAAATATTCAACAGTGAAAACATTTTTCAAGTGTAAGGGAAAAAAATAAAAAGGTAAAGTGTAGGTAGGGGAAAAAAGCCAACTGTTTCTCCCAGATCAAGGTTTTTACTGTTTTGTGAGTCCTTTTTATTGGTAAATATAACACAAATACTATAAACACTTACTGTAAGGTGGATTCCTTTGTAACCACCACCAATAGCAGCAGATAGGGCCTACTTACACAGTGCTAGTTGACAGAATTATTCAGTTGTTTAGAAAGCTTGCTAAGCTCCACACAAATGCGAAAGAGATGGCTCGGGAGGCACAGACTACTACTCCGTGTGGTGGCCACTGTGTTGCCACCTTCTTCCCGGGGATGTGAACTGAGACCTTTGTTAAAACAGTGGAGTACGTTTCAATGTCATGGTCTGAACACTGACTTCTGGTGGATTACATGCAGTTCTTGAAATAATTTATTGCATGAATGGTAAGAAGTTTTTTTCCAGTGTAGTTTTTTTCCTAAAATTTAATTTTTCATTTTTTAGGACTTAAAATAATTATTTTAGATTTACAGGAGAGTTTCAAAGGAAGTACAAGGAGTTTCCACATATCCTCCACCAGCTTTCTCCAATGTTAACATCTCACATGAGAGTGAGGGATTTTGGAGAAAGAGCGCAGAGGTGACCTGCCCTTCCCATCGCATCACATCAGAGGGCACATGACACCTGCACATCGCCACTGGTGAGGCTGACCTTCATCACCTGGTTAAGGTGGCATCTGCCAGGTGTCCACACTAAGTGACCTTTCCATAGGTGTTTTTTAACGAGAGAGTTTTGTTATTTCACTTATTAGTAAATAGAATGCCACAGAAGCACTCACTTTGATCTTTGGCTCTCCACCAGGCTTGTGACTAACTTGTGGAGCATCTGTGTCCATGTCAACTTCTGCTTTATCTTCAGCTTGTCCAAGAAGAACCTGCGTCCAAGCTCTCAGGCCAGCTTGCAGACGGACGCCCAATATTCTTTCAATCTACAGACAACGTTATATCAGAGAACAGTGTTTCTTCTAAAAGTTAGCTCACAAAGCAAGTCAATCAGAAAGTGGTAGGTGTTTCAGATAAAAGATACACAGTTCCGGACTAGAAGCCTTCATATCTCTCTTCTCAGAATCTCACTTTCTCACTTTCTCCCAGCCACAGATCACTTGTTAGGCTGTCTTCTCCATCTTTGGATACTGAATCACCAATCCTTCACAACCTGTAACCTCTGCTATAAAATATCCTCCTCCCCAACACTCTCCACTGGTGTGCTCTCTGAAGTCCACCAGTGGGAAAAGGCGTGGATTGGTAAGTGTGCTTTATGCACACATACCACACCTTCTACCCATCCCCACTTGTCTACGGGGATACGGGTGGGGGCAGAATGTGGCTGTTTCTAAATTGGGTGTTGGGGAGTGGCAGGGTCATCAGAGGAGGACACCTGGAGGGCTAGAAAAGGTAACACGAATCATAAGGAAAGCAAGGAAGGACAAATAGGAAGTTATCAAATATCCAGCAAATAAAGGCAACACTTTCTCCTCCCTCTTATCTCCCTGCTTCCAACTTAAACTTGATGTGAGTACTGACATGTAGTATCATAATTTGGTTCTTTTTGTGTGTGTGTGTGTGACAGGGTCTCACTCTGCTAGAGTGCAGTGGTGCGATGTTGGCTCATTGCAACCTCCGCCTCCTGGGCTCAAGTGATCCTCCCGCCTCAGTTTCCTGAGTAGCTGGGACTACAGGTGCTCATCAGCACACCTGGCTAGTTTTTGTATTTATAGTAGAGACAGGGTCTTGCCATGTTGCCCAGGCTGGTCTCAAACTTCTGGGCTCAAGCGATCTGCCTGCCTCGGCCTCTCAAAATGCTGGGATTACAGGCATGATGAGCCACTGTGCCTGGCCACAATTCAGTTCTATCACTAGTTAAATGAGATTTTGGAGGGGAATTGAACTATCACAGATAATTTCCAAGGAAAAATGCTTTTTAGTGACAAACTAATAAGCTTACTGGAGGGTCAGCAGAAGAAAAAGGAGGAAAATGCTAGCAAATTCTATCCCTTACCTCCATGTCAAGCTTGTTGACCCAGATGGGCAAATTGGAATAGGAGTGCAGATTTAAGTCATCCACTGCTTTCTGGACTCTGTTCAAGATTTCCGAGAATGTCTTATGGTCATACATACAAGTTTCCAAGGAACGGACTTCTAGGTCTATTTTTTCTTCAATGATCAGCAGATCATCCACCTGAAGGAAGAAATATTTAATATTTAAAACACCCACTCACACTCTGTTCCTTTATTCTCACATAACATTCTTCTCAAATATTATACATTGACAAATGCTCCAGGCACAGTTCTTCCATAAGTAGCTAATCCTAGCTGCTGGGGTGAGAACACTAATCCCCACTCGCATGTCCTTGCAGAGGAAAGGAAAATGCATGGAGCCTCCCCAGCTTCTCTTCCCTTACTCCCACTCAATGGGAGAGGTGGCCTCTGATGGGTAAATCTGGGAGAAGGAAGTAAACGTGCTCTGTTAAGCTCCTCCTGTGCCTGGGGAGCCAGCCTCGCTGTCGTATGCATCTGGTCCGCTGGCAGCCGCAGGCTCTGGGTAAGGCCTTCGTGGCTGAGACCTAGAGCCTGCTCTGCTTTCAGCTGTAGCAGCAATAAAACTGCATTCTGCTCTCTGTTGGACTCCTGTGTCCTTTAGCTCTCCACCTGTTTCTAAACTCAGGTTGTTACTTAATGGCCTCCCTAAAACCCAGCACCATTAAATAGCCCGGTGAGTACAAAGGGTCCTCCTCCCTTGCAGCTCACATGGCCGTATGCTGCATCAACCATGCATGCCTTCTTCGGGAGAACTAGTGTTTTAACTGAGCTCGCTATTACTGTGCTTCATTCGTTACCAGGACACCTGAGGATTACATGAGAGCATACCTTTTCTTGGAAGTTGAAGACAGTCTCTGCTAAGCGCTGTACATATGGGTCAAGTTTGTAGGACTCCCACACCAACGCAATGCCTTCTGCGATCAGGGCCTGCACTTCCTTTTTCAAGCCAGCCACCAAAAGGGAAATGGTGTTCCGCTCCTCCACCTTCTCGCAGGTCCGTTCATAGGTACGAACGCTCTCGATCAGTGAGATGGCAAACGGGTAAAGCTGGTTTGCTTGATGGGCTTTGTTCACAATCGCCAGTGGGACGCGGAAACCAAGCCATTTGAGGTTCCGGACTTCTTTGGATAGTGTGATAATCTCAGGAAGAAAGTTAACTTTCAGCTTAAGCACATTTCCAGTTCGGCCCCGAACCCGAGTACTTTCGATGGTGAAAATGCGCCCCGAGACACCGAGGTTGCGCTGCTGCACCTTCCTTGCCCAGTCATCAAAGATCTCCTGCGTGTTGAGCTTCATGCGGAAGCTGTCTCCATCCTGCTTCAGCTTCTGCCCCTCCACGTGATTCTCCCAGCCCTTGCCAAGGACATCTTCCACCCGCTTCATGTAGGCCGTCAGCTGCCTGTCGATCTGTTTAGCCCAGATGATAGACCCTGACACAGGGGGCAAGTCACGAACGTGACTCATCTTACAAGCCTGACTCTGTGGGTACTGGACCTTGAACTTGTCGTGAAGAGACTCAATGTCATCTTTCACGCGCTGGATCAGCTGGGTCTGGTATTCGCGAATGGCCCCACGGATGTGAGGCCTGACAAACAGTGCATTAAACCTGGAGAAAATCCTAAACATCTCGTTGGCATTCTTGGCTGTGCCAAGCTGATCCCGAAGGCGAGCGGTGATCCGGGTCTCCACTCTGTCGATCCTCTCATCGTACCTCTTCATAGCAGCCTCCCAGGCTTCCGTGCCCTCTTTGGAAACATCCAGTCCATCCACTTCCTTGACGTTCTCATAAGCAAGGTTTACTTCCTCAATGGCATTTGCATCTGCAGCATCAAAGAGAACCTCAGCCACTTTCATATCTTGGGGTTCAGGGACCTCTCCTTGATTCTGTTGTGCAACTGCCGTGACCTAAAGGAGAAAGATATGTAATCAAGAAATGCTGACCAAACGAAGGCTTTAAAATTTATTTTAAGCCGGGTGCAGTGGCTCACACCTGTAATCCCAGCACTTTGGGAGGCCAAGGCAGGCGGATCATGAGGTCAGGAGTTCGAGACCAGCCTGGCCAACATGGTGAAACCCAGTCTCTACTAAAAATACAAACAATTTGCCAGGCATGGTGGTGCATGCCTGTATTCCCAGCTACTTGGGAAGTTGAGACAGGAGAATCGCTTGAACCCGGGAGGCAGAGGTTGCAGTGAGCCAAGATCACGCCACTGCACTCCAGCCTGGGCGACACAGCAAGACTCCATCTCAAAAAACAAAAAAGAAGAATGAAAGATAAATTCAGAAGAGAAAAAAATATATATAAAGAAATTAGTCATTTAATTGTTTTATAAATCTCAGGCATATGTAATTACTATCCATGTTTTACAGAGAAGGACTCTCTGAAAAAGAGACTAAATAAAGCATTCCAGTCACAGAGCTAGTAAACGATGGAATTAGGATTTAAAACCCAGGAAGTCTGGCTCTAGGGTCCTTCCAAGATGGAGGAAGGGATAAATGGATGGAAAACACTAAAGATTTGGATGGGCTGGGCATGGTAATCCCAGCACTTCGGGAGGCCGGGGCGGGTGGATCACTTGCGGTCAGGAGCTCGAGACCAGCCTGGCCAACATGGTGAAACCCTATTTCTTTTCCTTTTTTTTTTTTTTTTTTTTTTTTTGAGACGGAGCCTCCCTCTGTTGCCCAGGCTGGAATGCAGTGGCGCGATCTCGGCTCACTGCAAGCTCCGTCTCCTGGGTTCACGCCATTCTCCTGCCTCAGCCTCCCGAGTAGCTGGGACTACAGGCACCTGCCACCACGCCCAGCTAATTTTTTTGTATTTTCAGTAGAGATGGGGTTTCACCGTGTTAGCCAGGATAGTCTCAATCTTCTGACCTCGTGATCCGCCTGCCTCGGCATCCCAAAGTGCTGGGATTACAGGCGTGAGCCACCGCGCCCGGCCGGTGAATCCCTATTTCTACTAAAAATACAAAAATTAGCTGGGTGTGGTGGCTGGCGCCTGTAATTCCGGCTACTCGGAGGCTGAGGCAGAATTGCTTGAACCCCAGAGGCAGAGGTTGCAGTGACCTGAGATCATGCCACTGCACTCCAGCCTGGGTGACAGACTGAGACTCAGTCTCAAAAAAAAAAAAAAAAAAAAAATATAATATATATATATATACACACACACACACACACACACACACACACATATATACGCATATATATATACACACACACACACAATACAGAATCACTAGATCTTAAAGACAACAGAAAGAAGTAGTTAAGTTTTCAAAAAACACATTAAAACAATGCATACGGGCAGGGCGCGGTGGCTCATGCCTATAATCCCAGCACTTTGGGAGGCTGAGGTGGGCGGATCATTTGAGCTCAGGAGTTCGAGAATAGCCTGGGCAACATGGTGAGACCCCTCCTCTACAGCCCCCTCCCGCCAACACACACACACACAAATAAATTAGCTGGGCATGGTGGGGTGCGCCTATAGTCCCAGCTACTCAGGAAGCTGAGGTAGGAGGACTGCTTGAGCCCGGGAGGCGAAGGCTGCAGTGAGCCAAGATCACTTCACTGTACTCCAGCCTAGGTAACAGAATGAGACTGTCTCAAACAAAAACAGGCTGGGCATGCTGTCTCACGTCTATAATCCCGGCACTTTGGGAGGCCGAGGCAGGTGGAACACTTGAAGGCCAGTTCAAAACCAGCCTGGCCAACATGGTAAAAGCCTGTCTCTACTCAAAATATAAACAATTAGCCGGGCGTGGTGGCAGGCACCTGTAATCCCAGCTACTCGAGAGGCTGAGGCAGGAGAATCGCTTGAACCCAGAAGGCGGAGGTTGCAGTGAGCCAAGATCATGCCATTGCACTCCAGCCTGGGCAACAAGAGTGAAACTTCATCTCAACAACAACAACAAAAAAAAAACACCAAACAAAAAACAAAACAAAAACAAAAACAAAACACAAACTTTTAGAATGCAAATCTTACCTGTGGCCTCAGGACCCTGACGATAACAGCTCTTAGCTGTTCATGCTGGCGTCTAAATTTTCTCATCTGGTCAAGGCGGGCCTGCAGCTTCCTGTGGGCAGGGTTGATACGCCACACCATCTTCAGATTTTCTTCCCTTTTTCTTTTGACGATGTCTCTCAACAATACCTGAAGTTTCTCATACTCATCATCCCAAGTCTGAAAAACTTCAAAGCATGCTACCATAACCTAGGATATAATTTCAAAAGTGAGGCTTATTATTAAGACATATTTTCATCTCAATGTCTTGAGGTTGGTTGTCTTATATATTCAAACTTACTTTTTCAAATTCTTCATAAGCAACATGCATCAATTTCCTAGTGCCCAATACTTTGAGTAATTGAGAACTCAAGTCTCTTGAAATTGCCTCCACCAAACGCAGTGCCCTCTGAATAGGATATTTTGTGTTTCGGATCTTTCTCAAATGTGTGAAAATGGCAACAAGCGCCTGTCTTATTTTGTCCAGCTCCGTGGCAGACAGCAAATCATTCAGAGGGAAATCTTTCATCAGAGGATTGTAGTCATTCACAGTTTCCAAAGCCTGTTTTAGACCTATATTAACAGAGAAAGAGTTAATGGTTTTCACATAAAGTAACAAAACTAAGTAAACTAAAATATGCCATTACAATGGAACATTTTGATGTTGCAAAATATCTAGCGAGACAAAAACTATTCATATTTGAAAAAACAACACGTTATTAACAGGATAACCCTAGTGGCGCTCCATTTTTGCTTATTTAAGAGTATGAGTCAATTCCTACATACTCTAAAGGCTGAAGGTGGCAGCCTCAGAGAATTTACCATGCTTTGCTTTGCTTTCTATATCAGTGGCCCTCAACATTTTTGGCAACAGGGACCAGTTTCGTGGAAGACGATTTTTCCACAGATGGTTGGGGGGTGGTGGGGGGGTGGGTAGTTTCTAGGTGATTCGAGCACATTACATTTATTGTGCACTTTATTTCTATTATTTTATTTTTTTGAGACGGAGTTTTGCTCTGTCGCCCAAGCTGGAGTGCAGTGGGGTGATCTCGGCTCACTGCAACCTCCACCTCCCAGGTTCAAGCGATTCTCCTGCCTCAGCCTCCCAAGCAGCTGGGACTACAGGCGCCTGCCACCACGCCCGGCTAATTTTTTGTATTTTTACAAACACGGGGTTTCACCATGTTAGCCAGGATGGTCTCCATCTCCTGACCTCGTGATCTGCCCGCCTAGGCCTCCCAAAGTGCTAGGATTACAGGTGTGAGCCACCGCACCCAGCCTATTTCTATTATTATTATTACATACTCACCATAATGTAGAATCTGTGGGAGCCCTGAGCTTGTTTTCCTGCAACTAGGAGGTCCCATCTGAGGGTGATGTAATGGGAGATGGTGGACAGATCATCAGGCATTAGATTCTCATAAGGAGTGCACAATCTACATCCCTCGCGTGCGCAGTTCACAACAGGGTTTGCGCCCCTATGAGAATCTAATGCCGCCACTCATGTGACGGGGGCAGAGCTCAGGCAGTAATGCTCACTCGCCGCTGCTGGCCTCCTTCTGCACAGCCTGGTTCCCAACAGGCCGCGGACCAGTACCAGTCTGGGGGTTGGGGACCCCTGTTCTATATTATTTTAACGTTTATTAGTAACAATTAAGTTTAGAAGAACTAAAATTTTATCCTTGAAAACATTAAAATTTAAGTTTTACATTCATGGCTTAATTTAGGTGAACATATTACTAACTAAGGACATGGAATCACGAAAGTGCTTGGATCCTAATCTATTTATTGACTTTCTTTGGCATAAGATCAAAAAAAGTATTAGGAAAAAAACAAAAGTTTCAGAGGTGTTAAAAAAATCAAAGTATACATTTCAGCATAGTGAATGCGCATGTAATGTGTGCAATGTGATCTAAGTAACCGGAAGGTTTCTACTTACAATTTTCTCTAACATTTAAGATGTGGGTACCATACGTTTTTTGGGGGAAGTGAGAACATGACAACTGCTATTGTCTTAATTACTTGTTCTAACATGTCTTTTGTGAGCACAGAGTTGAACAGAAATGCCTAATAATGCCTCGTGTTCAAACATTGTAGACCTAGTACGTGCTAATGCAGCTCAGTCAAGTTACAAAGTTTTTAAAAGAATTTAAAAATAATTGTAATAATGACTGTGAGTGGTAGCTCACACCTGTAATCCTAGCACTTTGGGAGGCCAAGGCAGGAGGATTGCTTGAGACTAGGAGTTTGATACCAGCATGGGCAACGTGGCAAGTCCCCATTTCTACAAAAATTCAAAAATTAGTTGGACATGGTGGTACATCCCTGTAGTCCCAGCTACTTGGGTGGCTGAGGTGAGAGGATGGCTTGAGCCTGGGAACTCCAGGCAGCAGTGAGCTATGATTATGCCACCACATTCCAGCCTGGGAAACAAAGTGAGATCCCATCTCTTAAAAAAAATAAATTTTAAAAATTTTAAAAAGAAAAAAACAAAACAAAACAAAACAAAAAACAACATCACTGGCACTGTTCTCCACTCAGAAAACTAAATTCATTTTGGCCACTTGTCAGAATAGGGAGGAAGACAAAGAAGAGAAAGGGGCAAGTAAAAAGAGGAAGAGAAAGTGGTACTGACCAGTTCTTTTTCCACAACCCTCTGGGCAAATAGAACTGCTTCACTTAAACCACCTTCTTGCCTGGCCTGTCAAAAGCATACCTGACTTTGTGCCAATTGTACAGCCGACTCGTGGAGATGACTCATGGAGCCCAGCAGTGGGGAAACAAGAAGGAATCTGTGCTCATACCTAGAGACTGTTTCATGTTCTTAAATCCCCTGAAGGGAAAGGGGAAAGCTAAGTGTGTAGGAGAATAATTTTCATTACTTGGAACTGAGGGAAAGATAAGATGTGATGTAAGAAAGGAAATGGTTAAAAACGACAGTACATCTGTGAAAACTATAGTTTTCATTTAAATTATCAAGTAAGATCTCGTAAAAGCCAGATCAATAACTTACTGATCAGATTATTAGTTCTAGTTGTTACCTGTGTCAGTGTCAAAACTGACGGTGGCATGGAAGCGCTTGCCATGTTTCAAGATATCCAGAGTCAGGAGAACTTCCGGGCTCTCCCGTTTCTCCTGGATGCGGTATAACGCACGTTCCAAGTTTAGCCAAAAACTAATTTCCTGTAAGGCAGTTCCTGATGCAGGATCTCGATCCAGTTTGGTCACCTTTGAAAATAAAATAACACCCAAGGGTATTCACTATTTAAACAAGGTAGAATAGATATCGTTAACAAAACACATGCATTACAACTCAATTTTTATATTTCAAGTAGATTTCCTTCCCTGTAAATCAAAAGTGGCTTGATTTGAAATCAAAGGTATACGACTGCTGAGATTAATGCTCTATCAGGGTGACTACTCAAGCAATCTCACACTGTCCCCTGACCATTCCACCCAGACCAAGGCTAGTCCTGCACTGGACAGTCCCAGGACCAAGAGGCGGCACCACTAACAAGTTATCACATAATTTACCTCACTTACAAAATCCAGATCAGTTTTCCCAAAGATATTAAAGAGTAACATATTTTACATAACTTTCAATCCTGTGCTCTTACTTTTTGAATTTCTCGGATCCAGCGGTTAACTCCAGATTGTAACTGATTAAGAAATGTTGGGTCTTCAACCTTATCACCAAAGTCTGTAACTTTTGGCTTTTCTCCACGCTCATAACACTGTTTTGCAACATTTGTGATCATTGGATGAATCGGCAGGCTGATCTCCGGAATTTCAATATTTTGCTGCAAGTGAAGGAGTCCCATTTCGAGTTCTGCAATCTTCTTTTCAACTGAAGGAGCCATTTTATCACCATCCCTAAAAACAGATTTCATACCTCAACATTTAGTGTGCTATTGGTCTCCAAAGAGATCCCATCATTTCAGGTCTGTCAAATAGTAATGACACACATATTTATTAATACACAGGGTTTATATCCCCTCGGCTCACTAGCGTTACCCTCCCAATTCCCAAGTTTTACACCGAGTTCTATACTATCTTGTGAACATTAAGTGAAATATAACATTCAAACCACAGTTTTTACCTGTCTGCCTTGCCAGACTCTCTAATGTAGGACTTAAAAAAAGGAGCCACTGCATTGCTAATGAAAGAATGCAAAGTTTCGTAGGGCGAGTCTTCACTGAGTGTAAGGACCCGGAGCTGAGAAGACACGGGTTTATCTGCATCAATCACGGGAGTACGTTTAATGAATGCCAAGCTAAAAAGAAAAATAAAACAAGAAATTAGAAAAGTTACACTCCTAATTAGGCTTATTAATTTAAAAATCATACAAGAATATACTGAAGTGTTGCTTTTCTAATAGTGAAATGCACTGCTTGTCTTTCTTTAGTACATGAGAGCTACTGAATCAAGGTTATGGTTACAGAATGTGAACAAACATGAAACCAGGCAAAGTTAACTTGTCTCATACATGGGTTGAATTCGTAATATTGGCCTAAAACTAACCTGCCCTAGAAATATAAGTAGTACTTAAATCTGATCTTACACTAATGTGTAACATTTATTTACTGTACTAAGTAAACAAAAGTTGCTCACTGGTTAAGGTGATAAGAGGCCATTCCAGGCTCCCCTTAGTCTGGTCCTACTCAGCTTTTCCTGTTTCACCTCCTGCTATGTATCCTCTTTCCCACCCTGAGACACCACTTAGACCAGATGTCCCATTCCCTAAACACATCACGTGCTTTGTGCCTTTGCTTAAGAAATCTATATTGATCTGCTGAAATTCTAACCCTCATAACTCAATTCCAGTGTGACCTCTTCTGTGGGCTTCCCCTAATCAGAAGCAATCTCTCCAGTCTTCATGTTTCCATTGTATTTTGACAAGTATTACAATTAGTTATGTATCTGCCAATCTTTCTCCCAAAGACAAGCTTCTTGGGAACAGGAAGCAGGTTTTATTTCTTTGTGTACTACTCTATATACCTACTGCCACACCTTGCACACAACAGGCACTCAAAGTTGGTTAAATTAATGCCTTCAAGGTAATTAATAAAATTTGAATTTTCTAATTCCCTTGCCAGTACTTTATACACAATACTTCATACGCCAGGCATGGTGGTTCACGCCTGTAATCCCAGTACTTTGGGAGGCTAAGGTGAGTAGATCCCTTGAGGTCAGGAGTTCGAGACCAGCCTGGCCAACATGGCGAAACCACATCTCTACTAAAGATACAAAAATTAGGCCGGGCACAGTAGCTCACACCTGCAATCCCAGCACTTTGGGAGGCCGAGGCAGGCGGATAACTTCAAAAAGTTATTCAAAAACTTCAAAACCCCATCTCTACTAAAAATACAAGAATTAGCTGGGCATGGTGGCACATGCCTGTAATCACAGCTACTCGGGAGGTTGATGGAGAATCACTTGAGTCCAGGAGGCAGAGGTTGCAGTGAGCCGAGATCGCACCACTGCACTCCAGACTGGGCGACAGAGCGAGACTTCGTCTCAAGAAGAAAGAAAAAAAAATTAGCCAGGTGTGGTGGCAGGTGCCTGTAATCCCAACTATTCAGGAGGCTGAGGCAGGAGGATCGCTTGAGCCTGGGAGGCAGAGGCTGCAGTGAGCTAAGATTGCCCCACTGCACTCCAGCTTGGACGGCAGAGTGAGACTCCATCTCAAAATAAACAAACAACCCAAAAAACTTCATATAACTGTAAAGTCAATGAAACTTTCTGATGTAACACATTGAGAAAGAATGAAGTCACAATAGTATTTCTGCCAAAATCGTATAACCTGAATCTAAACATCAGGCAAACCCAACAGTTCCATGAAGCTATTGGTGTGCAAATGTCAAACAAGTCAGTGTCACAAAAGGTACACAAAGGCTGAAGTACTACTCCAGATTAAAGGAATTTAGAGTGACAAGAAACCAAAGTGTGATTCTGGACTGGACTCTGAATTAGGGGAAAATTAGTATAAGGGACATCATTGAGACAATTTCAACATGTACTATAATTAGAGAACAATACTGCAGCAATCTTACACTTCTTGAATTTGATCATTGTACTGAGGCTACGAATGAGAATGTCCTTGTTCTTAGGAAATACACACAAGTATTTAGGGATAAAGGAGCATATTGTCTATAACTAACTGTCAAATGATTCAGGGGAAAAATGATAATGCAAAAGTGGCAAACATTAACAACTGATATCTGGGAGTTCTATATACTATTCACGCAACTCTTCCGTAACCTGAGATTACTCAAAATAAGCTTAAAAAAATGCGGAATCCATTATGACATTTACATATTTAAATTTGGATATGTCTACTAGGATAAATTAGCACAATCTTTCTGAAAAGTGGAAAATCTGGTAACATGCATTAAAAATTTTAATGATGTTTTGCATGTGAACTAGTAATGCTATCTTTAGAATTTATCCTAAAAAGAATCAAACCTGCATATAGAATGTTTACTAGTTATCTGTAATAATGAAAAATCAGATATCCAGTTGTCCCTTGGTATCTGTGGGAAATTGATTCCAGGACTCCCCTGGAACACCAAAATCCGCAAACGTTAACTTGCTTATATAAAATGGCACAGTATTTGCATATAACCTATGCACATCCTCCAGCATACTTTAAATAATCTCCAGATTACTTATAATCCCTAACACAACATAAACAATACATAAATAGTTGTTATACTGGCTGTTTTTTACTTGCTTTCTTTGTTATTTTTGTATTGTATGTATTGCTTTTTTCCCGCAAATATTTTCTATCTGTGGTTGGTTGAATCTGCAGATGTGGAACCACAGATATCGAGGGCTGACTGTAACCTGAGAGTAGCATCAGACATGTTACATATATTACAGCTCAAACAGAAGATAGATGCCATGATATGGCAACTAAAAGGACAGTATTTTAGAATTTATATTGAATTGGAAAACTTCCTAATTTGAAGACATGAAATCAAAGACACTGAATTTAAAGACCAGAAATCTTTTGAGCGTTTTCTTTTCCTTTTTTTTTTTTCTTTTTTGAGACAGAGTTTCGCTCTTGTTGCCAAGGCTGGAGTGCAATGGCACAATCTCGGCTCACTGCAACCTCTGCCTCCCGGGTTCAAGCTATTCAACTGCCTCAGCCTCCCAAGTAGCTGGGATTACAGGCATGCACCACCACGCCTGGCTAATTTTGTATTTTTAGTAGAGACAGGGTTTCTCCATGTTGGTCAGGGTGGTCTCAAACTCCCAACTTCACGTGATCTGCCCACCTCAGCCTCCCAAAGTGCTGGGATTACAGGCGTGAGCCACCGTGCCGGGCTTGAGTGTTTTCTTAATGTGTTTGTCTGAGTCAATTAAGATTGATATTAATTTTAGGCTGGGCACGGTGGCTCACGTCTGTAATCCTAGCACTTTGGGAGGCTGAGGCGGGTGGATCTCCTGAGGTCAGGAGTTCGAGACCAGCCTGACCAACACGGAGAAACCCTGTCTCTACTAAAAATACAGAATTAGCCAGGCGTGGCGGTGCATGTCTGCAATCCCAGCTACCTGGAAGGCTGAGGCAGGAGAATTGCTTGAACCCGGGAGGCAGAGGGTGCAGTGAGCCGAGATCGCGCCATTGTACTCCAGCCTGGGCAACAAGAGCGAAACTCCGTCTCAAAAAAAAAAAAAAGATTTATATTAATTCTCTTAGTAAGAATTTCTGAGTTTGAAAAGAAAAAAGATTCATATTAATTCTCACAAATTTATAACCTGAGATAATGGTAATATTTGTACTACTCACCTATTGGATTTAACCCCATAATGAATGTCTATGTTGATGTTATAGGAAATGAATTCTTTTTCTTCTTCTCCTTCATCACCGACGTCCTCTACAAATCATAATAAATATATCAAATTAATATCAACATTTCCAATTTCTTATTTATCAACTGCTTAGACAATGACTATTTTCTCCCTACTCCCAGCCTGACATATCGACACCTACATGACTTGGCACTATTTTTCCCTTCCTATCCGTTTTTTTCCTCACTCCTGACTTTGCTGTGTGACTTTGGGCAAGGCGGTTGTCTGTGAAGTGGGGTAGCGTGAGCATGCCAGGGCTTCTGCAAGGATAACTGAGTTGGTGCATGAAAGCACTGGAACAGGGCCTGGCGGTGGGCAGTGCTAGCCGCTGCTGGCTATGGCCAAGTTCTCAGCATCCCATCCCAGGAAGCTCATTCATTGTGCTTCAAACACAGAAGTCACTTTCCACCCCTGCTCTCAAGAATATTCTGCTCAGCCGTTCACTCAGCAACACCTGTGTGATAGGCATTTTACTAAGCACTTTACAGCTATCATACATTTAACCCTATGGGGTTGGTGTGACTATTATTATCCTTGTTTTCTCCATAAAGAATATCAGTAACTTGCCCACAGATACTTGGGTGGGAAGCAACAATGTGAGAATTCAGAAGTTTGTGATTCCGAAGTCCAGGCTCCTCACCACAATGTAGCATGGCCAGTTTTCATCAAGGCCAGGCCCAAGACAAACCCCAATCAAGAAAAGTATCAAGAAACATCCCAAGGGTCACTGAGAAGCATTCGTCTAGCCTTGCCCTCTGCTGCGCCACACCACTTATCTGAGTCTGTTCTGGGTTTGACTTATGAATGTATCTTCCTCCCCGGCTGTGAGCTCTTGGAAGGCAGAGACCACGCTAGATTCCACGCAATACAACATGCACACAGTAGTCACTTTCAAAAGCTTACGGAGGCCGGGCTGGTGGCTTACGTCAGTAATCCCAGCACTTTGGGAGGCTGAGGTGTGGACCACTTCAGCTCAGGAGTATGAGACTAGTCTGGGCAACATGGTGAAACCATGTCTCAATTTTTTAATAATAAAATTTAAGTTTAAAAAAGCTTACTGGAAATTAATAGTAAGGTAGCCTCAAGAAGCATGTGAACCAAATTTCTAAATTAAAAATCAAGATTGAAGAACTAAAAAAAGTATAAGAATAGAAAATAATCTAAACCTCTACATCTAGTACTAATCCATGCAATGCCTAAACATTCTAGTCAAATTATCTTTGCAATAACGTACTGTATGAAATATATGTTGGCAAAAATTACAATCTATGGATTAATTTAACATGATTATTTTATACATAGTTCACCTTTTAAAAGTCATGATGTAATAGAAAGGGAAGGCTGGGCGTGATGGCGCATGCCTGCAATCCCAGCACTTTGGGAGGCCAAGGCAGGTGGATCACCTGAGGTAGAGAGTTCGAGACCAGCCTGACAAACAAGGAGAAACCCCGTCTCTGCTAAAAATACAAAATTAGCCAGGCATGGTGGCGCATGCCTGTAATTCCAGCTACTCGGGAAGCTGAGGCAGGCGAATCGCTTGAACCCAGGAGGCGGAGGTTGTGGTGAGTTGAGATCACGCCATTGCACTCCAGCCTGGGCAACAAGAGTGAAACTCCATCTCAAAAAAAATAAATAAATAAATAAAGGAAAGGGCAGTAGTTTCAACAGTTCAAGTTCTATTGCTTAGAAGATATGTGACCTTGAGAAAGTCATTTTTCTTTCTCTGGGCTTCAAATTTGTAAGGTGTAAAATGGGTGGTGGAGCAGGCAGTAGAATATTGAGTTAGGTGGTTATAAGGTTTCATTAAGCACTAAAAACTATGAAACCTGGATACACAGGGTCTGAGCAAAAGCTATTTGCTTCCTTAGCTATTGTTTTAAAAATCTTGCTCCTTCTGTAAGCATTTTATTTTAATTAATTAATTTATTTATTTAGAGACAATGTCTTGCTCTGCCGCCCAGGCTGGAACGCAGTGGCTTCATCACACCTCACTGTAGTCTTGATCTTCTGGGTTCAAGAGATCCTCCTGCCTCAGCCTCCCAAAGAGCTGGGACCCCACGCTCATGCCACCACCTTCAGTGGATTTTTAAAACATTTTTTAGAGATGGGGTCTCTCTATGTTGCTCAGGCTGGTGTCAAACTCCTGGGGCTCAAGAGATCCTCATGCCTCGGCCTGGCACTACAGGCATGAGTCATTGCGCCCAACCCCTGCTTCCTTAGTTTTAAGATGAGACAAATACAAAATTCACACTAAAGAGTATAAAATATTAGTCTATCTGGCCAGGCGCGGTGGCTCATGCCTGTAATCTCAGCACTTTGGGAGGCCGAGGCGGGCAGATCACTTCAAGTCAGGAGTTCAATACCAGCCTGGCCAACATGGTGAAACCCTATACCTACTAAAAATTAAAAAAATTAGCTGGGTGTGGTGGTTGGCACCTGTAATTTCAGTTATTTGGGAGGTTGGGGTAAGAGAATTGCTTCAACCTGGGAGGTGGAGGTTGCAGTGAGCTGAGATTGATCTCAAAAAAAAAAAAAAAATTAGTGTATCTATCGAGAGACAATAATTCTTCCAAATTATTGTTTTGGGTATATTTGGATATAATTTTAGGAAGAGGAAGGAGTAGGCGGCAGAACATTCTAGTATGCCAGATACTTGCTATTTTTTAAAACGACTATTAAAAAAACTAAAGAAAGCAACCAATTTTTCTAACCACTCAAATGTAGCTAGACCACAAGAGAAATCACACTGCCTGAAAGCAGCCACACACGATTACAACCTGTAAAATGTAAGCATAGAGAATAAAGAACTATCTCCAAACTGAAACAGCTGTCAAAGTACTGCGATGATTTTCTCCCTCAATTTTCTGAATTTTCCATATTGTTCTACCATTTATATAAAATATGCCATCAAAATAACACCGAAACAATATACAGAAAATAAAATTAACATTCTATAATGATCAAAGGAAATCACTGACGCAACTAAAAATATGGCTTGTTAACTCTGAATCATTTCTACCCCCCATAAAGAGTCATCATTGATACAAATAAAATCACACAGAAATTGCGCAGTCCGGACACAGCATATGAGCATGTGGCCTACACTTCCTAATGCAAACCGGGTTAGGGGAACTAGGTGCCATTCCAAGAGATGAGTCACCGCTGTGTGGTGAGCGCTCCAGCTCTGCCCTGGGAATACTGCAATGCAGTAGAATGCTGCTTCAGCTCAGGAAGGCACACCCAATGACATAATCCTCAAACAACGATAATGCAAATAGATATTCCCTGCTGCTTTGCTAAATTCTAACTTCTCTTGATAATAACTTATGGAAGTCACTACGAACCAGTCACAGAAAACATCTTGGACTAGTCTTTCTGTGCATATTCCCTATAAAGACACGGATCAAACACAGTTGAGTATGTCTGACTCCCATTTACAGTCACACAATTTAGGACACTGTTTCAAAAACTGCCATCAAATAATAATCTGACATTCTACTTTTCTTTCTTTTTTTTTTTTTTAAATAGTTGTCCAGAGGAGGAAGGACACTTGATTATTAATTCTTAATAACAAAGAGGCTATTAGCCCTGTTATATTTATAAGCTTACTACAAACACAATCTGCACGTTTGATTAAGTAATACCACTTTCAGTAAAATTTGAATCCATTTCCTTATGCTTGGCAAAGTTACTAGTTAATACAAAGTTACTGTTAAAATGTAACAGACCAATACTGTACTATATGTCCATGCATTCAAAGAATCAAAGTACTGGGCCTGCTTCATGAGTTCCTTCCCTGCAAGCTATACTGACACACATTACAACAACTTGTGAACACTTCCTTGGTTAACTTTTGAGAGTTTATTGAATTTCTAGAGATGTTCAAAATGGCATTTAGCACTAACGTGTGTATACTTTTATTCAAAGACTAGTTTAATGTATTTCAAACTACTAGTAATTTGTATCATTAAACTATGAATTAGGTAAGCATTACATCTGTTTTATTTTTTTTGAGACAGGATCTCACTCTGTCACCCAGGCTGGAGTGCAGTGGTGCAATCACAGCTCATTGCAGCCTTGACCTCTCTGGGCTCAAGTGATTCTCCTACCTCAGCCTCCTGAGTAGCTGGGATACAGTTGTGCATCACCATGCCTGGCTAACTTTTGTATTTTTGTAGAGACAAGGTTTCTCCATGTTGCCCAGGCTGGTCTTGAACTCCTGAGCTCAAGTGATCTGCCTGCCTCAGCCTCCCAAAGTGTTGGGATTACAGGCGTGAGCCACTGCACCCAGCCAGCATTATGGCTTGTTTAATGGAATACAAAAACTATGCAATTTCAATTACCTTAAAAACTATACCACCCTCGACTGGGCCCAGTGGCTCATGCCTGTAATCCCAGTACTTTGAGGGGCCAAGGTGGGTGGATCACTCGAGCTCAGGAGTTTGAGACCAGTCTGGGCAAGATGGTGAAACCCAATCTCTACAAAAAATACAAAAATTAGCAGAGCGTGGTGGTGCATGTCTGTGGCGGGAGGATCTCTTGAGCCCAGGAGACCGAGGCTGCAGTGAGCTGAGACTGCAGCGCTGCACTCCAGCCTGGGCGACAGAGCAAGACCCTGCCTCAAAAAAAAAAAAAAAAAAAAAAAAAAAAAAGAATGATACGGCCCTCTCCTGAGTAGACAGGGCATGCCCTCTCAAAGTCTGGTGAACGGGCAGTTGGAAAAGGGACAAAGCACACTGGTAAAGTGCCAGGTGAGGCTGCCCAACTCCTGCACCCTTGCTCATTCCCTCATGTACTCTTCCTTCCAAACTTTCTCCCAGCCATACAGCAAGTCTCTTCCTGGTCTCAAAGCCATTCATCTCCTTTGGCCCGCATACACTACCAAATTACGTGTTAAATGTTCCTGGGGTTCTCTTTATCTTTTGTCTTCTTTCCCTTTTAAAATCCCAAACATGGGCTGGGCACAGTGGCTCACGCCTGCAGTCCCAGCACTTTGGGAGGCTGAGGCGGGCGGATCACCTGAGGTCAGGAGTTTGAGACCAGCCTGGCCAACATGGTGAAACCCCATCTCTACTAAAAATACAAAAATTAGCTAGACGTGGTGGCACATGCCTGTAATCCCAGCTACTTAGGAGGCTGAGACAGGAGAATCACTTGAACCCAGGAGGCGGGGGTTGCAGTGAGCGGAGATCGTGCCACTGCACTCCAGCCTGGGTGACAGAGCAAGACGCCATCTCAAAAAAAAAAAAAAAAAAAAAAAAAAACAACAACAAACCAAACATACTAATACCACATTATTATTATTCTGGTGGTCAATCACTATTATACACGGCCTCCCTTTTTTTCCCGCTTTAGTTTTCCCCTTTCTTGTCTCTGGCGCTTTCTCTTGTCACCTGCATGTCCACCCTTTCATCCTCCTGAGGGGCCATGACTTCTTTCCCACAACCACTCCCTGCTCTGGTACAAGGCTCAGAACACGGTGAGAAAGTCGGAGTATTCTCCTCCACCTGAAGATTTCCATTGTAACATCATTAGGAATATGAAGAGAGCATGAAACCCCATATAATACTTATATTTAACGTAAACTGGAGCTCATTTTGGTATTTCCCGAAAAGAAAAGAGAAAGAATTTTTAAAAATCTACTAAGTTATTAACACTAAAGGAACTTAAGACTTGGTACTTTTCAAGTTACTACTAACTCAAAATAAATAACAGATACCAAGGCACTGCAGAGATGAGTTTTTAGGTTTCAGAACCCTCCTTAGAACATCCTTTTCCCAACTGGGTCTTAAAATCCTAGGGTTTTGGTTTCCTCATTCATGAAAGATGAGGGCTGGGCTAAATCTCTCTTGCTGCTCCCAATCTGACATGCTCCGATGCTGACACGCAATTTTCATCCATGTTTAGTTTTTAAAAAGAAGTGATAACTGTTTTCCCTTTGCTGTACATAAATTTCGTTTACTATGCTACACTGCACATTCAAATTTATCTTGCTGCAGATGGTGTGTCCCACAGTGTGACAGCATGGGGCAGTTAACAGCCTCGCTGAAGTGCGGATACCACTGAGTGCAGAGCCTGGTAGCTAGGTTTGTTTTCTCCTTTTGAACTGGAGGCCCCTGGTACAAACACGCGCTGCCAGATCTTCCGTCAGGCCAAGAAGCATCTGAGTCTGATCTCCCTCTTTGTGTCTGCTGGAGCTGGAGGTACTGGAGCAACACTGTACGGCCTGCATCTGGCACAGTTCAATCCAGATTTTACTAGGGACAGAAAGAATAACTGGGTGCCCTAGAAGAAACTAGGTCACAGGGATCAATACAAATTCTACTCAGTGAATGTGGATTACAGTAAACTGAAGAAAGAAGGTCCAGATTTCTAAATAAAATGTTTCACTATAAAGCTGCTTTAGAAAGAAGGTCTTGGCCAGGCACGGTGGCTCACGCCTGTAATCGCAGCACTTTGGGAGGCCAAGGCGGGTGGATCACGAGGTCAGGAGATCGAGATCATCCTGGCTAACACGGTGAAACCCCGTCTCTACTAAAAAAAAAAAAAAAAATTAACCAGGTGTGGTGGCAGGCGCCTGTAGTCCCAGCTACTTGGGAGGCTCAGGCAGGAGAATGGCGTGAACCCGGGAGGCGGAGCTTTCAGTGAGCTGAGATCGTGCCACTGCACTCCAGCCTGGGAGACAGGGCGAGACTCTGTCTCAAAAAAAAAGAAAAAAAGAAAGAAAGAAGGTCTTGCAGAAGCCAATAGTACAATTTTCCACTTAACCAGAAAACATTTCTCCTCTAAATGCACGAAATCATGGTGATATGTTGTGTTGGAGATTAATTACATTGATTAAACTACATTTCTTCATCCTTTAGAATTAAATCCTCAGGCTGGATGTCATGGCGCACGCCTGTAATCCTGGCACTTTGGGAGGCTGAGGTAGCAGGATCACTTGTGTCCAAGAGTTCAAGACCAGCCTGGGCAACATGGGGAGACCCTGCCTCTACAAAAAATACAACAATGAGCCAGGCGTGGTGGTGTGTGCCTGTAATCCCAGCTACTCAGGAGGCTGAGATGGGTGGATCGCTTGAGACCGGAGGTTGAGGATGCGGTGAGCAGAGATTGTGCCACTGCACTCCAACCTGGACAACAGTGAGACCCTGTCTCAAAAAAAAAATTCCAAGTCTCAAACACTGGAGTGTTAAACAAACAAACACGTGGGGTGTGGTAGCTCACACCTGTAATCCCAGCACTTTGGCAGGCGGAGGTGGAAGTATTGCTTGAGCCCTGAAGTCCCAGACCAGCCTGGGCAACATGGTGAGACCTCCTCTCTATTAAAAAAATGAGAAAATGAACTGGGAGCCCAGGAGGCCGAGGTGGCAATGAGCCATGACTGGGCCACTGCACTCCTGCCTGGGTGACACAGTTGAGACCCTGTCTCAAACAAAACAAAACAAAACAAAACCCTTTCCCCACCAAAAACAAACAAAAAACCCAAACTACACGCTCTCATCCAGACCAACCAACCTAGCAGCCAATCCCAGGCAGGTCATGAACAAGCTGCAGAGCAGACAAGTCATGGAAATGTCAGTTCCATCAGCTGCAAACTGAAGCATACCCCACCGAACGGAGATACACAACCAAAAAATGGTCCTTGAAGTAAAAAATGCTACAAAAACGTCATTAACATAAAATGGCTAGTTAAGTAATGAGCACCTATTTTGTCACCATGCTGTAAGCATACTATGAGGAAGACAATTTCCTACAGGCCAGGAACTATACAAAGGTTTCTCTTTTTAAAATGAGGAGCTATAACTTAATCCCTTTTTCCCACAAACTCTCCAATTCCTCAGTATCAAGATGAGTTGTTAAATTCACAACATTTATTCTATACTTTGAGTAATGCTGTACTTGATTTATTTTAGAGATAGGGTCTCACTCTGTACCCAGGCTGGAGCAAAGTGGTGTGATCCTAGTTCACCACAGCGTCAAACTCCTGGGCTCAAGCAATTTTCTCAAGTAGCTGGAACTACTGGCATACACCACCATGCCTGGCTTATTTTTTAATTTTCTGTAGAGATAGGGTCTTGCTATGTTGCCCAGGCTGGTCTTGAACTCCTGGCCTCAAGTGATCCTCCTGCCTTGGTCTCCCAAAGTGCTGGGATTACAGGTGTGAGCCACCGCACCCAGCTCAATGCTGCACTTTAACAACAAAAGTTTATGGCTAGCTGGGGTAGCTAAAACAAACAAACAAATAAAAAATATATATAGTTTCACATAAAAATGTTTCTATATTCAATTACAAGTGTTTGGATACTTCCACAAAAAAAGTGGAAGGAATAAAATAAATAAAAGTAATTTCTACTGTTCATTAAATTACATGACTTCATTGTTGGTGATCTTTATTCAGTTTAAATAATTCAGCTCTGTTGTCTACATTAATGCATGCCTATCTTTTCACTGTAATTAACTACTGGATGCACATATTTGATTAAATGTACAAATGCCAAAGCTAACTCATAAAAGCCACCAAGAAGAAAGCCCTCCTACCAAAAGTCCTGGGTCTCTACTTATATCTAAGGTGTCCTAGTGTAGCCAGGCTGCTAATAAGACAAACAGACCATCTATCATAAAACTGGATTAATTTAAAAATCTTTCCTTAGGTTTTTGTAAGTGAAAAATAAATTATAGACAGGTTGAATTGGTAGAAATACTTCAAGGATTGTTATAAATACAGAAATGAGGTAGGATTTCAATTTTAGATAGTCTCATTCCTTAGTCAACTTTCAAAAGTGCAAGTCATTATGGAGCCAAGATTTGGATACCTGCATATTTGTTTTGCTGAAAGAAAAAAAGGTACTCATAAGACAACAGAGAGAATTTGTAGTAGATATTGTACTACATAAACATAGTCCCCCCACCCCAATAATTTTAGCAACGTCCAATTTTAAGATGCCTGGAAAAAGCGAATTACTGGTGATCACTCTAGAAGCAAAGTATAAAACTTAAATTTTTTTTCATAAAAAGAGTGACACAAGGTAAAAAAAATAAAATCACTGATTCTAATACATAAACTATGCAATAAAAATATCAAGGATTAGCAATGGTCAAGCTACTCAAAATACAATTAACTTTAAAAATGCAGATTAAAATGTATTTTAATAAAATGACGAATATGCATTGAAAAATGACCACAAAGACATAAACCAAAAATGCTGACAGTGATTATATCTGGGTCAAACAATTCCCAGTGATTTTTACTTTAGCTGTATAGTACATTTTCTACAATGACTATATGTTTTTTGGAAAAAAAAAAGAGTAGATAAATTTTTTTTTTTTAACTTTTGTGGCTTCCACTTAGGAATACATAATCCCAAACATCACAGTAAACAACCCTCAAAAACATTAATACTCTAAATATGCTCAAATGGTTTATTTGCCTTGAACATTCCACGTGGATATAAGAAAAAAATATTCTTTTACACCCTGCTAATCTCTGGCAGGAAACCAAGGCTACAGGGAAGCATCTTCTGAGTAAGAATAGCCTTTGAAAGAAACAAACCATCAGAAACACAGTGTGTGTTAAGGATGGGGCAGACAGTACAGGGTCTCTCACTGAGAGAACCATACAGTTTTTTGAAATTTTAAGAAGCTTGTTGGCAAATATTTTTAGACAATCTCCAATCCCTAGAGGCTAACCTTGGACATCATCCTTAGGTTCTTAGATGGACACGCCACACCCAAAGTGGTTGTAATGGGCTACAAAGTGGTTGTAATGAATCCATGAGAAAGCCTGCCTGCAGGCAAGCCCCAGACTTAGATGAATGTAACCTTGCTGGTGGGCGATCATTATTTGAGGAGACAGCTGGAACACGCTAACTCTAGCCTCTTCCCCCTACTAGGTGCCTAACCTGAATCTTTTTTTTTTTTTTTAATCTGTAAAATTAGACTCAAATATTACAGGGTTATCATTAACATCATCGAAGCATTAAACAAATATGAGGTATGATCAGTGAAAACAAGCAGTGGATGGGGAGCTGAGACACTGAGTCTAGTCTCAGGACTAAGATTAGCTGGTGACCTTGGGTGAAATCACTTAACCTGAGCCTCAGTTTCCTCAGGTGTAAAATCAGGATACACCCGTTCAGCAAGGATGCTGTGAGAGCATCCACCTACAACAGTGATGCTCGCAGGCCCGGGGCTGGCACCGTCGCTCTGTGGGCCTCGGCCTCTGGGTCCCCACAAGGCAGGGCTGGGACACCCGCCCGACCTCCTCCCGAACCAGAACCCCGGCTGCCCCCAGCTCCGCGGGTCTGCCCCCGACACATCCCTCCCGAAGGCCACTTGGCTTGGACACAAATCGAAACCGAAAAGCTCATGTGACACTGGAGGCAGGGATGCGGCCTCGCCCGCTCTCAGCCCAGGGAGACGCTGTCTCCACCCAACTCGGCCATCTTGAGAGGCCCGAGCAGACAAAGCGACCCCATTGTTTTGGGTGACGGCAGACGGGGACCCCTTTCCCCTCCCCGCGACCAGGAGCGGGGCGCCCTGGGGGCTCCGGGCCGGGCAGTGGGTGTGGCGAGGGCGAGCCCCGGGCGCCGCGCCGGCCTCTGCGGGGCGTCTGCGGCCCTGGGGACCCGGCCGGCGGGACGTCTGCGGCCGCCGGGCTCTGCCCATCCAGGGGTCATCTGCAGCTGCCGGGCTCCTCCCATCCCGGGGACATCTGCGACCCCGGAGGACCTGGCAGGCCCTGCATTCCGCGAGGCCTGGCTCTGGCGACCCTGCCCTCCGCGGCCCCGCACCTTTGAGCGTGGAGCGCTCCACCAGCACCGTGTGGACCTGCGGGTCCGAAAGGAACTTGCGCATCTGCTCCAGGGCGCTCTTCTCCTCCAGCGCCGCCTCCAGCGCGGCCGGCGCCTCGCCGCCGTCCTCCAGCAGCAGCGGCACCAGCTTGCGCAGGTGCTTCTGCAGCACCGACACGTCCGCCACATTCTGCACGGCCGACACTTCCAATCCGGCCGAGCCGTCCTCGCCGCCGCCGCCCCCGGGCTCCGACATGGTGTCGCGCTCGGGACCTTCCAGGAGCGATGAGAAGGCGGCCGCGACTCAGCGAGACAGCCAGCAAGAGACAGAAACGGCCGCCGGAAGCCGGACCGTCCGCTAGCCCACCGCAGACTGAGGAGAGCGGGAGCCGGCTCCGCCCTAAAGGCAGCCACTGCCAGGTGGCCCCGCCCCGCCCCGCCGGCCGCAGCCGCCGCAGCCACCCGCGCTCGCTCGCGGCCTTAGCGTCACGGCGCCGCGCGTGCGCGGGGGGCGGGCCCGGCGATGTCGCCGCGCGCCCTTCTGGGACTTGTAGTCTCGGCGCTGGTCGGGGCCCGCAGCCTCCGCACTGCGAGTCCTAGGAGATGGGGACTTGGCTCAACGTCCTGGCTCGGCGCCCGGGCTTGGCGAGGTTGGTCAGGGGCTGCGTCTGTCTTCTTCACTGCTGTGGACGCAGCGAATAGCACACAGCCAGAGAAACTTTATAGTGAATCAGTGATGTTATTGGCGAGAGCTAACGTTTAGTGAGCGCTTAGCCTGTGCCCGGCGTTGTTCTAAGCCCCTTAACCTCTCATTAAATGTTCTCTCATTGAATGAATGAATGACTACGTATCAGGTACCAAAATATAGGCACGACAGATGTGTTATTAGATATAGACCGGGAGATTGAGGATACTTTTCAGAGGGGGAGGAGATGAGGGGCGTGCTCAGAGAGTCCCATTGCCAGGCTGGAAACGGACAGCTGGGGAGGGGGCCTTCGGGGCAGTGTAAGGTTAAGCCAGGAATGACACCTTCACTGTACGTAAAGCCAAGCTGTGATGGGATCTGGTTCCTAATGACAAAAATCATTGTCCCCGAGGACGCTGTGAGGACCAAGAGGGAGACCTACTGAGAACAGCTACCTCCAGCAATGGCTCTCCTCCAGCCCCCTAGAGCTGGCACTGTCATTCTGTGGGCCTCAGTATCTGGGTCCGTACAAGGCAGGGGCTGGGTTGCCTGCCCACCAAGTTTCCCCCTAGTTCGGACCCACCACGACCTCCTCCCCTACACCATGACTACATAAGAGCCAGAATCCAGGCTGCCCAGCTGGGTGCGGTGGCTCACACCTGTAATCCTAGCATTTTGAGAGGCTGAGATGGGAGGATTGCTTGAGGCCAGAAGTTCCAAGACCAGCCTGGTCAACCTAGCGAGACCCTATATCTATGTGTATTTAAAAATTAAGAATTTTGTAAAATAATAAAAATAATAGAATCCAGGCTGCCCATCTTTGTAGTTTAGAGATGGTAGGTTCTTCTAAGGGGTAGTAATTGGCCTTTGAAAGTTCACATTCATAACTTCTTTCTTAAGTTGGGTGGAGAGAGGGAAGCCAATGGCGTTTTTTTTTTTTTTGGTTTTTTTGTTTTTTTTAAACATCAAAGTGCACTGTCAGAGTGCCGAGTCCTGATTGGTGGAATGATGATGGTATGATTTGATTCTCCCAAATCATCTTTGAAAAACTGTGAAACATACAATAAGCTTATTCCTTGCCTAATTACCGGTTGCTGGGTCCCAGGGGGTTGCTGGAACACGGAGACTAATCAGATGATTCTTGTCTTTAAGGAGCATGTGGAAGAGGGGACAGATGAATACCCCATCTTCCTGCTCTCCATCAGTCCGCCCTGGTGTGATGTGCCTAAGCAGTTCCGAGTAATCTTCCTGGAAAAAATAAATAGGCAACTGCGATGAGTTTGTGCAAGGATCCTAATGGTAATGAATAATAATAACACACCACTGACAGCGAACGCTGAGTGTTCACTGCGTGCTAGGCACCATGCAGAGGGTTTCCCCTCACATGTACTTTAGGGGTAGAAAGAGGGACAAAGAGGAAAGTCTATTAGGTGCAGATCTGTGAACTCTGAATAGGCCATCCACCATCTGAGACTCAGAAACCTGCAGGGACCTGGCCGATGGGCAGGCTGCATGCTGGCTGCACCATGAGTCAGCACCAGACTGGGAGACGCAGCCACTCAGGGATCCAAGGGACTCAAACATCTGCAACCTGGCCCCAGGCCAAGAGAACAAACTGCAGGCTCCGGATTTGCGGCCCTGTAGGATAGGCTCAAAATGAAACATGTTTGTTATTTCTAAGTGGATGGGAACTGAAAGAACCCGAACAATCAGTGTACAAGGATTCATGAATGGACCAAACATGCTTGCTTTTTGTTCTTGAAAGATGTTTGTTGTATTTAATATATAACGAGAAGAGTGGTCAACGCTGACTGGGTGCTGAGCACTTTAAGTGCATTACCTGGGTGGCTGGCTGGGCTGTGCCAGGGTTGAAGGGTGTGGGGAGCTTCTTTCAAGGTGCCCCTTCTGCCTCCTGGCACAGGACTCTGGCTCCAGCACACCCCAAGCTGACCCTGGTGGGGGTAGGGCCCCTCACCCAAACCTGGCCTCTCCCGTCTCTTGTTCTGCTGCCTCAGCTTTCTCCTGTCTGTGGTAGAGTCTGCTTGGACAGACTCTGGGCAGGGCAGGGGGCAGGGCAAGCTGGAGAGAGAATTCGTTCTAGGTTGATGTGGGATGATAGTGGCTGGTAGGGCGCTTGTATCCTATTGGAAATCCATGATGAGATCCCATTCATTCCCACCCTTCTCTTAACAATGTCTCCTTAAGTCCAAGTCTCAAGTCGGGTGCCCAGTTTCATACCATCCTTCCTCTCCCTCTCACAACCTTCGGGCAGGACCAACCCCCTCAGAGGAACCCCTGCTGCCCCAGCCCTTTCAGGCTCTGTGCCCAGGATCTCCCCTCCACTCCCTGGAAATTCCACATTTGGCCAGGTGTGGTGGTGCACACCCTTGTTCCCAGCTACTCAAAAGGTTGAGGTGGAGGTCGAGGCTGCAGTGAGCTGTGATCTCACTACTGCACTCCAGCCTGTGCAAGAGAGTGAGACCCCGTCTCTAAATAATAATAATAATAATAATAATAATAATAATAATAAATTTAAAGAAAAAGAATTTCCATCTTGGGCTCATTCGTTCATTCATTCATCCCCACTTGTGAGAGCAGGGAGGTCTAAGCTTCTCGGGATTCTCAGCACCAGCGGGGCCTGGACCAAAGCGTGCACTTGGTTGGTGGGTGTGAAACTAATGCCTTACCCCGAGGAAGGGGCGCTGGCGGTGGCCGTGGGGACACGGGGTGCACTGTGGATCAAGACCTTCCTGGCCACATCTCTGGGGCTGTCAGGGTGCTGCTGGAGGGCAAGGCTGGGACTTCACAGGTTCGCAGGGCTGCAGGACGCTTTCTGAGGAAGCTCATTCCAGGATCCACCCCCTTTCTGTCTTGATTCCTTGTCAAATGAGCCTCAGGGTGAGGCTTGAACCAGATCTGGTTCCTGGAGGCTTCGACCCCAGCAGGTTGGAGTTTGAAGCGCGTGGTGAGAACGGAACGGTCTCTTGGCGCCGTCTAGTGGCAGCAAAGGATGTGTCGCATGGAATTTTCTTCTGCTTGTAGGGGACCCACCTCCCCAGCCTGCTGCCCATCCATCCTGGTGACAGCAGGCTCACCTGCCCAAGGTCACCTGGCTTGCTTGTCCAGGGTCACAGAACAAGTAATGACAATGAAAATGCCAGCATGCACCCCACTGCCCATGGGGAAGATGTTAGTGAATCTTGTCTCTACCTGGGCAGACAATTCCCACCTGGCTCTCCTGACCCCTGGATTAACCCAGGCTGCCTGCAGACCCTCAAAACCTCTGACACCGCCCTGGCCCTTCCCTCTGGTAGTGTGTGGCCCCTTCTCTTACCAAAGGCTGTCGGTGTCCCCAGCCAGGACCACTACTCCCTGGGTGTGCTGCCTCCATCTCCTCTCAGGGTTATCACCTCTGAAATTCTCCCCTCGCTCCCAGATGTTCTCTCTCTCTCCTAGATTTTTTCCACCGATGTCTGAGCTATTCTATCCCTTCTTTAAAGGAAAAGAAGGAAGCCCTACCGTAGCCCACTGCCAGCACCTCTCCACTGCTTTGCTGCCCTTTCCAGCAAAACTCCTTGAGAATAAGCATATGTGGGCACTGCCTTTCCCACCCCATCCCCACATTCATGGGCAGGCACTCTTGGCAAGGTCACCAGTGACTTCCGCGTGGCCAAATCCAGTGACTAGTTCTCAGTCCTCATCTTGCTTGACCCGTGGACACACTGATGCAGCCGGCACTCCCTCCTTCTCTGAACACCACCTTCACCTGGCTTTTGGTGGCCGCACTCTCCAGATCCTCCTCGTCACCAAGGTTCCTTCTCAGTCTCCTCTGCTGGATCCTGCTCTTCGCGACCTCTGAAGGTTGGAGGGGCCCAAGGCTTGGCCCTCAGGCTGGTTTGTGTTCTATCAGCACGCCCTCTCCAGCGCCCTCTAGCCTTGGATTTTCTTTTTTCTTTCTTTCTTTTCTTTCTTTTTTTTTTTTTTGAGATGGAGTTTCGCTCTTGTTGCCCAGGCTGGAGTGCAATGGCTCGATCTCCGCTCATCGCAACCTCTGCCTCCCGAGTTCAAGCGATTCTCCTGCCTCAGCCTCCCAAGTAGCTGGAATTATAGGCATGTGCCACCACACGTGGCTAATTTTGTATTTTTAGTAGAAACGGGGTTTCTCCATGTTGGTCAGGCTGGTCTCGAGCTCCCGACCTCAGGTGATCCGCCCGCCTCAGTCTCCCAAAGTGCTGGGATAACAGGTGTGAGCCACCGCACCCGGCCCTTTTCTTTTTTTTTTTTTGAGACAGGATCTCACTCTGTCAACCTAGCTGGAGTGCAGTGGCACAATCGTGGCTCACTGCAGCCTCGACCTCCCTCCCAGCCTCAAATAATCCTCCCACCTCAGCCTCCTGAGTAGCTGGGACTACAGGCACATGCCACCACACCTAGGTAATTTTTGTTTGCTTGTTATTTTTTGTAGAGATGAGGTTTTGCCAAGTTTCTCAGTCTGGTCTCAAATTCCTGGGCTCAAGGAGCCTCCTGCCTCAGCCTCCCAGAGTTCTGGGATTACAGGCATGAGCCACTATCCCCACCCAAGCCTTCCTTGGATTTTCAATACAGCCATGCCTTGAATCCCAACCTTAGAAGGCGGTGTTCTGCTGTTGTTGGGTGGAATGTTCTAAGAAATGTCAATTAGGCCATGTTGGTTGACAGTGTTCAAGTGTTCTTATCTTTATTGGCTGAGCATGGTGGCTCATGCCAGTAGCCCCAGCACTTTGGGAGGCTGAGGCAGGAGGATTGCTTCAGACTAGGAGTTTGAGGTTGCAGTGAGTTATGATTGCACCACTGCACTCCAGTCTGGGTGACAGAGACCCTGTCTCTATTTTTTAAAAAAATACTAAAATAAATATTCATTTAGTACATTCTAACTTAAAACATTAGAAACGCTGAGAATTTTTTTTTTTTTTTTTTTGAGACAGGGCCTCACTCTGTCACCCAGGCTGGAGTGCAGTGGCACAATCTCGGCTCACTGCAACCTCCGCCTCCCAGGTTCAAGCGATTCTCCTGCCTCAGCCCCCTGAGTAGCTGGGATTACAGATGCATGCCACCATGCCTGGCTAATTTTTTTTTTTTTTTGTATTTTTAGTAGAGACGGGGTTTTGCCGTGTTGGCCAAGCTGGTCTCGAACTCCTGACCTCAAGTGATCTGCCTGCCTTGGCCTCCTAAAGTGCTGGGATTACAGGCAAGAGCCACCACGCCCGGCCTGGGCTGAGCATCTTCTTCCAGGCCCTGGTGAGTTGCCACGCTGCTTTCTAGTTGGAGTAGCTTCCAACATTTTATCCTTTGCACTTCCAGAGTTTCAAAATATCTCCCAGAGTTCCTTTCATGTGAGATTTTTTTGCTGGTATCACACCCCCTAGGATATCATCATCCTTCTCATCTCAACTGTTTCCTTATTTCTGTGGACAGGCTGCCCTCACTCAACCCCTCTAGCTGCACTGCTGGAGCCCCTCGTTGGTGGCAGCATCCATGTTCTCTCCTGCAACTGTTTCCTCTATGACCTCACTTATATTTGATTGGAATGTCCTCTCCAGGGCTATCACATTTTATTTCTTTATCACACATTCACCTCTGTGGGCCAGTGATGTAATTGACCATGGATCATGACGTGCTTCTGTCATTTATGATGCAGTGATTTGTGGACTGAAGAGCTGGCAGCAAAGCTTGTACTTTATTCAATTACTCACAGGTAATTTACGATGGTAACTGGTACTTGAACCGTGTGGCTGGGAAACTGGTGTTATTGAACTAAACCGTGGTAAGGAAATCTTGTCCATATAGATTGGACCCATGCAAAGCTGGAACTGCCTATATTGACTGATTTTCTCCCTCCATTTCACATTCTGCCTCCCCATTCGTGCAGGAGCCTAGCTTGGTCTGTGGTTCTAGGACTGAAAGCAGAAGGTGCCTATTGGTCTTTCAGGCTTTTTTTTTTTTTTTTTTTTTTTTTTTTCCCAAAAGTCCTAGCCCTTGAGAGTAAAAGGGCATATGGGGGAGAAAGGGGAAAGTTAGAATCTCCCATGTAGGCAAAGCATGCTGGGGAAGCAGGAGGTGACAGAGCCACAAGAAGACTCTCCAGGCTGGGGTGAGGAGAGGCAGGTGAGGGGGTCCTGCTGCCCACCGGCCCCTAGAGAGCAATGCTGGGGAAGTGGGAGCTGGCACCCAGGTGACAAGACCCCAGGCAGGCTGGCCAAAGAGGCCCTCCTACCCATTGAGGCCAGGAGAAGTGTGGGACCAGAGGGCCAGGGTAACCGGTGTGAGGCAAAGTAGCAAGCGTAAGAAGCCATGTGTGCTCAGTTCTGCTTGTCAATGTAATTTCACAAAGCCCTGCCTCTGTGACCACGTGTAGCTCTCTGGAAAGATGCTCTGAAGACAAAACAGGACAGAGCACACAGCCCACGTGTCTTGCTGGAGTCAATATGTTCCTTAAAAGATAAATGGCCGTAGCCTTGCCTTTTCCTGTACATAAGATAACATATGACGGGGTTAGTGCTGATTATAACCTGATGTGGTTATAAATCTACAATCTATAACCAGATGTACTCTCTCTCTTTTTTTTTTTTTTTTGAGATGGAGTCTCACTCTGTCACTCAGGCTGGAGTGCAGTGGCACAATCTCAGCTCACTGCAACTTTCACCTCCGGGTTCAAGCGATCCTCCTGCCTCAGCCTCCCGAGTAGCTAGGACTATAGGCATGAGCCACCACACCCAGCTAATTTTTGTATTTTTTTTTTAGACGGAGTTTCGCTCTTTTGCCCAGGCTAGAGTGCAGTGGTGCGATCTCAGCTCACTGCTGCCTCCACCTTCTGGGTTTCAAGTGATTCTCCTGCCTCAGCCTCCCAAGTAGCTGGGATTACAGGCACCCGCCACCACTCCCGGCTAACTTTTATATTTTTAGTGGAGACGGGGTTTTACCATGTTGGCCAGGCTGGTCTCAAACTCCTGACCTTATGATCTGCCTACCTCGGCCTCCCAAAGTGCTGGGATTACAGGCGTGAGCCACAGCGCCCAGCCTACTTTTTGTATGTTTAGTAGAGACAGGGTTTCACCATGTTGGCCAGGCTGGTCTCAAACTCCTGACCTTGTGATCTGCCCACCTCAACCTCTCAAAGTGCTGGGATTACAGGCATGAGCCACCATGCCTGGCCTACAACCAGATGTACTCTTGTACCCAGACTTTGATGTGATTTTGCATGCACTAAACCTCCACTACCTGGATATAAGCGATCTGAAATGCTGTTCTGGAGCACTCTGACAGTACCTCTCTCAAAGACTTCTGGCCTGTATTCTTCAGCCTCCAGGCTTCAGTAAGGCTTCTGAATAAAATTAAATTTGCTTAAATGCTTGGGCAGGGACCAGGCACGGTGGCTCATGCCTGTAATCCTAGCACTTAGGGAGGCTGAGGAGGGAAGGTCCCTTGAGACCAGGAGCTGGAGACCAGCCGGAGCAACAAAGTGAAACCCCATCTCTACGAAAAATAAGCTGGGCATGGTGGTATGGGCCTGTGGTCCCAGCCACTTGGGAGGCTGAGCTGGGAGGATCGCTTGGGCACCGGGAGGTCGAGGCTGCAGTGAACCCTGATCACACCACACCAGCCCAGGCGACAGAGTGAGACGCTGTCTCAAAAAAAGAAAGACAAAAAAAAGTCTTGATGCTTTTCTTGCGTCGATACTGGTGTGACAGATGACAGATGACCTGGGCCAGCACGTTCTCCCCGGACAGAGCATGTCCCTGCTGCGCTTTAGCTGACTCAGGAAGGGGTAGAACCCTGAAACTGAATCCTGGGATGTGCTGGCCGTGGAATTGCGGAGTCGTGGAATGGGAGCCTGGTCAGACACTAGGCTGTTGCATACACTGGAGAGGGGGGACTTGTGGGCACGCCCCACTGCTGGAGGGAGAGGCCTGCGTCTCCGGCTGCGTCCTCACCACGCGCCGGGGGCTTCTAACGGCTTCCTCCAGCATCCCCAGATCCACCAGATGGATTAACTCTGCAATGCGAAGGTCAGGAACAGGTTTGGAAAGGGCAGTAGCTTGCTGAAGTCTCAGAGATAACAGGAGGCGGAGGAGGGGTTCAAACCCGGAGGCCGACCGTGTCTAGAGCCTTTGAGCCACCAAGGGGCATGGGCCGGGTCCTCTCCTTCCATTTTCCCCGTGCCGAAGGGCTGGGAATCCTAAAACATTCCCTCCCTCTCTCCCAAACGTCGATGAGCAGCTCTCTGGGCGGCAGCGTCCAGTGCAGAAAGCCGGTTGCCAAGGGCCCGCCCGGGACGCCCGCGCAGCAGCAGCGGGGCCAGCGCATCCGGACGCTTTCAGGTCCCCACCAGCGCACAGCGCCCGCAGCTGCCCGCTGTCCTGGCACGTGGGGCTGGGCCCGGCTCCGAGCGGGCGCTGGCAGATATTAACGTAGCTGTTTCCTTTAATTCCATGAGACCTTTCCTCCCAGGACTGCTGGAGAGGCAGCAGCAGAATCTCCTCCATCCGCCTCGCCAGCTGGGCACGCAGGAAGGCCTGGAACCACCTAGAGCAAGCTTGTCTAACTCGCGGCTCGCATGCGGCCCAACACAAATTGTAAACTTTCTTAAAGCTTTTATTTAATTTTATTTTTTGTGATTTTGTGTTTCCCCGCTCATTAGCTGTCTTTAGTGTATTTTATGTGCCCCAAGACGATTCTTATTCTTCCCACGTGGCCCAGGGAGGCCAAAAGACTGGACACCCTAGAATGACCTAGGTCACTCGCCTAGAACAACCTAGAACAACCGTCAGGTCCGGCCAAGTCTTGGTCTTGTTGCTTAGACTGGAGTGCAGTGGCGCAATCTTGGCTCACTACAACCCCCTCGGCTTCAAGCAATTCTCCTGCCTCAGCCTCCTGAGTAGCTGGAATTACAGGCACCTGCCACCACGCCCAGCTAATTTTTGTATTTTTAGTAGAGACGGGGTTTCACTGTGTTGCCCAAGCTGGTCTCGAACTCCTGACCTCAGGTAATCTGCCCACTTTGGCCTCCCAAAGTGCTGGGATTACAGGCGTGAGCCACCACACCCAGCCTCACTTTGAAGAAAGAACTCCCCACTTTACTCCAAAGGACATGCACATTTCACAGGCAACCCAAAGTTCCCAGAGGCTTGCCCATGTCTGCAAGACTGGGACTTTGCTGGGCCTCAGGACGTGGTCCCTTCTCACCGTGGCAGTGGGGGGACATGTCGACATTTTTATTGACAAAACAAAACCCTATTTCACCCTTAAAGGTGATGGAACATAAAAGGATTTATCAGAAAATAGTGTTACTCTTTCCCTTATCACTGCAGAATCCACTAGTGCTGCCAGACAGCCTTATTGTAACTGTTATTTCTCTCTCTCTCTCTCTCTCTCGTATTTGAGACAAGGTCTCTTTCTGTCATCCAGGCTGGAGTGCAGTGGCATTATCATAGCTCACTGCAGCCTTGATCTCCTACCTCAGTCCCCCATCACCACCCAGTAGCTGGGACCACAGGTATGTGCCACCACGGCCAGCTAATTTTTACGTATTTTTTGTAGAGACAGGATTTTGCCAAGTTGCCCCCGCTGGTCTTGAACTCCTGGACTCAAGCGATCCTCCTGCCTCAGCCTCCCCAAATGCTAGGATTACACACGTGAGCCACTGTGCCCAGCCTGTAACTACTTTTTGTGTATATTAAAACTCTTTAGCATTTATTTTCTAAGTAGAGTGAGTAGGGGGCTGTGGATCAGCCACTGACCTCTCTACACTTGACTTCCATTCCTCGAGCATGAGGGGAAGACATGGCGAGACCATGTTTAGAAGCACTGCTCAGGCTGGGTGCGGTGGCTCACGCCTGTAATCCCAGCACTTTGGGAGGCCGAGGCCGGTAGATGGCTTGAGTCCAGGAGTTCAAGACCAGCCTGGACAACTTGGCAAAATCCTGTCTCTACAAAAAGTACGTAAAAATTCGCTGGCCGTGGTAGCACATACCTGTGGTCCCAACTACTGGGTGGTGATGGGGGACTGAGGTGGGAGGATTGCTTGAGCCTGGGAGGTGGGGGTTGCAGTGAGCTGAGATTGTGCCACTGCACTGCAGCTTGGGTGACAGAGTGAGACCCTATCTCAAAAAGAAATTAAAAAAAAAAAAAGGAGCACTGCTCAGACAGCCTGTGAATACCAACTTGGAGACCTGAGGCCTGTTGATGGATCTTGCAATGAAAATGGGCTGCTGGGGCCAAAGAGATTTGGGAATCACTGAGTTAGACAAAGCTGAAGGGGTGTCATCACTGCAGCTCCTTTCAAATCCTCTAGGAGGCCCTTCCCAAACTTACTTGGCTGTGAGACTATTTTTCTTATTTATTTATTTATTTATTTATTTATTTACGAGGCAGGGTCTCACTCTTGCCACCCAGGCTGGAGTGCAGTGGTGTGATCACAGCTCACTGCAGCCTTGACTTCTCAGGCTCAGGTGATCCTCCCACCTCAGCCTCCCAAGTAACTGGGACTGCAGGTGCACACAACTGTGCCCAGCTATGAAACTATTTTTCAGTGGAGCATCTGTGGGGCTAGAGATCTATAGGTGACGTCAGCCTGGAGAACGCTATTGTAGAACATAGTATGTGTTTAATAAACACCGGTCATTATTGTAATCTTTTTAAAGAAGGCAAACAGCCCTTCCTCTTGCTAGTCCTCATCTGGACCAGAGGGCTTATTCCACAGGCACCTGGCAGTCTCCCTCTCGGGCTTGGTGAAGGACACCTCTCTCCTGTTATCGAGGTGGCTTTGGAGGAGTTTGGGAGGCTTTGCTGGCACTGACGTGGGTGGTGAGAAAGAGCTCTGGTTCTGGAGGGATCCTGGTGCTGCCACTCCCAGCTGCATGACCTTGGATGAGTCCGTTAACTACCCTGTGCTATGTTCCCATGAGCGTACCTGCCCCTGGGGCTGTGTGAAGAACAGATGGGACCATGTGGTACAGCTGCTAGCACAGTGAGCAGTCAATCACGGCTGTTGTTGCTATCACCATTGTCATTAGCAGTAGCAATGATGGTGGTGCTCTAGCCCCATCGGCACCGATCCCTGACCCCCATTCTGGGGGTAAGCCTTACTTGAGGAATGTAAAAGGCTTAAAAGGGACAGACTTAAAAAAAAAAATAGTTTCCTTTACTGAAAAGCAAAAAGCAGAAGCCTTAAGTTGCATTTTATTTACTGAGGTTTTAAAAAAAATTGTGGCAAAAGATAAATAAAATTTACCATTTTAATCATTTGAAGTGTATAATTCAGTGGCATTAAGTAAATCTGTAAAGCTCTACGACCATCACCACCATCCATTTCCAGACATTTTTGTCATCCCAAAGAGAAATTCTGTACACATTAAACAGTAACTCCCCACCACTCCCAACCTGAGGAGCAGTGTGGGACAGGACACCATGCAAGGTGAAGACCCTCCCCAGCATCCTGCGTTTTGCAAGGACCTAGTGCCTGCTCAGCTGTCACCCGTCAGGCAGAACACCGAAACTCAGCCACAAGCTGCTGCTGCCATCCCCAGCATATAACGAAGGAAAAATTAAGCAAGTGTGTGCTTCTTTAGCCTCCTCTCTTAATACTGCATCTTCAGAATTAAAACTGTGGTGGGCCAGGCGCGGTGGCTCATGCCCGTAATCCCAGCACTTTGGGAGGCCGAGGCGGGTGGATCACAATGTCAGGAGATCGGGACCATCCTGGCTAACGCGGTGAAACCCCGTCTCTACTAAAAATACAAAAAATTAGCCGGGCGTGGGGGCAGGCGCCTGTAGTCCCAGCTACTCGGGAGGCTGAGGCAGGAGAATGGCGTGAACCCGGTAGGCGGAGGCTGCAGTGAGCTGAGATCACACCACTGCACTCCAGCCTGGGTGACAGAGCGAGACTCCGTCTCGGAAAAAAACAAACAAACAAAAAAACCGTGGTGGACAACTAAATGCGACGTGGTGTCCTGCATGGGATCCCGGAAGAGAAAAGAAACACGAAGAAAATCTGAATACACTGGGCGTGGTGGCTCATGCGAGCAACTCCTGGGCCAAGGCAGGAGGATCGCTTGAGCCCAGGAGGTCAAGGATGCAGTGAGCCATATTCATGCCACTGTACTCAAGCCTGGGTGAGAGAACAGGACCCCATCACTTAAAAAAAATTATAGGCAGGCGGATCACTTGATGACAGGAGTTCAAGACCAGTCTAGCCAACATAGCGAAACCCCATCTCTACTAAAAACACAAAAATTAGCTGAGTGTGGTGGTGCATGCCTGTAATCCCAGCTACTTGGGAGGCTGAGGCACAAGAATCGCTTGAACCCAGGGGGCACTGCGATGAGCTGAGGTCACACCACTGCACTCCAGCCTGGGCAACAGAGGGAGACTGTGTCTCAAAATAAATAAATAAATAAAATCATGACTATAGGCCGGGCGTGGTGGCTCACGCCTGTAATCCCAGCACTTTGGAAGGCCGAGGCGGGTGGATCACCTGAGGTCAGGAGTTCGAGACCAGCCTGGCCAACACGGCAAAACCCCGTCTCTAATAAAAATACAAAAATTAGCCAGGTGTGGTGGCACGCACCTGTAATCTCAGCTACTCGGGAGGCTGAGGCAGGAGAATGGCGTGAACCCGGGAGGCGGAGCTTGCAGTGAGCCGAGATCGCACCACTGCACTCCAGCCTGGGTGACAGAGCGAGACTCCGTCTCAAAAAAAAAAAAAAAAAAAAAAAAAAAAAAATTATGTAGTAATGTCTATTTAACAAAGAAAGTCAAAATTGTCACTGGTGAGCTTCTTGGGGCCCAGGTCATGGGTGCTGGGGTAAGGTCCATCATTCCTTCCCTTTCAGAGGGACTTCCCAGCAAAGCAAGGGGTTACTATTTTCTTTATGAACCAGTGTAATTTCCCCTCTAAACCTCCCCTCATTCAGGCAGCTAGGCCGGAGCTTGCCATTGCTCTTAGTGGGGACTATTACAACAGGACACAGAAGAGCAAGAGCCAACTCCTTGCTTTTGACCTTCCAGAGGCTTGTGAGCACACAAGGCCCATGGTGGCTCAGAGATGCCTTTGTGGAAATGAGGAAAAGGCGCCTCTCCACCTCTTTGTATGCAGGCCCAAGCCTGGACAAGCAATGTGCCAATTTCACCCCCACTGGCTCACTAAACACCTGCATAACCTTGTGGGGCAGCCTCGGAGCTGAGAGCTGAGCCGGGGATGGTGTGGAGGGAAGTGCACACATCAGAGCCAGAGTTTCTCTGGGAATATTCCACAGACCAGGGTGGGGTCAGGGATGGGAGAAATCAGAGGACAGGCAGGAAGGTGAGGTGCTTGAACAGGGACTGCTGCCCTGGACTGGACAAAGATGATAGAGACACTGAGGGTGGTTTGGGGTTCTGGGAGCAAAGGGCATAGCTCCTTCTTGCTCCTGAGAGGTGTCCAGCTCAGTGAGAACAGCAAGAAAGCTGCTGGGGGCTGCTTGGGAAGGAGGCCTGAGACCACCTGGCAGTTACAAGGCAGCAGGGTGTGGAGGCAGCTGAAGGGAAGCTAGATGTGGAGTGGGACACGCTGTGCCCCATGTGGACCATCCTGGAGTGAGATGGCCTCTGCAGATGCCAGTGGAGATGGACAAGGTGACAGGGGACCAGATTCCCCACCCACACCACCCATGACTTGGCTGCCACAACCCCCAGAACTGAAGGATGGGATCCTGGATGGACTGAGATTGAGTTTCTGTCCCTCTGTGGAATGGAAACTTGAAGCAAAAGTGAAGGGAAGGTGCCTTCATGAAGAGGAAGAAAGGTTTCCAGGACAGCGAGCCTACGGATGGTGATCTGGAACTGGCACCCATCCAATTCTACCTTTGGAATACCTTCAAAACCCAAACTCCTTTTCCCTCTCTGCACTGCTGCCACTGTGGTCCAAGCCACCCTCATCTCTGGGTTATCTCTGTAGCCCTCCACCCTCCAAGGGCTCTCTGACCCTACTCTGGTCTCAAAGAGTTAATTCTCAACAGACCAGCAGAGTGCACCCGCTACAATGCAGAGACCATGTCAGTCCTTAGAATCCTGCCATGGCTTTATGCCACTGAGTCCTTTTTTTTTTTTTTTTTTGAGACGAAGTCTTGCTCTTGTCCCCCAGTCTGGAGTGCAATGGCACGATCTCGGCTCACTGTAACCTCCGCCTCCTGGGTTCAAATGATTCTCCTGCCTCAGCCTCCTGAGTAGCTGGGATTACAGGTGCGTACCACCATGCGCTGATAATTTTTTTTTTTTTTTGAGATGGAGTCTATGTCGCCCAGGCTGGAGTGCAGTGGCACGACGTCGGTTCACTGCAAGCTCCGCCTCCCGGGTTCACGCCATTCTCCTGCCTCAGCCTCCAGAGTAGCTGGGATCACAGGCGCCCGCCATGCCCGGCTAATTTTTTGTGTTTTTAGTAGAGGCGGGGTTTCACCATGTTAGCCAGGATGGTCTCGATCTCCTGACCTCGTGATCCGCCCGCCTCGGCCTCCCAAAGTGCTGGGATTACAGGCGTGAGCCACTGCGCCCGGCCGCCAGAGTCCTTTTGGTGGCCACGTATTACCTCTGACCATCACCTGCTGCTCAAACCCACACTCACGCCACTGCATGATCCCTTCCACCCCAGGGCCCTTGCACACGATGAGCCCCTGGCCTGCAATGCCCTTCCTTCACTTCCTTCATCGTCACCTTCTCAGTAAAGCCCTCCCTGCCTCTTTTGTAAATTTCTTCCCATCCTCTATACCCTTCCCACCTCTCTCCCCATCTTTAGCTTTTCCCTGTATCACTTATTCAACACAGCATAGATTTTGTTGAAGGCAGGGGTTTCTGCCTTCTGTTTAATGCTAGCTGCCCAGTGCCTAGAAAAGTGCCTGGCATCCAGTAGGTGTTCAATAGATATTTATAGAGTTAAATGCACTAAACTTAGGAGGCGGAAGTTGTTTTTTTTGGAGGCCTTTGCCCATTTCACTCCCTCCTTCCCGTTCCACCTTCTAGGTTTCTCATTCCCTCTGCTTCTTCTCTTTTGCTGGCTCTGGCCTGCAGCCCTCTTGCCCCTGGTGTAAAGGGCTCAAAACGCCAGACAGCTCTGCCGCCATGGGGAGGAGACCCTGACTGAGAAGCCAGGGCCCCGGCCTCCAGGGTCACCAGTACCTTGGGCAGGCCGGGGTGTCGCTGGGGCTTGGGTGACTCCACCAGGCATGGAGGGGGTGGGTACTCCCAGCTGGCTCGCCAACCTTCGCTTCTTGCCTCGCAAAGGCAACCTGGCGGAGGGTCTGTGGGTCAAGCAGAGTCCAGCTCTAGTTTCTCCCCTTCCAGGCTGTGCGCCCTCAGCCAGGCCTCTCCTCGCCTACAGGGCTCGCGGACACTTCTGACCCTCACTGAGGTCGTAAAGATTACAAGTCAGTGGTCCACAACGACTGGCGTCGGGCCCGCCGCATACCCACTATGTACGACTGGCCGCTAAGTCAGCCGAGGCCCTGGGGCTCCGCTCCACAACCCAGCCCACGGTCAGCTTTCCTGGGCTGCTCCGTCCCGCGAGGCCATCGCCCCATTCATATTCGGCAGGGCATTTCCACGCGTCCCGTCTCAGGCAAGCCCCAGAGCACCCTTTTTCGGGCAACACTGTGCCCACTTCACTGGAGAGGGAACTGAGGTCCACGTCATTGGGAGAGGAACACGTGACATATTGAGCTCTTTCCTCAGCAAGTGACCTAACCCGCCTTGCCCTCGGCCGTGAGCAGAGGGCCAGACCGGAAGTCCGCTAGCTCTGCTGTTCCGAGGCCCGCCAGTCTCCAAACCCCGGTCTTAGATCGAGGTCTCTGGCCGTTTCCCTCCGCAGCAAAACCCTTGTTCCAGGACTACACCAGACGGGTCACACGACCTAGATCGGCACGGTCACATGTCCCGCAGTCCGGTCATGTGCACCCTCGGACCAATCCCAGCGGCCAGGAAGGAGAGGCATTGTGATTGGCCCATGCCCTTCAGGGGGCGGGACTCCTGCTGAGGAGGGCCTTCCCCGTTCTCACCTCTGCGTTCCGCGTGAATCTCGCTCACTCGCGAGATTGGGCGTCTGACAGGTGCCCTTAGGTCCCACAATGCACAGGCCGGAGGCGGGGCGGTCCTGCATTGACGCAACCTCGCGCGCCGCTTGCGTCACCTCTCGGTGCCGCCCTTGAGATTGGGGCATTTCTCGCTGAGATCCTGCACTCGGCTCCAGGTATCCTGGAGGAAAGAACGAACTTCTCCTGGGCCCAGAAGTTTAGGTCCGCTGTCGTCCCCCGCCTGCCTCTAAGGCCCTCTCCTCGCGACAGCCTCTGAAACCATCGGCTCCTTCCTCATTTCTGTCACGGCCTGGCTTGCATTCCAAGCCAGGCACTCATTTCATGTTTATTGTTCCAGCTGGACTAGGGGTACTTAAACCGTGGTCCATGGCTGGGCTTCCGGGGCCGTGACCCCCTTAAATTATATGCAGTATGTAGCTTGTTGTGGGTGGCTTCTGTCACACTTAAATGCTGGGTGCCATCACAGGACTGGCAGGGCCCTACTGTGGTCGTCAGTGCGCTCTTTGTCAGCACAGAGCCTGACGCAAATGTCCAAAGGTGCTAATTAGACAGAGGCAAATATCCCAACTGTTGCCCTCTGCACACACCTCGGTCTACTCTTTTAAGACTACTTGCTGTTACCTGCACACACCTTTATTTATTTATTTATTTATTTATTTAATTTTTGAGACAGGGTCTCGCTCTGTCGCCCAGGCTGGAGTGCAGTGGCGCGATCTCGGCTCACGGGCTCAAGCGACCCTCCTGCCTCAGCCTCCCGAACAGCTGGGACTACAGGCCTGCGTCACCACGCCCGGCTAGTGGTTTTTTTCTTTTTTTTTTTTTCTTGAGACGGAGTCTTGCTCTGTCGCCCAGGCTGGAGTGCAGTGGCGCCATCTCGGCTTACTGCAACCTCCGCCTCCCAGGTTCAAGCGATTTTCCTGCCTCAGCCTCCCGAGTAGCTGGGATTATAGGCGCTCGCCACCACACCCGGCTAATTTTTGTATTTTTAGTAGAAACGGGGTTTCACCATGTTGGCCAGGCTGGTCTCGAACTCCTGACTGCCTCGGCCTCCTAAAAGTGCTGGGATTACAGGCGCGAGCCACTGCGCCCGGCCTAGTTTTTGTATTTTTTGTAGAGACGGGGTTTCGCCATGTTGCCCAGGGTGGTCTTGAATTCCTGAGCTCAAGTGATCCTCCCGCCTAGGCCTTCCAAAGTGCTGGGAGTACGTGAGCCACCGCTCCTGGCCCTGCACACAGCTTTTGATTGTACGCCTTCCTTCTGTCATCATGCTGTTCTCTCTGACCGAACAAATCTCTCTTCATCTTTCTATCAAACATCGATTGAGTTTGAGCGAGGGCGTGGAGGGGTTGAGCACAGTGCCAGGCACTGGAAGCACGTTGGTGAACAAGACAAGCCTGGGCAATGTTCCCACAGAGCTCACGATCTAGCGGGGGAGACAGGTTGGAGATAGGGGAGAGGCTGCGGGCGTCTCAGATCTGGCACCAGAGAGATCCTAGACTCCAGGATAAGCAGTCAATAGCTAGGTCAGGGCTGGGCGCGGTGGCTCACGCCTGTAATCCCAGCACTTTGGGCGGCCGAGGCAGGTGGGTCACGAGGTCTGGAGTTCAAAACCAGCCTGGCCAACATGGTGAAACCCCATTTCTACTAAAAACACAAAAATTAGTCGGGCGTGGTGTCGGGTGCCTGTAATCCCAGCTACTTGGGAGGCTGAGGGAGAAGAATCGCTTGAACCCGAGAGGCGGAGGTTGCAGTGAACCGAGATGGAGCCACTGTACTCCAGCGTGGGCGACAGAGCAAGACGCAACTCTGTCTCGGGGGAAAAAAAAAAAAAAAAAAAAAAGCCAAGTCAGGGCAAGATGTGAAATAGCACGTTGGAAGGCTCCTGGGTAAGATTTGACCTGTCACAAGAGGAGAGAAGGTAGCCGGGGCAGCGATTTGATTTCCGGAATGGTGGTTGCTAGGCAGTGTTCGGAATGGATCAGATGGGTGTTTTTGTAAGATCCCTCTGGCTGTTAATGTTAGGGGTGCAAGGGCAGGAGGGAGTTGGGCAGCCAGAGGCGGAAAGAGAACAGCCAGAACAGAGGCTGGATGTAGAATTCTGAACATGTGTGGGAACCTTTCTGGGCCTCAATTTGTCCATCTGTAAATTGGGAGGTAGACTCAATCTTTACGGTCCTCCCACCTCTGATTAAAATTTAGCAACAGTCAGCCGGGCGCGGTGGCTCACTCCTGTAATCCCAGCACTTTGGGAGGCCGAGGTGGGCGGATTGCCTGAGCTCAGGTGTTGGAGACCAGCCTGGGCAACACGGTGAAACCCCGTCTCTACTAAAATACAAAAAAATTAGCCGGGCGTGGTGGCGGGCACCTGTAGTCCCAGCTACTCGGGAGGCTGAGGCAGGAGAATGGCTTGAACCCAGGAGGTGGAGGCTGCAGTGAGCCGAGATCGCGCCACTGCACTCCAGCCTAAGCGACAGAGCAAGACTCCGTCTCAAAAAAAAAAAAAAAAGAAAACTTAGCAACACTTCAGGTAGGTGAGAATTTACAAGTGGTTAAAACAGGGGAGAAAGATAATGGGAAAGAAAGAAGGCAGGAGGGATGGAGGAAACAAAGGGGATACCTGCGAAAGAAGGGACTCCAGTGAAAAATCACAAAGGCTTGGTCAATGTCATGTGATTAGCCCAGCTGTCAATTATAGAAGTTAGGATTCTGTCTTCCCACAGAGACTGGAGGAGTCTAACCTTCCTCATGATTACATTTCAAAAGGACGGCTTTCAGGTCCTAAAGAAAGACACTCCTGAGCTGAAGGAGATAGATATACATCTCAAAGGGATAGAGGCGGGATTCGTATTTGCAAGCCATTTTTAGTAAATGCTCAAAGGGAGGGCCCAGGAGTCTTTCATTAGGTGTTGGCTAAAACAAATAGTAAATTCTTCTGGCATCATTGAGCTTCTCTGGCAGGCATTGTAACGGGGGTGCTGGGATCATCCTAGGAACTTGTGCTTCTAGAAGCATGCTACTCTTTGGTCATCTCTTAGTGCAGAGGTTAGAATGGAGTTGTCATGTGCTGAGAGGTCTGCAGTTCTCAGGGTGCACTTTTTTTTTTTTTCCTTTTTTGAGATGGAGTCTCCCTCTGTTGCCTAGGCTGGAGTGCCATGGCACAGTCTTGGCTCACTGCACCCTCCACCTCCCAGGTTCAGGGAGTTCTCCTGCCTCAGCCTCCCGAGTAGCTGGGACTACAGGTTCATGACACCACACCCGGCTAATTTTTGTATTTTTTTTTTTTTTTGGTAGAGATGGGGTTTCACCATGTTGGCCAAGCTGATCTTGAACTCCTGACCTCAAGTGATCCGCCTGCCTCGGCCTCCCAAAGTGCCGTGATTACAGGTGTGAGCCACCATGCCTGGCCAGGATGCACTTTTATTCATTTAGTAATTTCTTCACGGCTTCTATGTCTTTTTCATTATGGAGAATGATGCTGTCATGAGCATTCTTGGGCTTGTAGCTGTCATTCTTTTGTGCAAGTGCTGGTGGCTAAATTCCTAGAAGCAGAATTGCAGAGTCAAAAGGTATGACATTTTAGACATTTTAAATGTTTAGCATTTTAAACATTTTAAACATTACCTAATTACCCTTCCAAAGAGTTGTACAAATCTGCGTAGCCATCAACAATAAACTAAAATGCTCTTTCCTCCCATCTTCCCCACTACCATTGGAATCTCTTGTCCCACCAGGGCTGCTAATTTCTTTTTTTATTTTGTCTTTTTTTTTTCCTTTTTGTGGAGAACGGGGTCTTGCTATATTGCCCAGGCAGGTCTCGAACTCCTAGGCTCAAGCTATTCTCCCGCCTCTGCCTCCCTAAGAGCTGGGGTTATAGGTGTGAGCCACCGCGCTCAGCCTCTTTTTTTTTTTGGCTCTGGTTGCCCAGGCTGGAGTGCAATGGCGTGATCTCGGCTCACTGCAACCTCCGCTTCCCAGGTTCAAGTGATTCTCCTGCCTCAGCCTCCCAAGTAGCTGGGATTACAGGCATGTGCCACCATGCCTGGCTAATTTTTTGTATTTTTAGTAGAGACAGGGTTTCTCCATGTTGGTCAGGGTGGTCTCGAACTCCTGACCTCCGGTGATCTGCCCTCCTCGGCCTCCCAAAGTGCTGGGATTACAGGCATGAACCACGGTGCCCAGCCAGGGCTGCTAATTTCAGTGGACCCCTTTCCCTCTCAGAGCCTTTTTCTCAGTGTGAAATGGGGATAGGACAATGATATTAATGACAGCAGGTGTCATCTGCTGAGCTTCCTCTGCCTGCTTTACATGATCCTCCTGAAGACATACTTTTTTTGGTTGGTAGGCTATTAATTATTGCCTCAAGTTCAGAGCCTGTTATTGGTCTATTCAGGGATTCAACTTCTTCCTGGTTTAGTCTTGGGAATTATTATCTCCTTTCCACGGATGAGACCACTGAGAGGCAAATGGAGCTGAAATTGCAACTCCACTCTGACATCAAGAAACTCTTCTTGGCTGGGTGCAGTGGCTCACACCTGTAATCCCAGCACTTTGGGAGGCCAAAGAGGGCGGATCGATTGAGCTGAGGAGTTTGAGACCAGCCTGGGCAACATGGCAAAGACCATGTCTTTACAACAAATATAAAAATTAGCTGTGCCTGGTGGTGTGTGCCTGTAGTCCCTCCACACAAGAGGCTGAGGTGGGAGGATCGCTTGGACCAGGGAGGCGGAGGTTGCATGGAGCCAGGATCGTGCCACTGCACTCCAGCCTGGGTGACAGAGTGAGACCCGTCTCATAAAAAGAAAAGAAACTTGGCTGGGCGCGTTGGCTCACGCCTGTAATCCCAGCACTTTGGAAGGCCAAGGCAGGCAAATCATGAGGTCAGGAGATTGAGACCATCCTGGCTGACACTGTGAAACCCCGTCTCTACTAAAAACACAAAAAATTAGCCGGGCGTGGTGGTGGGCACCTGTAGTCCCAGCTACTCGGGAGGCTGAGGCAGAAGAATGCAGTGAGCAGAGATCACGCCACTGCACTCCAGCCTGGGTGACAGAGTGAGACTCCATCTCAAAAAAAAAAAAAAAAATTAAAAAGAAAGAAAAGAAACTCCTCCCTAGAGCCCGCCTGAGCTAGAAAGTTGTACAGATGTGGGTCCCCCCAGAGTTTGGGACTTTTCGTTGTCACAGCTCTGTTGAATATTATGGTAATTACCTGTTTCATGCCTCGTCACAGTTTAGAGGGATGCTTTCCCGGGGAGGTGCTGTAGGAGGAAACAAAGTTCCCCCAGCATCCCTTTAGAAGGAGAAATGCCAGTTACCTCTTGTCAATTCTGGGTCATCACCCATAGTCTCCCTTGAAAGGACATGTACAGGGCAAATGGTGCCAGTCACTGAGGAAAACCTCAGTCCTGGGGAAGGGGGCACACACAGGTGGGCAGCAGTTCTGGGTCTTCCATTCCCCCAGCCTCCCTACCCCAGTGTGGCCACAGAGAAGCATGCCACTGGTTTCACTTTAAATTCTTGATCAAATCTTCACTTGAACATTCATACTTTGCGGAGAAACTCGAGGGTATCAGAGGGCAACTCCTTAATCCAACCCACCCCAAATCTATATATTTACCTGCATTTGCTCCTTAAATCTTTTTTTTTTTTTTTTTGCCTTCTGTTAAAATGGATTCTCTGCTCCTGTTTAAGACCAACCCTCCCTTGAGCTCTGGCTTCGAGTTGCCCGTCCCCTTCATAAACACTGCATGGGCTTGTCCCCATCACACACAGATATGTTCCAGTGTTTGCTTTCTTTTAAGATATCCTCTTCTAAAATTCTCTTTTTTGTTGTGTCTCTGCCAGGCTTTGGTATCAGGATGATGCTGGCCTCATAAAATGAGTTAGGGAGGATTCCCTCTTTTTCTATTGATTGGAATAGTTTCTGAAGGAATGGTACCAGCTCGTCTTTGTACCTCTGGTAGAATTTGGCTGTGAATCCGTCTGGTCCTGGACTTTTTTTGATTGGTAGGCTATTAATTATTGCCTCAATTTCAGAGCCTGTTATTGGTCTATTCAGGGATTCAACTTCTTCCTGGTTTAGTCTTGGGAGGGTGTATGTGTCCAGGAATTTATCCATTTCTTCTAGATTTTCTAGTTTATTTGCGTAGAGGTGTTTATAGTATTCTCTGATGGTAGTTTGTATTTCTGTGGGATCGGTGGTGATATCCCCTTTATCATTTTTTATTGCATCTATTTGATTCTTCTCTCTTTTCTTCTTTATTAGTCTTGCACACATATGTTTATTGCGGCACTATTCACAATAGCAAAGACTGGGAACCAACCCAAATATCCATCAATGATAGACTGGATTAAGAAAATGTGGCACATATACACCATGGAATACTATGCAGCCATAACAAAGGATGAGTTCATGTCCTTTGTGGGGACATGGATGAAGCTGGAAACCATCATTCTGAGCAAACTGTCACAAGGACAGAAAACCAAACACCACATATTCTCACTTATAGGTGGGAATTGGACAATGAGAACAACTGGACACAGGGTGGGGAACATCACACACCGGGGCCTGTCGTGGGATGGGGGGAGGGGAGAGGGATAGCATTAGGAGATATACCTAATGTAAATGACGAGTTAATGGGTGCAGCACACCAACATGGCACATGTATACACGTGTAACAAACCTGCATGTTGTGCACATGTACCCTAGAACTTAAAGTATAATAAATAAAAATAAATAAAAATAAAAATAAAATCTCCTCTTCTGACCAGTCCTCTACAGCAGGGCTCTGTTTCTGTTCCCTAATCACCAAAATGTCTCTTATGTGATTATCCTTTTTTTTTGAGACAGGGTCTTGCTCTGTCACCCAGGCTGGAGTGCAGTGGCACCTCCCAGGTTCAAGTGATCCTTCTGCCTCAGCCTCCGGAGTAGCTGGGGCTACAGGCGTGCACCACCACGCCCAGCAAATTTTTTTTTTTTTTTGTATTTTTAGTAGAGACGGGGTTTCACCATGTTGGCCAGGATGGTCTCGATCTCTTGACCTCGTGATCCGCCTGCCTTGACCTCCCAAAGTGTTGGGATTACAGGGGTGAGCCACCTCGCCAGGCCCACCTTCTCTCTTATAGACATATGCATATATTGTCTTTATCTGGTCTGATGCCCCAGCAGCCCTGATTCCCCGAGTATACCTCCACAAACAGGAACCCTCTCCTACTTGACCTTCTTATGGACCTTGTGTCAGGAAATCAACACTGTTAAAAACAATGTGAATCTGGCTGGGCGCGGTGGCTCACGCCTGTAATCCCAGCACTTTGGGAGGCCGAGGTGGACAGGTTGCCTGAGGCCAGGAGTTTGAGACCAGCCTGGCCAACATGGTGAAACCCTGTCTCTACTAAAAATACAAAAATTAGCCAGGCATGGTGGCATGCACCTGTAATCCCAGCTACTCAGGAGGCTGAGGTGGGAGGATCACTTGAACCCAGGAGGCGGAGGTTACAGTGAGCCGAGATTGTGCCACTGCACTCCAGCTTGGTGACAGAGCGAGACTCTGCCTTAAGACAAAACAAAACAAAAGTGAATCAACATCAGACTCCATTCCATTTCACCAGATACCCGCAAAGTCTTCTTTCCCTTCTGTCCTATTCTCTATCCAGAATGTGCATGGCACTTCCTTGCCATGACTCGTCAGCCTCCTGTCAGGAACAGCCCCTCAGCCTCACATTGTCTCTAGTGTCCTTGACAGTCTGTCTTAGTCCATTTGTGCTGCTATAACAAAATACCACAGATAGGGTCATTTATAAAGAAGAGAACTTTGGCCAGGTGTGGTGGCTCACGCCTGTAATCCCAGCACTTTGGGAGGCTGAGATGGGCAGATCACGAGGTCAAGAGATCGAGACCATCCTGGCCAACCTGGTGAAACTTCGTCTCTACTAAAAATACAAAAATTGGCCGGGCATGGTGGCGCATGCCTGTAATCCCAGCTACTTGGGAGGCTGAGGCAGGAGAATCACTTGAACCTGGGAGGCGGAGGTTGTGGTGAGCAGAGAGATGCGCCACTGCACTCCAGCCTGGGCGACAGAGTGGGACTCTGTCTCCAGAAAAAAAAAAAAAAAAAAGAACAGACCTTTATTGCTCCCAGTTCTGGAGGCTGGAAGTGCAAGATCAGGGCACCAGCAGATTTGTTGTCTGGTGAGGGCCTGGCCCCACCTTCCAAGATGGTGTCTTGACTGCTGTGCACTCCTGAAGGGATGAACTCTGTGTGCTCACGTGGCAAAGGGGTGAAAAGAGTCAGACTGTCTCCATCAAGCCCTTTTATAAGGTCATCAAATCCCACTCATGAGAGCAGAGCCCTTATGACTCAGTCACCTCCCAAAGGCTACACTTCCCAGCACTGTTGCACTGGGGATTACGTTTCTTTTTTTATTTTACTTTTGTAAAAAAATATTTTTTCTATCTGCCTGCTGAGGCAGGCAGATCACCTGAGGTCAGGATTTCAAGATCAGCCTGGCCAACATGGTGAAACCCTGTCTCTACTAAAAATACAAAAAATTGGCCGGGCGCGGTGGCTCACACCTGTAATCCCAGCACTTTGGGAGGCTGAGGCGGGCAGATCACGAGGTCAGGAGATCGAGACCATCCTGGCTAACACAGTGAAACCCCATCTCTACTAAAAATACAAAAAAAATTAGCCGGGCGTGGTGGCAGGTGCCTGCAGCCCCAGCTACTCGGGAGGCTGAGGCAAGAGAATGGTGTGAACCCGGGAGGCGGAGGTTGCAGTGAGCCCAGATTGCGCCACTGCACTCCAGCCTGGGCGACAGGGCGAGACTCCATCTTAAAAAAAAAAAAAAAGGTTGGATGGATAGATTTGATTTACCTGTGAAGCCTTCTGTATGTATATAATTGTCATAAGTAGTTTTTCCTTGTTTTTCTTTGCTACTCTGTGAGCCAAACCCTGGCAAATCTTCCAGCCCCCCTCATCTTCGGGTCTTTGCACGGGTCCTCTTGCTTGGGACATTCTCCACTTTCATTGGGGGAAGCCCAGTGGGAAGCCTCCCTGCAGTGCCCTAACCTCTCCCCACTGCGGTGCTGGCTTCCTGCCATGGAACCTGACTTGCTGGACTGTCTCAGGACATGGAAGCAGGGGCATCTGCATTGGGTTCACCGCCGTTATTGGCACGGTCCACAGACATTGGGATGAGCGAGTGTTCTCCCACGGCTCTGCCCTCTTCAGGCACAGTCACTGCGTATGTGCATCCTGCTCTTCACACCTCATTCACTTCACAAGCTGAGCAAGCTGTCCCGTCTGCACTGGGGATGGAGCTGGGCACTGGAGACACCTCCAAGAAAAAGCAGATGAGCTCCTTGCCTTGTAGTGGAGGCACTTTACTAAGAAATAAATGAAATGACAAATTGTACCAGGGCTCTGATGAAAATGGGGTGCCCTGACAGAGAGTAAGGGGATGGGGGGTTCCCAATTTCAGGACAGTGGTCAGAGAAGGCCCCTTTCGAGAGAAACCATTGCATTTTAGACCTGCAGGTTGAAAACAGTCAGCCCCGCCACTTCGGGGGCTAGAAGTAGGAAGTGACAGTGACAGCGTGTGCAAAGGCACTGGGGCGGGAAGGAGGTTGGTGGGTGAGAAGCAGAAACCAGTGATGGACCAGTGGGAGCACAGCTGGCCATGGCTGCAGAGGTCAGCATGGGGAGGGCTCAGGCTTTATTTAAGTGCCATGTGAAGCCACTCGAGGGTTTTAAGCAAGAGGGCGACGTGATCTCTATTTTAACACGTTCTGGAGAGAAAGCTGTCACTGCAGACTAGGGAAGGGGCAGGGCTGGGGTGGGAGAGCAAGGCTGGGCTAAGGTGCAATCTCTAGGATCTAAGAATCCTAGGAAGGGAGGAATCATGGCCAACCTCCGGGTTTCTGGCTTGATGAGTCTGCTGGGTGGTGGTGTCAGTTCCTGGGTGAAGAAGATCTCAGGGACTGGGCTGGGAGGGGGTGGGCAAGTGTGGCCCATGCTGCCAGCACTGACCCCTCTATGCTGTGGGCGTCCACTCTGTCTACCCAGAGGGTGATGCTGTCCAGGGCATACTGAGGCCCCAGTGCCCGCATGTGCCACCCCACAGATACCTGTTGATCGAAATTCTTTTCACTGTCTTCATTTGGGTCAAATCCTCACCCAAGGGGGTTGGATTTTATTTTTTATTTTTTTGAGACAAGTTCTCACTCTGTTGCCTAGGCTGGAGTGCAGTGGCGCAATCTTGGCTCACTGCAGCCTTGAATTCCCAGGCTCAGGTGATCCTCCCACCTCAGCCTCCTGAGTAGCTGGGACTACAGGTGTGTGCCACCATATTTGGCTAATTTTTATTTTTTTTGTAGATACAGGGTTTCACCATGTTGCCCAGGCTGGTCTTGAATTCCTGGGCTCAAGGGGATCTGCCCATCTTGGCCTCCCAAAGTGCTGGGATTACAGGCATGGGCCACCGTGTCCAGCCAGATTTGACTTTTTACACCCTAGTTTTTCAAGGTCAACTTGTGGAAAACATGGGTACTTCTTTTTTAAAAAAAAATATATATATATATATTTTTTTATTTAAAGAGACAGGGCCTTGCCATGTTGGCCAGGTTGGTCTTGAACTCCTGGCCTCAAGCAATCGACCCACCTCGGCCTCCTAAAGTGTTAGGATTACAAGCGTGAGCCACCAAGCTTGGCCACTTCTTATTTATTTATTCTAGGGCACTTTGTGAAAAATAGAAAACGTGTGGCTATAAATGACTGAGCATTTCTGGTACATCGTGTATGGCAGACTGAAGATGATTCCAAAGATCTTTTCTCAAGTATCTTGAGAAATTTAGCTTTTTTTTTTTTTTTTTTTTTTTTTTTTTTCTTGAGACAGAGTCTTGCTCTGTTGCCCATGCTGGAGTGCAGTGGCACGATCTTGGCTTACTGCAACCTCCGCCTCCCGGGTTCAAGTGATTCTCCTGCCTCAGCCTCCCAAGTAGCTGGGATTACAGGTGCACACCACCATGTCTGGTTAATTTTTGTTTGTTTGTTTGTTTTTTGAGATGGAGTCTTGCCCTGTTGCCCAGGCTGGAGTGCAGTGGCACAATCTCAGCTCACTGAAACCCCCGCCTCCCGGGTTCAAGTGATTCTCCCACCTCAGCCTCCCGAGTAGCTGGGACTACAGGTGCCCGCCACCACGCCCGTCTAATTTTTGTATTTTTAGTAGAGATGGGGTTTCACCATGTTGGCCAGGATGGTCTCGATCTCTTGACTTTGTGATCCGCCCGCCTTAACCTCCCAGAGTGCTGGGATTACAGGTGTGAGCCACAGCGCCCGACCTAATTTTTGTATTTTTTTTAGTAGAGACAGGGTTTCACCATATTGGCCAGGCTGGTCTCAAACTCCTGAACTTGTGATCCTCCTGCCTCGGCCTCCCAAAATGCTGGGATTAGAGGCATGAGGCACTGCACCTGACCAAAATTTAGCTTTTTAATATGGGAAATGTTTTCTATGTAAGAAATATCTGAATTTTTACTTGGTAAAGTAAAGCATTTCTACAGGAGGTCCATTGCCTGTCTCAAATAAATCTTTCAATTGTGCATTTTCCTAGAGACTTTTTTTTTTTTTTTGAGACAGAATCTCGTTCTGTCGCCCAGGCTGGAGTGCAGTGGCATGATCTCGGCTCACTGCAACCTCTGCCTCCCGGATTCAAGCGATTCTTCTGCCTCAGCCTCCCAAGTAGCTGGGATTACAGGCACGTGCCACCATGCCCGCCTAATTTTTTTGTACTTTTAGTAGAGACGAGGGTTCACCATATTGGCCAGGCTGGTCTCGAACTCCTGACCTTGTGATCCACCCACCTCGACCTCCCAAAGTGCTGGGATTACAGGCGTGAGCCACCGCGCCCGGCCTCATTTTCCTAGAGACTTTAAAGAAATTCACAATCTAGAAAGAAACCAAATGGTAGTCAAGATACAGTACTACCCACGAATGCACAACTTTGTGAATTTTTTTTTTTTTTTTTTTTGAGACGCAGTCTTACTCTGTCACCTAGGCTGGAGTGCAGTGGCGCAATCTCAGCTCACTGCAACCTCTGTCTCCAGCGATTGTCCTGCCTCAGCCTCCCGAGTAGCTGGGACTACTGGGGTGCACCACCATGCCCAGCTTATTTTTTGTATTGTTTTTTAGTAGAGATGGGGTTTCACCATGTTGGCCAAGGTGGTCTCGAACTCCTTATCTCAAGTGATCCACCTGCCTTGGCCTCCCAAAGTGCTGGGATAACAGGCATGAGCCACTGCGCCCGGCTAACTCTGTGAGATCTTATTAGATACACAACAGGGGCTGGCTCGCCAGTTATGGGGCTTTCCTATTTCTCTATTTCATTTTCTGTAAAACCAGGGTTTGAACTAGACCAGGGGTTCCTAGAATTTGAGATTTCATTGGTCTGGAGGCCGATCAGCATTATCATACTGTTCAAATTTTAAAACGGTATTGCCGACTTTTTTCAAGCGGAGAATTATAAAAGAAACTCGTATTTACACTTGCCATTTCCAAAGGTATATTTCAATGCTAAAAGCAGAGGAAGAGCATGTCAGAAAAAGGGTCCTTCTTCAAATTGAGTTTCCAGAGGAACCCATTCCATTGCTCTTCTCTCTTGTTTTTGAGTCAGGGTCTTGCTGTGTCATCCAGGCTGAAGTGCACGGCTCACTGAAGCCTCAATTTCCTGGGCTCAATTGATCCTCCCACCTCAAGCCTCTCATGTAGCTGGGACTGTGGGAACGCGCCACCACACCCAGCTAATTTATTTTTTTGGTAGTGACAGGGTCAGTGTCACTGTGTTGCCCAGGCTGGTCTTGAACCCCTAGGCTCCAGCTGTCTTCCCACCTAAGCCTCCCAGAATGCTGGGATTACAGGTATGAGCCACCTCACCCAGCCGTCTTTTCTCTCGTTTTGATGAGGACATGGAAACACTGTCATGCCTGGGCAGGTCTGCAGACTGGCTGTGGGACCCTGGTAACCACCGGGTCCTCCTAGTCATCAGAGATCCAGCACTGGTTCCAGGGTCAGCCTCGGTGGAGCAGATGTAGGGTCTCACTGCGGTACCATATTGACGCAAGTGCGGGGCCAGGAATTGAGAGATTGGGGTCTGCCTGGCACTGTTGCTGTGCTAGTGTTCCGGGTATTGGGGTTCGGTGCTCCTGGCTGTCCTCACTCATAAAGCCACGGGCTGCCCACCATGGCCATGAGGTCTTCTCCCACCCTGGGCACCTCACGGCGAGATGGAGTCACGCCAGTCTCTAGGCTGGAGAAAGAAGCTAGTGAGAGCGGCAGCTGTGGTTGCTTTCCTCATCCTCAGCTGGGGCAGTGGGGCCGTGGGTGTTCTCTTATGAATAAGTGAATGCAGTCACAGAAGTTTCTTCTGCCTGAGATTTTTGCCCACCGGAGACTCTGCTGGGCTTTCACCTTGCTGGAGAGCTCATTCAGGAAGACTCAGGCTCTTGGGTTCCCTGAAAACTTTCCACTCCCCTACATTTTTTTTTTTTTTTGAGATGAAGTCTCACTCTATCACCCAGGCTGGAGTGAAGTGGCGCGATCTTGGCTCACTACAACCTCCACCTCCCGAGTTCAAGTGATTCTCCTGCCTCAGCCTCCCGAGTAGCTGGTATTACAGGCGTGCACCACCACACCTATTTTTTTTTTTTTTTTTTTGAGACGGACTCTTGCTCTGTTGCCAGGCTGGAGTGCAATGGTGCAATCTCACCTCACCGCAACCTCTGAACCTCTGCCTCCCGGGTTCAAGCGATTCTCCTGCCTCAGCCTCCCGAGTAGCTGGGATTACAGGCTCCTGCCACCACACCTGGCTAATTTTTTTGTATTTTTAGTAGAGACCGGGTTTCACCACCGTGTTGGCCAGGATGGTCTCAAACTCTTAACCTGAAGTGATCCGCCCACCTCGGCTTCCTGAAGTGCTGGGATTACAGGTGTGAGCCATGGCGCCCGGCCCCCACTCCCCTACTTATTGCCGATTAGACCATACCAGATGCTTATCCAGCGATGAACATGCTTACCACACATTCAGACTCTAAGTTGAGGGGGGAAATAAAGCTAGGTATACCCATATGTATTAATGTTGATATAAAATAAAGCTCATCTCCAAGCTACTTCAAGGTATGGGATTGTTTTGTCTCTGAGTTACGGGGAGTGGTCCACATTCTGAAGGCAAGTTCTGTTCCTTCTCCTCTGCAAATTATTTAGTCTCATTCTGGAAGCTTCTCCTTTCTCAGATTCAGTGGAAAGCAGATGTCACCATTTAGCTGGGAAGTCCCTTCTTCTTGCTGTGTAGCGGGAAGAGCTTTGAGTTAGGGAAGAGCTTTGAGTTAGGGAGGTCCTGGGTTGACTGTGAGACCCTCACATTGCCCTTAGCTACCTTGGCCCAGCAGATGAGCCCCTCTGTGCTCTAGTTCCTCTTGTGGGGAGGACAGCTGTTCAGTAAAGGTTCAACCTTGTCCAAAGAGAAGTCTGGCCTTTTCTCCAGCTTTGCAGTAGCCGAGAGGCCCTTGGCATGCTGTGCCTGGTGAGAGTGGCTTTGTTTAGCTGGGGGCCTTGGGCCCTGCTGGACAGTCTAGGCAAACGTGATTTATGCTGGGGGTCTTGGGCCACACAGGATGGCCCCACCTCTGGAGGGGCTGGACACTGAGGCCACCATGTACACATGATTAACCAGTAAAACCGTGGACGCCAAGGCTCGGGCGAGCTTCCCTGGTTGGCGATACTCCATGCGAGCTGGTGCACACCGTCACCAGGAGAAGCCAGCGCGCCGCAGGGCTCCACGGGGAGAGGACGGCTGGCAGCTCTGAGCAGAGCCCGCTATCTCCTGGATGGCCCTGCCTTGTGCATCTTGTCCTGTTGCTGATTTTCATCAGTGTCCGTTCACTCTCATAATTGTAGCCGTGTGTCCGACAGCTTTACTCACTTCCGTGAGTCCTTAGAGGGAACTCTTGAGCCTGGGGGTGGTCGGAGACTCCGGGTGGGCCCCATGTCCTTCCTCTGCCCCTCATGCCAGTCTCACGCCGACCTCTGGGCCTTTAATTATGATGTCAATTTTCTGTGGCAGACTTTTTATTTTACTCTGTTTGAAACTCACAAAGAAGCAATCCCGAAAGAAGAAACCTCCAGGTTTCCCGGCAAAGCATTTGCTAGAGAATCACCTGGGCTCTGATAGCACTGGAAACAAGGCAGCTTCTCACAAGTCATCTGATAGCAACACGTGATATACGTGACTGTTTGCTTTAGCTCAAGCCTTGGGGTCAGCCTTGGTTCTGTGGGCTGTGGGGCCACGTGGGTCTAAAGAGGCTCCAGCCTCAGCATGGATTCCTGTTTGAAAGGAGGAGGTGACCCTGCTCTAAGCCTCAGGCATGGCGCTCACTCTGGGGGTCACTCTTTGATTGAGGACCCATTTTCTTTTTTCTTTTTTTTTTTTTTGAGACGGAGTCTCACTCTGTCGCCCAGGCTGGAGTGTAGTGGTGCCATCTCGGCTCACTGCAAGCTCCGCCTCCCGGGTTCACGCCGTTCTCCTGCCTCAGCCTCCAGAGTAGCTGGGACTACAGGCGCCCGCCACCACGCCCGGCTAATTTTTTGTATTTTTAGTAGAGACGGGGTTTCACCGTGTTAGCCAGGATGGTCTCGATCTCCTGACCTCGTGATCTGCCCGCCTTGGCCTCCCAAAGTGCTGGGATTACAGGCGTGAGCCACCGCGCCCGGCCAATTGAGGACCCATTTTCAACAGGCACCTAAACACCCAAGAAGTACCTGGCGGACGGGCTCACCTGCGTTGCATTAGACATGGAAGCTCCGGCTCAGGGCAGCGCACAGAGGGGAACCCAAGGGAGAGTCAGCAGGGGGCTCGCCAGCAGGAAGGGAGCCTTGTTTTGGAGGCAGAAATGAAGATGGATGAGGCCACCACACCTGAGAAAGGGAGGGAGAGAGGAGCAGGGGAGAATGGCAGCCTTTGGCTTCTCAATGTTATGCTTCAGCGCCAGGATCCAGCCTAATCCTCCCCTTGCTTGGCACCCCCTCTGATCCATATTCTGATTTGGGGGTGGCCAGGTGTGTGTGTGTGTGTGTGAGAGAGACACTTCTGGGAGGCAGAAGCACCTGAGCAGCGCTGTTGGCTGTAAAGTGCCCATTTAGCATCTCTGGGGCTCCTGAGCACTGGTTCTCCTCATTCCCCCTCCACTATTCTTTTTCCATCACAGCTGTGCTGCGTATTCGTTCACCAACAGTATCTGTTACTGATTGCTTTTACAGAAATTAAGAAGATAGGTCAAAAAACTCTTGGATTGCCAGGTGTGGTGGCACAGGCCTGTGGTCCCAGCTACTTGGGAGGAGGATCGCTTGAGTCCAGGAGTCTGAGGCTAGCCTGGGCAACAAGAAGCCATCTCTAAAAACAAAGGCCCCAAAACATAAACAAAAACCCCTCTTGGATTGGCCAGTAATCAATTTGTTATATATTATCCTATAAAAGTACACAAATCAGTACACCTGGGCCAGCCCCAGCTTGTTTATTTACCTGTGTATTTTTTTTTAAATACAATTCTGGATTTGTTAAAAATCAGGGCTCCCCTGCTGTGCCCTTAGCTGTGTATTTCTAAAAGCCCCTCAAGAGCAACCACCCTACACCAGACATGACCAGTAAGACCTGTAAGTAGGAAAATAGGAATTCTAGAGATTATGGAGTTTTTATGTGGCCCCTGCCCCCACCCCCACCCCCAAGTTCTGTGGAATTTACATCATGCTTTTCATACGAAGCAGAAAGTCTTATGAGAGTAGGGGGCACTTGGCTTCCAGTCAGTTTGGGCCCATCTCTGCACCTCTAGGTCTATTCCTGTCTCTAAAAAAGGAACTGAATTAAGCTTAGTACATTTCAAACTTTTTGACAGTAGAATCCATTTTTTTTCCTCCAAATGAAATCTTATATAAAACTACATGTTAAATAAGAGCTGAATTTTTGATAATTTTATAGGTTCACATTAGTAATATAATGAGAACAGAGGCTAATGTGTTGGTGGTCTCCAAATATGCTGAAATTTAGCACGTTTGTTTAAAAAAATGCTGACGTTTTATAAAATCTAAACTTACCTAAAAACAAAAGCCTCAGGCTGGACGTGGTGGCTCACACCTGTAATCCCAGCACTTTGGGAGGCTGAGGCACGAGGATCACGGGGTCATAAGTTGGAGACCAGCCTGGCCAACATGGCGAAACCCCACCTCTACTAAATGTACAAAAATCAGCTGGGTGTGGTGGCACAGGCCTGTAATCTCAGCTCCCTGGTACGCTGAGACAGGAGAATCACTTGAACCTGGGAGGCGGAGGTTGTGAGGAGTCAAGATCGCGCCACTGCACTCCAGCCTGGGAAACCGAGTGAGACTCCGTTTCAAAAAAAAAAAAAAAGTTTTATAAAATCTAAACTTACATAAAAACAAAAGCCTCAGGCTGGGCGTGGTGGCTCACGCCTGTAATCCCAGCACTTTGGGAGGCCAAGGCGGGCAGATCACCTGAGGTCAGGAGTTTGAGACCAGCCTGGCCAACATGGTGAAACCCCGTCTCTACTAAAAATATAAAATTAGCTGAGTGTGGTGGTGGGCGCCCGTAATCCCAGCTAGTCCGGAGGCCGAGGCAGGAGAACTGCTTAAACCCAGGAGGCAGAGGTTGCAATGAGCTGAGGTCGCGCCATTGCACTCCAGCCTGGGCGACACAGTGAGACTCTGTCTCAAAAACAAAACAAGACGAAACAAAACAAAAAAACAATAGCCTCCGAGGAACGGGAGCCACTGGACTGGAATCAAGCTCTTCTGGTTCTGGGGTCAAGTGCACCATCAGAGCCCACAGCTGTCACAGCTATCCCTTGACACTGTCTCTATAGGGGCTGCTTCCCCAATGCAACATCGGGGCTGAGCATGGGCTCCGGGCGGCCCTGGGTGTCTCCATGGGGCAATGGTCATGAAGGACAGACCCTGGGGCCCATGACCGTGGTCACCCCTCGACCTTGCAGGGCCCGGGGTTCTCCTGTGTCAAGTGGTGGTGAATGCAGATGCAAGGGTTTCACCTGGAGTTCAGGATAAGAAGGAAACACTTTTTACCTGAGGAAGGTGAGCCCCCTTTCAGCGATCAGGCCCAGAGGCACTGGAATGAGACAGCAGCCACGCCCCACTCCCCCTCCTGCCTTGGGAGATCGTCTCCTGAAACCTGCTGTGTGGGTTCCAGACTGGTACCAATAGCTACGCCATGTAGCTAAAAATGCCACGTTGGACACGGTAACTCGTGGCCTGTAGTTCAACAATGTATAGCCAATCATTCACCAAGTGTTTCTGTCAACCTATGAGAACTAACCAAGTGTTTCTGTCAACCAATGAGAACTCCTGAAAAACAACTTGAGTAATTGCCCCTTTCCTGATCCGTCCTTTTTCCTTTAAATGCAGAAGCCTCTCTTTTTCTCCCCCAGAGCATTTCTCAAGGCAACTTGGAAGTGTTTCCTAGGCCGCAGCTCTCAACCTTGGCCCAAATAAGCTCTCTCCCTGTATTTTCTTTTTGAGACAAGGTGTTGCTCTGTCGCCCAGGCTGGCATGCAGTAGTGAGATGACGGCTCACTGCAGTCTCAACCTGTTGGGCTCAAGTGATCCTCCCACCTCAGCCTCCTGAGTAGCTGGGATTGCCGACATGAGCCGTGGGGCCTGGCCTCTCCCTATATTAATTTGTCTCAGTTTCTTCCTTTAGGTTGACAATACCGTAACTTCACACTGTCCACCTGGGTGTGTTCCTTATGGCCTGGCGTGGTGCTGCGGGCATGTCCCCAGGCCCTCACCTGTGTTCACCGTCACCCATGATGCTGCCCATCTAGAAGGCATTTCCACCATGTAACATGACGGTCGGGGCTTGGACCCCAGGCCACACTGCTTGGGTCGAAACCTGGCTCCACTCAATATTTGTGTGACCTCGGTCAAGTGACTTCACCTTTGTGTGCCTCAGTTTCCTCATTTGTGAATGAGGATAATAGTAGTAAATTATTTGGTGGGTTGTGAGAACTAAGTAAATTAACCCAGGGAAATGAGGCACCCACCACAGCTCCTGGCATAAAGGCAGTGCTAAGAAATATGAGTTCTCCTTGTCATTACTGCTGATGGGTGCTGCCAACCCTCACGGAAGGAGACACGAAGCCAGTACAGTTTTGCCTTTATGCTTCTTGCTACCCCAAAATAGCAGCAGCATGCAGCTGGGCTGAAATCGCAGCATGCCTCTGTGAGTGAGTCCTCTCGAACTCTCGTGCTGTAGGAAGTTACTAAACACCAGGTTTCCTCCAATTTTAAGATGAGGGATAAGGACCGCAGCGGGCGAGCATCTAGTCTGCGGAAACATCGACGTGAGTAGCGGTGCAGGATGTGAAGTCTTCTGGCTGGCGAGTCCACTTTTAGGTGGAAGTGGGGCATGTGCGGTTCTTCGAAACAGCCAGCAAAGTTACCGGACCCTTGGGCGAAGGCCACACTCTGCCTGGGTCTCAGCCTCGTCCACGTGCCCCCAGCTGCAGAGTGACGGCGTCTGCACCTCTGTCAGTGCGAAGGGAGCACAGACGCCACTGGGTAGAGAAGGAAGCTAAGCACAGAGCTTGCCCTCCCACGCCAGCCGGCGTGCTGACCACACGCAGCTATGGAGAGGTGAGGTTATAACCACGACACGAGCAGATAACACTTTAGTCCTGTTTCCATGGGCTTCTCGCAAGAGCATCAGCGAGGATAATGATCTCTCCACTGAGGAGGAGGTGGGCGAACTAGGATCCTAAATTCATACTTTCAGCAATTCCCTATTTTCAAGACTTTCATTTCTATAAATTGTATTGATTCACCTTTTCTTACTCAAAAAAAGCCCCAAAACCCAAACCAAACCAAGAGGCGGTCTATAAAAAGTCACACTGCCTTTTCCACTAAGTAAGTAAAAAAATCAGTGGATAGACTTAGCTTTGAACAGCTGTGGCTAGCATCTGGCGCAGCCAGCGCTCCAGGCGGGCTGGATGGAGATGGCCAGCCCCTCTGCAGTCAGCGTCCCTGTGTGTGGGCGGCCCTGACCTAACGGGAACCCGATAACGTCAGAGCCAGCTTGCTCAACACCATGGCTAAATTTAGTTTCATGATGAGCAATAAAATTCACATGTTCTTTATTTAGTCCATATGATACACCGTTTTTTAGAGTTTTTGAAAATTAGATAAAAGAGCATATTAAATGGCAAGTGTATGAAGTTTCTCTTCATAAACAATGTCAAAACAAAAAGTTTTGAATTACAAAATGTTAAAAAATATGTCGGTACTTAACATTTCACTAATGCATAAAGTTACAGATATTTTCTAAAGAAAAATAATTGTGCCACTTACCTATATTTGCTGTTTCTATGAACTTTTTTATTCTGTACATAGGACATTTTGTACAAAATATGAAGTCTACATTTTTATTACTTATTACCATAAAACAAAGATACAATGTATGTACAATATTAAAAGGAAGCCATACTAAAGCCACACTAAAAAGACACTTGGAATAGTGACATTTCTGATGTACAGATACATTTTGGAAAGAGTGAAGATGCCAAACGCAGAACTTTATGAAGAAAAACAGTCACCGGTTTATTTTCAATGTAGTACTTTTGAAATCAGTTTGGTACAGAATAAACAGTCTCTATACAATGATATGTAAGCTGACAATTAGCACAGGAGTCCGAGTACTAACTAGGGAAACTTTAGGAGGCCAAAATATTAAGTAATACTCTTGCCAAAGAAAATTAGTTTCTCTGAAAACTTTTATTTTTCTTTTTGGTGAGTGTTTGTCTTCAATAAAGAGCAGAAAGAAAACCTAGACAAAAAGATGTTCTTACACACTGAGCTTTACACAGTCACCCAAACATTGATATTTTGCTTTTTCCCGAGGGCAAAAAGAGAGTCTTCCCAGAAACCTCTCTCACAAACATACTGAACATCCAAAATCAAGGATATTTGAGAATCTATCAGCTAAAGACGGAAGTTCAAACAATGGTATATCAAAATACATAAGACGCTGCTTTATACAATAAAAAGCACCCTTTTTCCCTCAAAAGGAGAAGGCATCTAAACTGTTTTTTTTAATGATAGTTTTCATAATGGTAAAATGGAGAGATACTTGTCAAGTTTCTCAGGAAGTATTCATCTCACAAAGCGGACTTGTCCACTTTTAGCTGGGGCAATCTTCGCATTTCATACCTGCACTTGCTCTTACCACAAGAAGTCCCCTCCCCCCAGGTGATTTTCCTCCAAGACACGAGGACAGAAGCATTGCCAGTGGCTTGAAGTGACAGCAGTGGGCAGGAGGTACCAGAGCTGCACAAGGAGCAGTGTCTGCTTCTCACTATCTTTGAAAGGATACCCGAGACCTCGATGAAAAAACAGATCCTAAAATAAGCCACATTTTGTCTTTTATGCCTCAAGACACTTAACATTAAGTTATATAATCTTATGCCAGAGATGAAAGAAACTAGATCACGTGTTTAGAATAGCAGTACACATCTCAAGTAGCTTTCAAGCAGGATAAATAAGTCAAAATACTGGCCACCCTGAGAGAAATAAAGAATAGACAAAGCACTAAGTTTAAAGATTTTTCTCCTTGTGCTATTCCATCTAAAACAAAAGCTCAGTACATGCAAGGAACTCTGTGGAATATATAGCAGCATGTGAAGACCGATGAAAACTCAGACACTGTATTTTCCTTACAAGGTGTTGATAACGTGAGCTCTTTTCAACAGAAAGAGCTCCACTAAACGTCATCCTCGCTGGTGCCTCCTCCAAGCTCTCAGAACAGCACTGCAGCCTTCAGTGAAGGCAGCGGCAGTGCCGGCCCCGTGCAATGCTGTTGTGTTACTTTATGCTTAAAGGCGCTGCAGTTTGCATTAGGCTAAGAACTGGCTTAACTCAAAATGATTTTGCTCTAACTTTCCATAAAATGTGGAATTCTTAGAGACTATAATTTTATTAATTCAAGAGCCTTGTTGAAGGGCAACAATGTTTAAGTTGACGGAAACGAAATCTGCAAATAAAAATATTAACACATAATTTTAAAACTCCAATTTCTGTCAAGGTAGACAGAGCAAGCTCTTTTAAGATAAATTTCAGAGCAATCTCTTTTAAAATAAATCTCTTCTACAGGCTTACTCCTGGAATCCTGGAGTACCACAGACTTGGAAATATGGCTTTAGGTACACACAAGAGAAGGAGACACGGTGTTCATGTCACTCATCAAAGTGAAGAGACCCCTTAGAAAATACCAGCGGCTGAGGATTGTCATTTGCCCAGTACGTTGCGTGAGAACTCGAAAGCAAAGAGCCATTTCACTGAGATTGAAAAACAAACAAAACGAGAACTGCTGGCGTAACAATCACGTGGAAACCATTTCAAAGGCTGTAAAGTCTTAAAAAATAGGTCCTATTTTTTAAAGCGTTCCTTTGATTTGGAAAACACTGATGTTATCACAGAACCACCTATGTTAAAAGATCCTAAGTTCCATTTGGGAGAACATGAAGATGAAGGGCAGGGTGCTTTCCTATCGCTCTGACTTTGTGAAATAGTCTGACTTGGACTACGCTGGGGTGGCGGCGACACTGCGAGGACACCGTCGTCAACCCGCGGCTCTGCCAGCGGGCTCTGGGAAGTCACCATTGTTTGAACTCCTAATCTCGCGCTGAGGCGGACGCACGTTATTGCCTACGGAACGGGGTCCAAGAAAGCTTTGAGTGTAACTGATTGGTATGGCACAGGAAGTATGTATTTTCTACAGAATCCGGAAAAGAACTGGCGGGCCCGGCCCCGACGCGGCGCCCCGGAGGCTAGCGGCCGTCCTGGGAGGCCAGCTCATCGGCCCTGCAGTGAGCTTCCAAGGCTTTCTTGGTGTGGGGGTCCTGAGGCAGCTCGGACTTGCGGCGTGCAAGAGGACGGTCCTTCTTCGGATCTTTCTGTGCCTGGAATTAGAAATGCAATGGCGTTGGCTACAAACTAAGCTATCTGAAAAGCAAGCTTACTTCTGAGGTGGAAGTCAAAGGATAACCGCGAGGCACGTGTGCCTCACCCACTCGCTGGCGGCACCCTGGCCACAGGGAAACGGCGTAGGTCTTATCATGGAAATTTGCCAAAAATGTCTTGCTACTAAAAATCGTGACTCGTTTGAGGACCTGTGTGTTCAATACTGGCATTCTGGTCTTCTGAAATGTGCAGTGCTTGTACAAAGGACTCAGTACCTCTAATTTGCAGAATTCATGCATTTTAGTAAATTTCCTAAGTAACCTCCTATTTCATAAATGTCATTAAAGCCATTTCATGGGCATGTCCCCTACAGAAGCATTTCAAGAAGCAGAAATTTCTGGCTGGGTGCGGTGGCTCATGCCTGTAATCCCAGCACTTTGGGAGGCCGAGGCGGACGGATCACGAGGTCAAGAGGTCAAGATCAGCCTGACCAACATAGTGAAACCCCGTCTCTACTAAAAATACAAAAATCAGATGGGTGTAGTGGCGCGCGCCTGTAATCCCAGCTACTTGAAAGGCTGGGGCAGGAGAATCGCTTGAACCCGTGAGGTGGAGGTTGCAGTGAGCCGAGATTGCACCACTGCAGTCCAGCCTGGGTGACAGGGCCTCCAGACTCCATCTCAAAAAAAAAAAAGATGTAGAAATTTCCTTGGAGGTAAAGAAAAAGAATGAATAAAAAACATATTTAAATTGGATTTCAAACTTCTATCAAATTGAAAAAAATATATACTCTCTTCTCCAATCCATTGTCTTTCTAAAGTCTAGGAAATTTTGGTTTCACTTAAAAAAAAATTAAGTGAATCCCATTTTTGCATGAGGATTTGGATAACTGTATCTGCAATAAAAGGGAAACTTAATTTGGAGAGTTTACATATCAAAAGCATCCATTTCCATGAATAAACACATAATTCAGTTTAAAAGTAGAGACACTGTGTTAATACCAATATTCTGAAACAAAACAATAAACCATCTAAATCACCCAAACATGATGTATATGCCAGAAGACTGACTGCCAATTAGTTAGAAACTTTTCTGGATAAAGTTTCTTCACCAAAATTAAGTCTTCCTTTTTGTTCAGTGTATTGAAAAAGACTAAGTTACTTTTGTGGTATGTCTAGCAGACAAAATTTAAGTCAGTCTTTTGACAACAAAAAGAACGTAAGCGTAAAAACGCCTTACAAATTCCAGATGTCTGATTTTGACATGGATGTAAAATACATTTTCCTTCGCTTTAATGAAAAATTCAAGGACCTGCAGAAGTCCTGAATGTAAAGTTCAAATTTTTGCTAAGTGTTTCTCAGCAGGGTTCTTTGCAAATTTACCGATGAAAACAGCAATAATGTCAAGGTTTAAAAAGAATTTTGTCACATCACTTTAGGATTATTTCTAGAAATGTTATTTGAATATTAACATTCACTCATGGTAGGGGCAGGACTTTTGGTTTCTTGTTTCCCTGGAAACCAGCGTGAGGGTTTTAGGAGAATCATCCATCTCTGGAGATGGTGAAGGTCACGGTCCCCTCACCCATCACGGTACTTGTAAGAGCGTGTTAACGTGTGAGGATGTAAAGCATGTCTACCTTCAACCCAGAGGTGAAATTCTACCCTGAATTTTATGCCCATTCTATGTTGATCTGTAAAACAAAGTGAAGCAAAACAAAACCAAGATTTTTATATACTTGAAATATGTAATTACAGCTGAAATAGGCACTCCAAAGAGAAGAAACATATTCATAGAAAAAGGCAACAGTAAAAAGCTTGGAGCTGGAACCAGTGAATGCAAACTGAGAACACAAACATGACCCCAGAGCTTCTGAAAGGACAGAAAACCGGTGGATATATCTGGGCCTTTCTGCTTAGACATTTTAAATTGATGTGTAAAGCAGAGAATAATTTTACCATCCACAAGGCAAAAAAATGAGAGCAGCAGCAGGCAGGGAGAATAAGACAGCATGCAGATGGCAGGCTGATGAACGGCCTGGCAGAGGGGATGTGCAGGTGAACATGCTGGCAGGGGCGGAGCGGACCACAGGAGACACAAGTCAGAGAGAGGTGGCCTCTCTTCTGCAGCCCACGGGCAGACCCGGAAGGCTCAATGTAAACCGTAAATGCTGAAAGCACACCAGGCATTGGGCATACATGGCTATGCAAGTTTCCTTCCTCTTATAAAGGTGTAACTTCAAACTTTACTACTTAATTTCAGATAGAAATAATCAACATTTCTTAAGGGACCAAATTTCTTTAAAATTTTTTTTTTATTTTTATTAGAGACAGGGTCTCTGTCACCCAGGCTGGAATGCAGTGGCATGATTACAGCTCACTGCAGACTCCAACTCCTGGGCTTCAGGGATCCTCCTGCCTCAGTCTCCTGAGTAGCTAGGACTACAGGCACGCACCACATGCCTGGCTATTTTTTTTTTTTTTCTTTTTCTAGAGATGAGGTCTTGCTGTGTTGCCCAGGCTGGTCTCAAACTCCTGGCTTCGAGCAATTCTCCTGCCTCAGCCTCCCAAAGTGTTGGGATTACAGGTGTGAGCCATGGTGCCCAGCCACCAAATTTCTTTCTTTTTAAAAATTATTTTATATTTATTTTTGACACAGAGTCTCGCTCTGTCACCCAGGCTGGAGTGCAATGGTGCAACCTCGGCTCACTGCAACCTCCACCTCCTGGGTTCAAGCGATTCTCCTGCCTCAGCCTCCCAAGTAGCTGGGATTACAGGTGCCTGCCACCACGTCCGGCTAATTTTTTGTTATTTAGTAGAGATGGGGTTTCACCATGTTGGTCAGGCTGGTCTCGAACTCCTGACCTCAGGTGATCTGCCCGCCTCGGCCTCCCAAAGTGCTGGGATTACAGGCATCTGCCATTGTGCCCGGCCTCCCAGCTGCCAAATTTCTTTCTTTGTTTTGACCATCACAATCTGGAATGACATGGACAAAAGGGAAAATACTTCATGTCCACGTTAACTCGTCAATTCTTCTCCTGGAGAACAGGCCTTCAATGTGCTCTACACGTTGAGTAATGAGAGCCTGCACTGCCCACCTTCCGTCTCTCTACACCTTCCTTACTTGCGTGGTTGACACTGCTTTTCTCCCGACCAACTGTTAAAAATGAGAATTGCAAACATTTAAAATGTCTATAATATAAATGTTATTCACATGATATTTGCTAGTTTTCTTTGAATGTTCTGTATAGGGTTATACTAGTTTCTTGAAGGAAATGTAAATAAAGGATAGGTAGATACATGGTTGAATTTCTCCACAAAAATCCAGCCTACTCCATCCATCAGCATCAGAGCCTGCTTCCCACTCTCCAGCTATTCCTTCAACTACCTCTCACACCTCTCCCTACCCAACACTCACATCATCTCAAAGAAATGTGAAATTATTTTGGAAAAATAAAGTTAGCTGAAAATAAAATTAAAAGGGCACTGAATATAATCAAATGACTATATATAAAAACCAAAAAAGCTTAATTTTCAGCTATCATTTCTTACGTCAATTTGGTCACCAAATTGTGCACGTTTTTCCTGCATCCCGGTACCTTTTTTTTTTTAATTTTCAGAGTCCGAGTCTGGCTCTGTCACCCAGGCTGGAGGGCAGTGGTGCGATCATAGCTCACTGCAGACTTGAATTGGTACCTTCTTTTTGCTTTAACCATAGTGCTTTCAGAATTTCCAGAAAACGACTCCAAACATTTTTCAACTTAAGAAAAGTTTATTGGCTGGGCGCGGTGGCTCATGCCCATAATCCCAGCACTTTGGGAGGCCAAGGCAGGCAGATCACTTGAGACCAGGAGTTTGAGACCAGCCTAGCCAACATGTTAAAACTCCATCTCTGCTAAAAATACAAAAATCAGCTGAGTGTGGTGGTGCCGGTAGTCACTGCTGCTTGGGAGGCTGAAGTGGGCGGATTGCTTGAGTCCAGGAGGCCGAGGCTGCAGTGAGCCAAGATTGTGCCACTGCATTCCAGCCTGGGTATCAGAGCAAGACCCTGTCTCAAAAAAAAAAAAAAAAAAAAAAAAAAAAAAAGCAGAATTTATCATTTCAAATATTACACCTAGAGACTGCACTTCATAAATACCTTCATCTGGATAGGTTGAATTCAACTGAATTCAATTGATTCAACTGATCCACAGAAATCTACAAGGAGTCAGGCCAGGCACAGGTCCTCACACCTGTAATCTCAGCACTGCAGGAGGCTGAGGTAGAAGGATCGCCTGAGCCCAGGAGGTTGAGGCTGCAGTGTGCTGTGATCACACCACTGCACTCCAGCCTGGGTGACACAGTGAGACCCTGTCTCCAAACACAAACAAAAACTATAAGAAGTCTTGGAATTGCATAGTATTATTAGTCTTCCAACTTTGTTCTTTTTCACAGTTGTTTTGGCTACTCTAGATCCTTTGCATTTCCATGTGAATTTTAGAATTAGCTTTCTCAACTTCTTGAGGATAAAAAGCCTGCTGAGATTCTAATGGAGAGCACGTTAATCTGGGGAAAACAGACATCCCAATGACTCTTCTGAGTCTTCTGACTCAGGAACATAATTCATAGAGATCTAAGGATGAGGTGAGGGAATCACTGTTGTAAGAATATCAGTCACACAGGAAACCCGGTGACAGAATACAATTTCAAGAGTTGTGAAAACAAGGAAGCAGACATGCTACAGGAGTTCTCCAAGAACTGTCCTGCCTGTGTGTGTATTTACAAGTAGACACGTGGATGGCCATAGGACTGGTTCCTTCCTGTCACTGTATAAGGTAACCCTCCCAGGAGGGGACGTGCCCCTTTCTAAGGGCAGTGGACAGACCAAGCAGTTGGACGTTCTGGGGCCCCGAATATCACACAGATACTAGGCCTGACTTTCAAAGGCAGCTTTACTCAGGAGAGAATGCTATTTTGGTTTGCATTCTTGATCAAGTTCTTGATCTACTACAGAGCAGGACCTAAATTGCAAATATGCACACACCTTTCAGGTACATCACATTTTGGACCTAGTTTATTCTTTGTCTAGCTTTAATTCTGACCTAAGTCAAAGGCTATACCAAAAATAAAAATTCCCCAACCCTAAGCTATTTAATGTGTAAGAATTGGTTTTTTTTTTTTTTTTTTTTTTTGAGACGGAGTTTTGCTTTTCTTGCCCAGGCTGGAGTGCAGTGGCACCATCTTGGCTCACTGCAACCTCCACCTCCCAGGTTCAAGCGATTCTCCTGCCTCAGCCTCCCAAGTAGTTGGGATTACAGGAACCTGCCACCAAGCCTGGCTAATTTTTGTATTTTTTAGTAGAGATGGGGTTTCCCCATGTTGGCCAGGCTTGTTTCAAACTCCTGAGCACAGGTGATCTGCCTGCCTCGGCCTCCCAAAGTGCTGGGATTACAGGCGTGAGCCACCACACCCGGCCAAGAATTGGCTTTTTAACTGTGTATAGCCTCGTGTCTTAAAAATGAACACGTGGCCACAAACTCCCAGGCAGGTTCCCTCACAGAAGAGACACCGACTGTGATTTCCTTCTGTGTGCAGTAACAAGGTCAACTTAACAAGTCTTGAGCAAATTTGAAGCCACAAAATCAAAATGGTATAAAAAGGCAACCTTAAATTCCTGAGTTAAAAAAAAATATCAAGAAGAACATTAACACTCCCACAAAGAGAGAAATATATACAGATTTTCATATTTTTGATGACATCTATTCATTGCTAAGAACATTCATGGTGAGGAGAATATGGAACCAACTGGATTAGATAGAAAATTAGTTACTGATATTCCAAGTCTTCAGTGAGCTTTTCCACTGTATTTCTAGTATTTTCAGGCTTTGATGAGCTAAGAAAAGCATTCAGTCATCTATTTTGCTCTTAACCTGAGTTGAGGAATTAGAGGGGCAGAAGAGGCCGATGACCGTGGCTGCCGTGGGGACTTGGTGCCGTGAGCCCTTTCCTGTGCAACTCCGGAAAGGAGCCGGGGATATGGCGTCAGCCATGTGCTAATTCCGAATCTTCTAGCAGTCACATTCAAGAAGTAAAAAAGAAATGGGGGGCATTCATTCAAACAACATATTTTATTTAATGCAGTAAAGGAGTAAAACAATGGCTACTCCACAGGCGGGGCGCCTACTTTCACTTCTTACCTCAGAATTTTAGAAGGGGATGTCTTTTGGAATTCTTTCGCTGGTCAAAAAGAGGTTAAAGTTTCTCAGTGAGAAAGGCCAATGTCCCCAGGCCATTTGGGACTACTGTTTTAGTTTACAGGCATTTGAAACAGGGAGGGACGCTCAGGGAAACACGGCAGCTGAAACGCTCCTTGAACCCAGGCAGGAACTGAGTCAGTTGTCCTAAGTGTCTACAGGCCCAGCTGAGGAGTAACAGTGGTCGGAGGCTCTCTTTGGAGGTGGCCTGTGACCAAAGCACTGAAAGACAGTGCCCGGGAGGGGGCGAGGGGGGCGAGGGGGGTCAGGGGGGAGAGGGGGAGGGGTGGGGGGGCGAGAGGAGTGAGGGGGATGAGGGGGGCAAGGGGAGAAGGCTGAGGGGTGGGGGGAGGGGTGGGGGGGCGAGAGGAGCGAGGGGGATGAGGGGGGCGAGGGGAGAAGGCTGAGGGGTGGGGGGAGGGGTGGGGGGCCAGAGGAGCGAGGGGGATGAAGGGGGTGAGGGGGGAAGGGGACGGGGCGAGGGGGGTGAGGGGGCAAGGGGGGAGGGGCAAGGGGGTGAGGGGACAGGGGGAGGGGCAAGGAGGGTGAGGTGTCCTAGGGAGAGGGGTTGTTAGCACCCGCTGTGAAGAGCTAAGGGAGCCTCTCTGGGTCGAAGCAGAAGCCAGAGGGCTGTGAAGAAAACAGCGAGGGGTGGATATGGCTGTGAAGCTTTCGATTTTGCTGGAGTGAACATTTAAAGAACAGTTAAGAGTTGGGATTACTACTGCTGTTAGTAAATGGAGATACACATCTCAGGCACATACTTAATCCTTAAAAACTGTTTCTAGTAATTTGATCACTAAGATCTATCGATACAATGTTTCCTATAAGACTAGCAAAATTTAAGTTTTAATTTCAGCTTAAACAGAAGGCACTGATGCAAATCACATCGCCTACAAAAATGTGCATTTCTTAAGCAAATCAGTCATGGGTGCCCAGCTGAGCTCGGTGCACTTTTACCTGATGAGCCTCGTCCTTCACTGTCTTTCTCAGCATCTGCACATCTTCAAATAAAGGCCCATCTGTCTCCATTGCAACCGGAATGCTCATGGTGCTGGCTTGACTATACACTGTGTACTGCAATGCAAAGCGTGGAGTCGCTCTGTTAGGTGCCCAGGCTCTGAACTCCAAGCTTCTCATCCTGGCTAGGGACTCATCTCCCCTGCCGCCCCCCAGGGCCCTCTCCCGCAGGAAGCCCACTCAGTGGGAGACTCGCCTACACCTGCAACATGATGCGGCTGCTGACTTCTGAAACCAGAAAGCACTCAGTGGAGACAGTAAAGCAGCTGGTCCCCTCCTGACCCCTCTGCATCTGATGGACAGTGGCCCGCCCATACCCTGGCCCACACCCCATGGCCTCTGCAGTTCTGACTCCACGTGAGCAGCCAAGTGCGAGGTCGCACCCTGGGCTCGGTGGTGGGAGCTGTCTCACCACTGGAACCCTCACCTCTGGCCGCCCATTCTTTGCCAGCGACCTCCAACCTCATGATTCTTTTCCCTTTCCTCTCACGATCATGTCCTCTCATCGAGACAGCTGGCACGGTTCTCTCTCCCCTTTATCCCATTTTCCCGGCTTGCTTATGAAACCCTCTCATCACATCCCGGGTGACTTGCTCTCCACCAAAACAAACGCAGCCTGGGTGAGCCTGACGCTCCCTCTCCATTCCCTACGGGCGGCCCTGGGACTTCTCCACTCTCCCTGTGCTCTGGATTGAAACACAGATGGCTCAGCCCTCAGTCACTGGGCCTGGTTGACTCCATTTCCATGAGTGTAGTGCGGGGGTAAGGTCACCCCGGAGGGTGGCTGTGAGGGTTCCATGAGACAGGGTGCACAGGACAGTATGACTGTGACGAGCGTCTGCTGGCTCTGAGGGCACAGGCGAAGGAAGTGGCATCTGTGTCTGCTGTGAGCTGGGAACTGTGTGGGGCGCCTGTTTGTCCTGCGTGGTCGTGTGTGTGTACTGCCACCCTCACCTGGCTGATGGGGGAACTGGGACATGGAGGGGCTGGGGAACTTGCTCAGGGCCTCTGAGTTCAGGAGAGGGGAGCGGGGGTTCCTGCCCAGGCTGCTCTCATCCACACCCCTCCATTCTCTGCCCAGTGAGTCCCACAGCTTCGGCCTCTTTCAGGCTGAGCTCCTGTCACAGCAGCGCCCTCCTGCTGACCTGCTTCACCCCTGCCTCTCACCCCCTGCCCCCTCACCCCTGCCCCTCACACCCTGCCAGCCCAGAGCAGCTCCGTTCTCAGCCACCGTCTGGTGTTGGCCCTCATCCTCTGACGGAGCCACCTCTGGCATGAGGCCTATGGGTGCCCTCTGGCTGCTAAGCCCTTCCCGGCCTTGCCTCACTGGGCCTCTCTGAGGAATGATGACCATGGACGCCATCATTCAGCCCTGAACCTGCACCCTCCCTCGGTCTCTGTGACCCCAGCCTCTCCTCCAGGTGCCTTGGGCTCCTTCCTCTGTGGGCTGTCTTCGGCCTTTTCCCACACCCTCTGTCCCTCCTTATTCACCCTGGCTTCCATGCCTCCAGGCCCAGGCCCTGCTGCTCAACTCAGCCCACCTGGCTTCCACGTCCCCCAAAAACAGACGGGGCACACACCCTCAGCTGGGTTCCTTCCTTGAAGGCCAGTCAGACCAGGTCCTCAGCGCCCTGTGCCTTCACTCCCACAGCTCCGCCCAGCACCACGATCTCCACACATCTCCACACCCTACCCCGACAGCCCCAGCACTCCATCCATGCTGCGCCAAAGAGCTTGCAAAAATGCAAGTCGGGCTGGGCCATTTTGCCCTTTATGGCTCTTTAATATCTGCTGACATTTTGGGGGAATTCTGCTCCCTCTCCACCCTCACCTCTCAGCAGATCGCACCGGCCCACCCCATAACTGACACCCCACCAGGACCGACACCTGTCACCCACTGTGTCCCTGCTTTTCTCTACCTCTGCCGCGGGCACCTTCCCTCAAGTCTGACTGGGTGAGGCCCCTTCAGTCAAACCAAGAGGCCAGGCCCCCGTACTGTGTGTGTCTTTCTTTAGAGATGGGAACGAATAAGCTGGTCCTGCCATCTCCAGCACACTCCCCCAGGTATGTTATTAATACAATCTGATCATCTGAGCTGAATTCATCTGCCTCTCCTAATGGACTGTAAGCTCCCTGAGGCTGGGGGCTATGTCTTGTTCTCATCTTTGTATCCCTAGAAATTTCCACAATTCAGGACACAGCACCTTTCCTCGAGGGGGCTCACAGTCAGGTGGGAGATACAGAAACCTAAGTGGCTGCAAGACTCCTGAGACTTGCGGGGACTGTTTCACACCAACGCTTCTTCTGCTTTTGACTACTCCAGGCAACAAGCAGTGCTCTTCATGGGACCCACCAACAGCCTCCGCTTGGAGCACGGCTCTCTGGCCCTCGGGGCAAAGGAGAGTGTCCCTACACAAGAATGCTACCAGATGTTCACAGCAAAATAAACCTCACACAGCGGGCACTGGCAGGAGAGGGTTCTGACTAGGAATAAAAACCTTCACTGAAGGCCAGGTGCGGTGGCTCACACCTGTAATCCCAGCACTCTGGGAGGCCGAGGCAGGTAGATCACAAGGTCAGGAGTTCGAGACCAGCCTGGCCAACATAGTGAAACCCCGTCTCTACTAAAAATACAAAAATTAGCCAGGCATGGTGGCGTGCACCTGTAGTCCCAGCATACTTGGGAGGCTGAGGCACTCCGGAGGACTGCTTGAACCTGGGAGGCGGAGGTTGTGGTGAGCCGAGATCACGCCACTGCACTCCAGCCTGGGTAACAGAGCAAGACTCCATCTCAAACAAACCAAACCAAATCAAACCAAACCAAACCAAACCAAAACAAAAACCTTCACTGAGGTGCATTCCGCACATGAGCTCCTCTCTCGAAGGAAAGGCAGGCATCCGTCCCAGACCCTGCCCTGGGTTGCTCATGGCAGTTTTGGTCGTTGCAAACACTGAGCCACAGCTACTCTGAGTCTCACAGAAGTGCCTGTCTTCATTTCATATGATTCCCACAAAAGCTGGGGGAAGTGAGTAGTAAAATATTATATGGCCCCTTTTGATGGATTAGGAGAAACACATTTATGTTAGAAACTGCCAATGTTTCATGATTTTAGAAAATTAAATCATCTGTGACATTAAAAACCCCAATAAAGTTGCCATAACTGCTCAAATAAGACACACTCCTGAGGGCACCGCAGCCTTCCCGGGTCCCCAACGCCTGCTGGGTACGTGCTGTCACACGTTTGAGTGGACGAAGGCTCGGTCTGCAAGGACGGGGGGCATCAGGGAACACACAGCGAGTCCCTGGGAACCCACCTTAAAAACAAAGCCCGCAAACCAATTCTCCACAGGCAGATCTGAGATGGAAAACCAAACTTTGAAAACCCAACTATTTTCACTACAGAAATAACCAGACTGTATTATCCACAAAATTATTGACTTTTTGTTGCTGTTGTAATGGGAAGCAGTGATCAGAATTTAGATATTTTCTCCTGAGAATGAGAAGCAAGTACGAGGCCAGAGTTTCCAGCTCTGAGGTATTGACCCATGAAGTATTTTCTGTTTAGGAGACCATGTGCCATGCGACTAGAGCATGTGGACGAGACTCATGGGGACTGCGTCACAGATGGCGTCAACACAGACATGAGGACAAGGCAGGGCTAAGCTCCCAGCATCACAGTTCGTCAAAGCTCCTATGCAGAACCACGGCATGCCTGCCACCACCACAGACGTTTGCAAAGAGAGCAACCAAAAAGAATACAGAAAGTTACTTGAGAACATTCAGGAAAAGTTGAGAAAAAGAAAAAAGAGAACAATACGTATTTCAGAAGAAACATTGGTTACGTACAGTATGTGCAGTAGTGAAACTGGGCCATGTTTGTCAACACAAACAACCAGCTCTTGATTTGTAATGTAACAATTTTATGCAATTTTTCAATAAGTTATCTCTATATTCTAGGTACATAAAATCAGACCTTCTGATTCGTGTGTGTGTGTTTGTGTGTGTGTGTGTATTCATTTCTCACATGTTTTCGAGGCTACTGATTTCAACTGCATGTGTACTGGGGTCCTTGACAATCCTGAGGGCTATCAGCACCCACTTTGCCTGAGGCTCTTCAGAACAAAGCAAGACACGCAGGGCAGCGTCAGGCAGGGCTGGGCCTTATAAACTTGCCCAGGTTTATAGTGTTACCATGTTTTAAAACAAATATCAGTATTTTAACCACACTTTCAACATAAATTCAATTCGTTAAAAGGAGACGCCTATAGCTACCTACCTCAATTAAGGATTATACAGTTTTAGACAGTAATCTTAAAACAGCATTTCTGTCAGCATGAGTAAATAACTGCTAGAAAAATGCTGGCTACCTGTTTTAGGTGGACTCAAGGGCTCACAATTAGAAATGTCATTCCGTTTTCCTGATTTGAGTTTCCTGATTGCAGTTTTATCAGAGTATACAAACCAGTATGTTGTTATATAGGTAAAGATATACTTTTAACTTTATATTCATGTATAACTTTTTATTAAGTGTCAGAGAAATCTAAAAACCAACTTAGGTAACTATGCATATCTCTCACTAAAAGAAATACATTGTTCGGTAAAATCTTTTCTGGAGAGTTGAAGGAAAGCTTGAGAATTCTTAAGAGTGGCAAAGATTCAGACAAAAGATTTTCTGAAAAAGATTTTCTTTTTAAGAGGCACTGTTATAATCAGGCACACAGAACGTGAAGAAACTGTCATAACGCTCTAGTCATTTACAGCAGCGTACATCAAACCCAAAGACCATGACACCAGGAAACCCTCCCGGACCCTGGCAGCCCCGGCAGCTGGAACTGCCGGCAGCTCCGGGACGTCCGGCCATCGGCGCAGACTCACCAGAGCACACTGGCACCCGCTGCTGGGGTGGGAAGGAGGGTTGGCTGCTAATGTGGCAGAATTCAGCTGATTTTTAATGATAAAAGGCTGGGCTTACAGAAACCTCATACAAAGAAAGAGGACATCAAAACGTCATACTTAATCTATTTCCAATCTAATTTCCTTTCTTTTAGAACTAATTTCATATGAAAAAGAAAGGGAAATGCTGTTTGAGTGACAGCATCTATGATATCTGAGAGAGGAGGCACAGTCTCAGGCTGTATTCAAGTTTTCTTTTTACCACAGTATATGCATAAGATTCAGATCTTATTTAAAAAGCAGAGGAAAAAAGTCAATTCTGTGGTAAAACGATATGGGGCAAAATAAGTACTTGTACAAAAGGAGGGTTACAAAGTTTAAAAGTACTTTTTATTGCAGACATTTTCATATACAACGTTAGTGAAATCGAGACCCCCCCCATGGTGAAGACATATATTCCTATCTTATAAAAACATTCAAGTAACCCTGGGCGTTTTCATGTTATTCTCTTTTTTAGTACCTGGGGATTGGCTTTGGCTAGATTTTCTATTTTAACCCATGCTTCTTCCCGTTCTTTCATTTTTAGCTTCTCTCTGAAAAACAGTAAAATGTCATCTGTGTTAGAGATGCATCAGACACAAGAACACACTGAAGGGGAAAAGGCACAGGCATGTTGAGCCCAGCCAGCGGCTCCTCCCGCAGCCCCCCTGCTCCATTTCCCCACACTTACGTGCTGAGCACAGCATGAAAAACGAACTGAGATTTAAACATGAGAAAATATAAAAAAATTTAACATGTCCAAGATTGGAATTCTTAAAAGAAATCTTATATAAGTACGTCTTATGTCTCAATCCTTCCCCCTTCCCCTGGTTAGATGTTTCTTCATGGGACCCACATAATTTTGACAAGAAGCTCATATATCCACTGAAAAAACGAGTATGCAGTACAGTGTAAAGGGACCAGTACTGTAAAAGGAGCCAGCATTCCCATTCCTATAATATTAAAAAGGAAACGTCTTAAGAGCCAGGAGACCTGGGTTGTTGACTGACTCCACTGCGAGTCACATGACTTTCAATCGCTTAACTCAGATCCAAGTTTTTTTTTTTTTTTGAGACAGGGCCTCACTCTGTCGCCCAGACTGGAGTGCAGTAGCAGGATCTTGGCTCACTGCAACCTCCACCTCCCGAGCTCAAGCAATTCTCCTGCCTCAACCTCCCGAGTAGCTGGGATTACAGGTGCGTGCTACTACCGCCCGGCTAATTTTCGTACTTTTAGTAGAGATGGGGTTTCACAATATTGGCCAGGCTGGTCTCGAACTCCTGACCTCAAATGATCCACCAGCCATAACCTCCCAAAGTGCTGGGATTACAGGTGTGAGCCACTGCGCCCGGCCAGGATCCAAGTTTTTCAACCCAGAAAATGTACTACACAACCTTTAAGGTCCTGTTGGGAAAGCTGTGGGATTCCACGAGAGGAGGATCTGCCATCAGAAGGCCCTGCTGCTTGCATGCTTCCTACCTGCGAACTGCACTGAGAGCTGAGATGAGAACAGACCATGCAGCTGGCAGCTCTAGAGGAATGGCTGGTCTGTCTCCCCGGCCCTTTCCTGACTGACTTGTCATCTCTCATGCTCTATAGTTCACTTAGGTGTATTTTGTGTTCTTTTATTTCCCCACACTACCCAGAATATAAACCCCAAAAGGGCAAGGATTTTTTTTTTGAGACGGAGTCTCGCTCTGTCGCCCAGGCTGGAGTGCAGTGGCGTGATCTTGGCTCACTGCAAGCTCCGCCTCCAGGTTCACGCCATCCTCCTGCCTCAGCCCGAGTAGCTGGGACTACAGGCACCCGCCACCACACCCGGCTGATTTTTTTTTGTATTTTTTTTTTTTTTGAGACGGAGTCTCTCTCTGTCTCCCAGGCTGGAGTGCAGTGGTGTGAGCTCAGCTCACTGCAAGCTCCGCCTCCCAGGTTCACACCATTCTCCTGCCTCAGACTCTGAGTAGCTGGGACCACAGGCGCCTGCCACCACGCCCGGCTAATTTTTTGTATTTTCAGTAGAGACGGGGTTTCACTGTGTTCGCCAGGCTTGTCTCGAACTCCTGACCTCAGGTGATCTGCCTGCTTTGGCCTCCCAAAGTGCTGGGATTACAGGCATGAGCCACCATGCCCGGCCTTTTTTTTTGTATTTTTAGTAGAGACGGGGTTTCATTGTGTTAGCCAGGATGGTCTCGATCTCCTGACCTCGTGATCTGCCTGCATCGGCCTCCCAAAGCGCTGGGATTACAGGCATGAGCCACCACGCCTGGCCCTTTTTTGGTATTTTTTAGTAGAGATGGGGTTTCACCGTGTTAGCCAGCATGGTCTCAATCTCCTGACCTTGTGATCCACCCGCCTTGGCCTCCCAAAGTGCTGGGATTACAGGCGTGAGCCACCGCACCCGGCCCAGGGGCAAGGATTTTTGTGGGTTTTATTCATTGCTATATTGCCAGAATCTAAAACAGGGCCTGGTGTATAAGGTAAATATTCACATATTTGTCTAAGGAATGACTAAATGGCAGTTGTTTCATATATATACACACACACACACACACATAGATACACACATATGTATACAGTGTATTTTGAATTACATTCGTGCAAAGCTTATCTACCTTAGCCAGTTTTAAGTGACAAGCAAAAAATAAAATCTGCCAATAGTCCATACTCAACTTGGAAGAAGTGACCTCCAACAACTATTTAATCACATTATTACTTGCACAGCCTAGGGACGAAGTACTTTGTCACTTAGATCATCCCTGGACACATGTGGGCTCAAAGGCACGAGGGCAGGACCCTGATTTTGCAAAGGACAGACTAGATTCCAGAGAACACCCACATCGCTGAGTTCATTAAATCAGAATAAAGCTACATTGAAATGAAGATTCTTGCTCTCTGGGATAAACCTTATAGGATATAATTCAAATCCCTGCCTTATAAACATGAAAATGGACTACACATTATAGCCTTTAAGCCCATTATAGCCCAAGAAAAGAAAAAATTCTGAATGTTAAATTCTTGCTTACATAAGCACTTTTTGCAAAGATGATTAATCTGGCAATACAAGGGGGGAGAATAGCTACCTTTAAACACCTGTTCTTTCAAAATACGTTATTATAACACAGTTTTAATTTGCTTTCCAAGTATGAAAGGCTTGGTTTTGCTTTCGAGTGAAGAATACCGTTTTAGGACAAAACAGTGGAAGAGGTTTACTTAGGATTAAGAAAAAAATCCTGGAAACAGTAACTTGTGAAAGGAACAACTCACTTTAGTTTCTCTGCTTTGAACTGTTGTGTACAGTCATCAAATAGCTTTTGGTTCATCTCCATGAAGAGCTTCAGGGCGTTGTATATCAAGCCATGTATTGTCCTATAAAGAAAACCGCACGGTGAGCCTGGGAGCACGCATTCCTGCTGAGCCCTCGCCTCTCCACTCTCAGGCTGCTCCATATTCCAACAGTCCCACATCGCACAGGATCCCTAAGGTCTAAAATGCAAGGCCTGCTCATTCCGCGTTACTTGTTTTCTGACAGCCACACATCCCGAGACTTTCTTCACAGTGGCTCTCACATAGCCACAGAGGCCACTCCACTCACTGTCTCCAGCTGACAGTAGCCAAAAACGACCTTGCTCAGAAACTGAATTAAAAACATTGAAACTTGAACAAATATAGTTAAGACAAAATTATAAAGAGGACAATAATGGCAATACTTGATTTCCTATAAATGTCAGTTTCTTTTCATCTTATTCCCTGAGGACAGAAAAATTAATTTTAATAATGGCAACACAGAGCTTTGAAAGAGAAAATAAAATGAGCATAAAACAGCTTAATCAATGCTTAGCTCTCAGGCTCTGACACGCATGGAGAGGGAAAGAGGCCAAATTGTTCCAGCTGAGCCTCTGGGTGACTCTAGTCCCAGCTGCCATGGGACTGCAGCCCTGTAAGAGCCCCGATCCCCCAGCAGACACCAGCGAAAGCCTGCGCAGCAGGACCTGCTCGACCCGCAGGACTGTGAGCAACAGGTGCCAGTAGCTAAAAACAAATAAATCCCAAAAAACGTAACCCTCAAATCATAATTCCTTCTTAATCCACTTTGTAATAAAACCCAAGTTGTACTTAGAAAACACTTAAAAGAACATTTTTTTCTTTGCAATGGGCGGGGATTGGAAGTCAGTTATGAATTGTGCTGACTTACATACTAAACTAAATTACACACAAGAAACATGGCGACACTCCAGGGGCTTTGTTGTCATTGTTGCGATTAAAAAAAAAAAAATCAATGCAAGCCAGGCGCGGTGGCTCACACCTGTAGTCCCGGCACCGTGGGAGGCTGAGGCGGGTGGGTCACTTCAGGTCAGGAGTTCAAGACCAGCCTGGCCAACATGGTGAAACCCCATCTCTACTACAAATGCAAAAATTAGCCAGGAGTGGTGGCTCATGTCTGTAGTCCCAGCTACTTGGGAGGCTGAGGTGGGAGAATCACTTGAACCTGGGAGGTGGAGGCTGCAGTGAGCCAGGATGGTGCCACTGCACTCCAGTCTGGGTGACAGAGCAAGACTCCATCTCAAAAATAAATAAATAAATAAAATAAATCAATGCTACAAAGAACAGGTTGTTGAGGGTGGATGTGCTGTATTAACAACTACAACCACCACGCTATTGCCATGAGGGTCTTGGCTGCTGCCTCCACTGCTATCAGCATGGCTGCTGGCCCTACAACCACTAAGTGACAGCAAATGCTTACTTGGTGCCTATCATAAGCCAGGTACTTTACGCATATTAACTTTATCTTAATCCTCACAACCAAGTGAAGATTGTTGCAAGGCAAAGCACTTTACTTTCTCAGTTTTTCCAAAGAGAAACTGTGGCTAAGAAAGACCTGGTGAGAGCTAACTTCCCCGGGTTCAGACAGCTGCTCAGGAGGAAGGCAGGAATGTGAACCAAAGTCATCCTCACTCTGATCTGCCTGCCCTTCTCTGTTGAATTTCTGGGCGGCAACCCTCAGAAGACTTGACGCGAGTGGACTGGCTGGACGCTCGCTCGGGGGTCTGGCTCAGAGCTCCAGGGCTAACACCTGTCTGGCTGCTGCCCTGCAGAATTCTGGGAAGGAGGCAGTGCCACCTGCAGCCTCGAGCGGACAAGGAGAGAGGGTGCATGGGAGAGGGCTGGTCCGCCGGCAGCAGGGTGACTGTGCAGCACAGCCAGAGGGGTGCCCAATAGACACTGCGAGTTAGGAGACCGCACCGGGCCAGAGTGCCGCTCACCAGCTTTGGGACCGCAGACTGGGCTGCGAATGCCCTCCAAGTCTCACCTTCCTCACCCATAAACTAAGGGAGGAGGGCTGGATAGCATAACCTGCTCTTCTTTAAGTTCTGAGTTATAATTACAATATACAATGGAAAGAGATGAAAGAAGGTGGGGAAAGAAAAACTCAGTCGTATTTCTTTAAATAGCAGGAATATTAGATGATACCATATTAATAAATAATATGGCCTGGGCGCAGTGGCTCACGTCGTCCCAGCACTTTGGGAGGCTGAGGCAGGTGGAATACTTGAGTCCAGGAGTTCGAGACCAGCCTGGGCAACATGGCAAAACCCCATCTCTACAAAAAATACAAAAATTAGCCAGGCGTAGCGGTGGGTGCCTGTAGTCCCAGCTACTCAGGACCCTGAGGCAGGAGGTTTGCTTGAGCCCAGGAGGTCGAGGCTGAAGTGAGCCATGATCGTGACACTACACTCCAGCCGGGGGGACATAGCAAGACCCTGTCTAAAAATAAACAAATAAAATACAAATTTTAAAAAAGAAAAATAAATAAATAATGTGGCACCCATATCAACAGTTTCCTTTTAAAGTCTCAGAAGACTATTGCTCAGTAAACGGATTTATTCATCCTCTTTAAGTCAAAAGATGAAGGAGCGGAGTAGGAGGAAATGTTTTTGGCTGCTGGGACTATGGGGCTGTGTTCAGATCACCTGGCTTCCCTCTTCTTCTCCAGGTAGTGACCACTGTGGGGTGGTTCTTGGGTCTCACACAGGGGCTCATCCAGGGTGCATGTCAGCAGAGCTCAATAGACACCCCGAGAATGCAGTGGCCACTGTGCCCCCGCCGGGGCTGAGCCCCACTGGGCTCTGCAGAGACCTTCAGCTTCTCTGCAGGACGCTCAGGAAGAGGCCTAGAAACTGCTGCTACTGGGAGGTGGCTGCAAACCAATGTGCCTCTATACTGGCAGGAATGAAGGTATAAGGTGGTAAATTCAACGGCCACAGAAACAACCCACGCTGCTACTTAATTTATGAGTCCACAAAGCAACTGACCTTCTTGTTTTTTAATTGATATTTAAAATTCTGATATTTATTCTTACTGAAGTAGCAGTAAAACGTGCCATATTTTAAAATGACTGAAAAAGATGGCAGCCAGTTCTTTCTTACTTGTTCCAATGGGTCTTTGAGTTGCGGTACAAGGAAGGAAACATGATGGGCAGAATCTTCGCTGCGTTGTCACTGATTAAACTCATGATGTATTCATTATTCCAGTAATAGAGAGCTCGCTCTGCCACCTGAAAGACACAAGTGGATGGCTTGCTGGAGGTTGTGCCTGAGACATCAGGTGGCTGTCCTTGCTGTTAAACCTGTGAGTCGGGTAATGAACTACCTTGGACCAGAAAATTATGATTATTTCTACAAATTCAAAATATTCTAGACTGTAACCTGTAACCCTGAAGAGCCTTCAACAAAGAGGCAGACAACTTCTTGTACATCAACTCATCAAGAACATTGTCACCTATTTCTCTACTTATTCCGTAAACATTTATGCTAGATGCTGGCTAGATGCTGAGGAGACAACTCAAAGGAGGCCATTCCACCTATCCACCCGCCTCCCCCATCTGTCAGGTCAAGAGGGCGTGCTGTGTTCTGCTGAGCATTCAGCACTGAACAAAGCAAGGCAGAAATCCTTGACTCCACGGAGCTTACATTCTAGTGGGGAGGAGACAGGTGATGGATGATTATTAATTTACTAGAAACGATAAGTCACATACAAAGGGCAGCAGGGCAGGAGAACAGGCAGCGGCGGTGCGTGTGCGGTGGGGTGGCTTCAATGGGGAGGAGGTGACATCTGAGCAAGGACCAGAGGGAGGAGAGGTCCTGAGTTGTCAGCACGGGGCTGGCTGAGGACCACTGCAGAGGGCAGTGGGGGCATGAACAGTAGGAGGGCAGGGGAACAGGGCCTGAGTGCACTGGCGCTTACTCACGGGAAGCCACTAGAGGGTGGTTCCCCCATTTTTCTTTTCTTTTTTTTTTTTGAGATGGATTTTTGCTCTTGTTGCCCAGGCTGGAGTGCAATGGCGTGATCTTGGCTGACTGCAACCTCTGCCTCCCGGGTTCAAGCGATTCTCCTGCCTCAGCCTCCTGAGGGGCTGGGATTACAGGCGCACGCCACCACACCCGGCTTTTTTGTATTTTTAGTGGAGACAGGGTTTTGCCATGTTGGTCAGGTTGGTCTCGAACTCCTGAGATCAGGTGATCCACCTGCCTTGGTCTTCCAAAGTGCTGGGATTACAGGCGTGAGCTACCACGCCTAGCCCATCCATTTTTGTTTTTTAAAAAGAGATGGAGTTTCACTCTGTTGCCCAGGCTGGAGTGCAGTGGTGCTATCTCGACTCACTACAACCTCTGCCTCCTGGGTTCAAGCGATTCTCCTACCTGAGCCTCCTGAGTGGCTGGGACTATAGGCATGCGCCATCGCACCTGGCTAATTTTTGTATTTTTAGTAGAGACGGGGTTTCACCATGTTGGCCAGGCTGCTCTCGAGCTTCTGACCTCAGGTGATCCACCCGCCTTGGCCTCCCAAAGTGCTGGGACTACAGGCGTGAGCCACTGCACTCAGCCCCCCATTTTTATTACTAAAACTTTCAAAAACAGACAAAGCTGCAAGACTAACATAATGAGTGCCCACCTCCCTCCACCCAGATTCAACACTGTTCATACCCTACCCTATTTGCTTTTTCTCTCCGTAGTAAACCAGCACACAAGTGCACGTTCCACAGAACTATCTGGGAGTTCGAGGCAGTCACCAGGACACTTGGCCTGTCCCCATCACAGCATGTATGCCTCTGGGAAGAGGAGCTTCACCTGTATAACTACTGTCAACACCCTTCATCTGCACACAACTCACAGCAGCACTTGGAGGCTCTGAGCAGCATGGGGCTGACGCTTCTCCTGCCAGAAGCCTACAGCTTAGAGATCCTGAGGTTGTGGTGCGGTGTGTATGGGTGGGATGCTGAGAGAATGGCAGGTGAGCCTGTGCCAGGCTCAGGAATCAGGGCTGATTCCTCAGAGGCAGTGAGCTGGGATGAACTTTGCAGAAAAGGAGTGAGTTAGGTAATGGGGGAGGGGAGGGCATGCATGAGAGTGCGGCGTGGATTCAAAACAAGGCACAATCGCATCACAGCTCCTAGGCTAGTTCTTACTTAAGAGTTCAATACCTTGTACTTTAAAAAGCAACCATCTAGGCCGGGCATGGTGGCTCACGCCTGTAATCCCAGCACTTTGGGAGGCCGAGGCAGGTGGATCACTTGAGGTCAGGAGTTCAAGGCCAGCCTGGCCAACATGGTGAAATCCCGTCTCTACTAAAAATACAAAAATCAGCCAGGTGTGGTGGCAGGCGCCTGTAGTCCCAGCTACTTGGGAGGCTGAGACAGGAGAATCACTTCAACCTGGGAGGCAGAGGTTGCAGTGAGCTGAGATTGCACTCTAGCTTGGGCAACAAGCACAAAACTTTGTCTAAAAAGAAAACAAACCAAAAACAAAACCATCCATCCATCCATCCACCCACCCACCACCCACCAATATATTTGGGGGTAATATTTTAAGCCTGATTTAGAAAACAGAAGCTTAAGATGCTTGATGGTTTAAACTTTAAATTTTTCCAGTTTTTAAAACCAGTACTTTTTTTGGGTGTGAAAAAAACATCTAAAAGTTAAGAATGAGCTGGCGCGGTGGCTTATGCCTGTAATCTCAGCACTTTGGGAGGCCGAGGTGGGCGGATCATGAGGCTGGGAGTTGAAGATCGGCCTGGCCAATATGGTGAAACCCCGTCTCTACTAAAAATACAAAAATTAGCTGGGTGTGGTGGCACGCACCTGTAATCCCATCTACTCGGGAGGCCGAGGCAGGAGAATCACTTGAACCTGGAAGGCAGAGGTTGCAATGAGCCGAGATCGCACCACTGCACTCCAGCCTCAGGGACAGAGTGAGACTCCATCTCAAAGGAAAAAAAAAAAAAATTAAGAATGAGTTGGCCTTATGCATATGTGTCTGGAAAAGATTCTGGAATGTACTCTGTGCTGATCAGGTCCTCTAAGAAGCAGAAGCCAAGATGGGCGCAAGCGTGCGTGGGGGACACAGACGAGGGCGAGTTGGGGGGCTGGGCCTGCAGCTGAAGGCCTGAGTGGGTCCTGGCACTGAACTCCCTCATCAGAGGCATGGCAGGCCGCCCTGGCAGCCTTCATGCTCTGTTCCTGGCAGGGACGTGAAGGCTTCTGTGACATGTGGAGTGGCACCCAAGCCACTGGCAGCTGCGCGGCCACCTTGGCTCTGCTTTCCCCACCTGGACTTCCCTTCCTCCTTGCCCTGTCACATGCTTTTATGCAAAACAGCACATTGTGAGTCCACTTGTCCCTGTCTTCTCTTGAAGGTCTAACGTTACCCATAGCGATAGCTAATTTTGCATCTGGGGAAGGGGCTCAAGTTTTTGGGACACTTCCCACGACTGCCAGTCTCTCCTTGGCATACGAACGCCCTGTACTTCAGCCAGGGCTCCGTGGCGCTGGTCTCTACAGTTTCTAGGAAACCATGCTCCTTTGTGCAAAGTGCTCACACTGAAAGCCTTGAGAAACATTATTTTCTCTGTAGGCCAGGATTGATGAAAAAAAAAAAAAAAAAACCCAAAACATAATTTTCCTTTCTTAGTTCCTAATGTGAAAACTCATTGGAATTTATAAAATGAAAATAACCTGAATATTTGTATGGAAGAGACTACACCACAGCAGTTCCTTCCTTTAACCCGACTCAGCCTGGCCTCACTTTACTATGGCTGCCCGTGCTCCAGAGCTTCTTACTCTTCTATCACTTGCCTTCTTGTCTTAGTTTTGTTGGTTTCAATGATCTCTTTCCAAAACCATCTTGAAAGGCTCAGTTTGGAGGACCCCTCATTCTTGTGGACTTTTTCTAACCACTTAGACTTGTGCTAAGGTAACTGCCCATGTGTTTCTGAGAGCCTGCTGCACACGCCACCTGGCCCTTCACGTTTGGCTGTAAGGTGGTGGTGTGACATGGTCACTCTCTTCCACTGTGTGGCCTGCTCCCTGGGCACCGGGAGGTCTTGCTTATTTTGTGCCTATTTTCACCTTGTTCATGATGAGTGCACAATAAAATCCGCTCAATGATGCAAAAGGACAGGTGGCTAGCACGTCCAACAGAGGCAGGCAGGCTGGGAAGGTGTGTGGGGGTGGCCTTCAAAAGAGGTGATGAGCCGAGGCTGGCTTGAAGGGTTAAGGAAATTGGGAAAAGAAAGTAGAAAGTAGCTCTGACCAAGGTCGTCCTCTCGCACAGGAATTTGGCAGTGACAAAAGTCAGAGCTCTCAGCCTTTTTGAAAGGGTAAAGGGAGACAGATTTACACAGTGTCAGGAACGAAGGGCCTCGGCAGCAAGAGCATCTCAGAGCCGAGGCTTTGGCCACCCGTTGTCTATCAATATTGATGCTCAGGTGTGGAAAGGAGGGTGTTTATGAACTTGGAAGCACACTGAACATGAAGATAAAGACAGCTTTACAGAGAAGCCAGATGACTGCTCTTAGTGAGAAAAAGTATCGCGGCAGAAGGGACAAGATGCTCAAGGGTATTCTATAGAATTCAAGTTACAGCATCGTATTTGAAGTATAATTCAAGTAAAAACTTGGATTTTACCTTTAAATTGCATGAGAGGCAAAGCATGGCCAGCTACGCATGGAACTTTTCCTTTCCCAAATGAACACTGGAAGAATTTAATCAGGTCCCCCAAGCCCCACATACCTGGAAGTGTGGGCTGGAGACACATTTGGCCAACTGCCGGAAGAGGGGTTCCATGATCTTCACAAATTCTGATGGTTCAATGACATCTAAAATCTCTTCTAATTCGTTTAAGAACATTACTTCTTTTGGACTGTGAGTCTTTGGCCAGTATTTGAGAAGTGCCATCACCACCTACAAAAGAAATGACACGTGGAGTGACTGATGCCCACGAGGCCCCAACACCTGCATGGTAAGAAGTCTGTGTTTTCACTGCGGTGGCCCCACTGCAAGGCAACACACGGAGATGGTGCCATCTTCCTTACAGAGGGAACAGTGACTCAGTCATCATATGTGATTTTCTGTATTTGAGAAGTAGGTCTGTCTGTCTGGTTATCTATCTGATCAATCAATTTATTTAGAGATGGGTCACATTATGTTGTCCAGGCTGGACTTGAACTCCTTGGCTCAAGTGATCCTCCTCTTTCAGCCTCTGAGTAGCTGGGACCACAGGCACGTACCACCTGCCTGGCTTAATTTTATACACTTCAGAAATTACACAATTTTAGTTTATATAACCCACTTTCTCTGATCAAACACCATTTCAGTAAGAGTCCATTCCTTTTTTTAAAAAAAGAAAAAAAAATAAGAAGTTAGGACAATAATTTAGAAAGAATAAGATCAACGGAGAAAACACAGAGCATTATCAATTCATGTGTACATTTTAGTTGTGGAAGCAGCCAGTACTGAAACTGTGGGCCACGTGTACACAACCCATTTCTTTCTCAAATTTATCAACCATCCATATGTGTTTATACACAAACACACATACTTCTGTATGCATAGACAGTGTTTTCAACTGTGTTAAAATATATCAAAAGGAGTGATGTGAATTAAGCTGACCTTATTAACTCACATCCACAGGTACTGCGATGGGACCTCCCGGGCAGGGCGTACTGTGCTCTCTGTGCGCACACCTGTGGGCGTCAGATACAACAGCCTGAGCAGTGCTGGGCCTGCGGTGAGCAGGCTGCAGTGGCAGCTGTAGCCAGGATTGTCACCACCCAGAGGGTCTGTGCCACCAGCTCTCTGCCAGGCACAGCCCGTCGGACTGCAGTGGTTTCCCAGTTTGTGGATAGTGGATGTTTTATGTTCCTTGGCCAAGTCAGACAGCTAGAAAGAATTTCCACTGGGCAACCTTTCTTTATATGTTCCTGTAGTTTCCAAATGTCTTACCACAATCATACCAGTACAAAATACTGAATGTGAATCCATGCAGATTTCATAATATTTTTAGAGTTTAGCCATCTTAGTTCTAAAAGAGTACAACAATCCAAAACAGGCATTTGCATATGAAGTGCATATATGTGCTTACACACTGAATTGTACAAGTGCAATCCGGTGCGTTAGAGCAGCTCTTTGGCCTCGTCACAGCAACACCGCGGGGCTTCTACCCGACTCTTGTGCTGTGCAATTGCCACAAGTGCTGGCCCCCGGGACCGCCTGGTCGTTTTCACTCACTAGTCATTTCCAGCTCAGTAGATCGCACCAACTCATGGCTTAGCAGGCCAGCCTTTTAGTCATTACAGTGATTTTTTAAAAAGGTGGACATTTAACATCCATTTAGAAAAATTTTGTTTTGATGCTTTGGCATTTGGGCTCCCAGGTAATCTTTTATGATATTACACTTTATAAAACTCCAAAATTCATGAAACAAAGGAAAGTAAGGCTGGGCGTGGTGGCTCACGCATGTAATCTCAGGACTTTGGGAGGTCGAGGTGGGAGGAATGCTTGAGCCCAGGAGTTCGAGACCGACCTGGGCACCGTGGTGAGGTCCTGTCTCTACACAAAATTTAAAAATTAGCCTGGTGTGGTGATGGGCACCTGTGGTCCTAGCTACTCGAGAGGCTAAGGTGGGAGGATTGCTTGAGCCCAGGAGGTTGAGGCTGCAGTGAGCCATGACTGCGCCACTGTACTCCAAGAATCTAACAAACAAACAAAAACCCCAAAAGAGCCAAATAAAAATAAAAAAGGAAGTGCTGCTAGTTTTCAAGTCTGACATAAAAATCTACCATACAAGTGTCTTTAAAAGGAATTATTTCTAAAAATGCATCATTTAATGGTTCTCCTAGCTCAAAACTATTGAATAAGTATTTATTGTGTTCCTACCACACTTTGCGTGTATTGGAATCACTATTAAGGACACAGCAGATGGAAATCACTTCCTACATCTATTTCTCTTCATTTGTCAAATGGAATTTTATTAGGAGAAATATGTTAATTTGTGAACTATACAACACAACCGATTTAGCTATTCCATTTCTCTGGAAAAGGTATCATTTCTGGGATCGGATTCACACACGGGCCTTCCTGTTCACATTGTTTGGAATGAGCTGTGATCGGTATCAGCTATTTTGCTGCGTCAGTGTGGCGTGCTCTGTGGAGGAGGGTGTCTACTCAGGGAATGTGAATCCGAGGCAACAATGGCTGTGTGCTGCTGGGTGCAGCACAAGGCCCCGAGTTTTCCTTTGGAAGCCCAAGGACTGCCCGCTCCCTGCAGAGGGCAGGCGAGCCAGTGGCCCCAGCCTTGAGTCTTGGGGAGCCCCCTTCCTGTCCTGGTAGACCAAGGAGAAAGGAGAGCCGCTACTATGCCATGTAGTAAAATGTGATGAGACTGAAGAGGCAGGTGGGTGAAAACGGAACACAGTTTTACTTCTGTAAAATCTCTGATGAGCTTTTGTTATTCTTCCAACAGAGAAAGTGTTTCATGTGCCCAGAAAGCTTTTGAGCACTGTACACAATTAGCAAATGAAAAATACTAATTACAGGCTACAAATGGGGCAACACATGTCCTTCATATCTCAGTCTTCTAAGTGGATCTTACTTTAAACATTCCTGAGCCTGGACATTTGATGGCTTCAGGAGTCCCTTTGGTGCAGGCCTGGGAGATGGACGTGGACACCAGGTGTCCTTAGTGCTACCAAGAGATGTACACCTGCACCAAAGCCTATACTTTGATCATCTCATTAACAAGCTTTCAATGCTGAAATAAGACAAAATGGCCTTTGTGTTTTCATAAATAGGCATTTCAAAAGAGGGAATTTACTGACATGAGGGTCTGAATGTTCTTAACATGTAGGAAATTGAATCTGCTTTCTAAAGCCAGGACGGTACTATTACATTATCTGTGCAGCAGGAAACTAAGCAATGAAGTGTCCCCGGGTGGGAACATCGGGGCCTAGGTTGGTGGGGTTTGCACCTCCTTTGTGCTGGTGCCAAGTCAGAGTCCTGCATGTAACATTTACGCCGGAAGGACCCAACTGAAGCCGGCACGGGGTCTCTTGCCCTCTTTTAGACAGGACTGCAATTAACAGCTCTCACTCTTGCAAAGTGATATTCACTTTATTTACTATATTAGTGGGAATTAAAAACTTTTACAAACATTCTCTGCTTTTGTGTTACTTTTCGGTGGAAGAGAGAATAGGGTGAGGCTCATTCACCGAGCCCTCGGTGGAGAAGGTTAGGGTCAGGCTGACAGACAGTGGATGGCGGGATAGAGATGCTGGGACAGTGGCTTAGGTGGGAGCAGCCTCTGTCTGTGGTAAACGCAATGTGGCATTTGGTGAATTGTTCAGCCACTACAGGATATGAGAAATACGCACAAAGAAAATTCATGAAAGAAAAATACATACTTTCAAAAATCTCTCCTTCCATAGCTTTTTTTCCCTTCCATTTGTATTTACTTATTTATTTGAGACAGGGTCTTACTCTGTCACTCAGGATGGAGTGAAGTTGGTGCGTTCATAGCTCACTGCAGCCTTGACCCCCTGGGCTCAAACAACTCTTCCACCTCGGCCTCTCGAGTAGCTGGGACCACAGGTACATGTCACCATGCCCAGCTAATTAAATTTTTTTTTTTTTGGTAGAGAGGAGGTCTCACTATGTTTCCCAGGCTGGTCTCAAACTCCTGGCTTCAAGGGCTCCTCCTGCCTTGGCCTCCCAAAGTGCTGGGATTAGGGGCATGAGCCACTGTGCCCAGTTGTCTTTTATTTTTGAATAGGAAAAGGTGGGAGAGGAGGGGAGAGATAAATTTTTTTTTTTTTTTTACATATTACTTTCTCCAGTAAAACCTCTGTGATAGTTAATACTCAGTGTCAACTTGTTTGGATTGAAGGATGCACTGGGTGTGCCTGTGAGGGTGTTGCAAAAGGAGATTAACATGTGAGTCAGTGGGCTAGGAAAGGCAGACCCACCCTTAATGGGGGTGGGCACCACCTAAGCTGCCAGAGAGGCCAGAATATAAAGCAGGCAGAAGAACGTGAAAAGACTAGACTGGCCTAGCCTCCCAGCCTGCATCTTTCTCCCGTGCCGGACGCTTCCTGCCCTCGAACATCGGAATCCAAGTTCCTCAGCTTTGGAACGGGCCTGGCTTCCCTGCTCCTCAGCTTGCAGACGGGCTATTGTGGGACCTGGGTGACAGAGCGAGATCCTGTCTCAAAAAAAAAAAAAAATACAACCTCTCACCCTTCAGTTTGGAGAATACCTCAGATATAGGCAGAAGAGTTAGGGCATGTAACCACTGGAGAAAATACAGTTTAAAAAAAAAATCCCCAATGAGTTTTATTAACACTGTTCATTTTTCTTTTTCCTACCTAAACATGTCTTCAGTCGTTAAGAAGGATAAAAATAACACCTCCTCACCCTAAGCCTTGACTATGCTTGATGCTGAAGTGTGATGAGATTTGGTACATTTCCTTGGGAGGTCCCCAAAATCTCAGGCGGAGGTATCTAGGGGCTGGAGGGAGAGTGTGCAGGGATGCGTCCTTCCACGAGGGCCCGGCAGGACAGGGCGGGCCCAGCTCGTGGCTCTGTAGCACCTGCTACCTCTGCAGTCATAGGACAAGAGCTCTTCTTGAATTTTGTGGGTGAAATGGAGGGAATCTACACATAGAATTTAAAAACTTACAAGAAAGCAGAGCCCAAAAGCCAGTTTAACTCAGAAATTCAATGTTAAGAATTTCTCATGCAATTTCACTATAAAAATTACAACTTCACAAAAGAACTGTGAAAGAGAGAAAGGGCCCAGGAGTGACAAGATCTACTTTTTCTAGTCTAACAGTGACTTTTAAAAGAGCATTCAAACATTTGAATTGGTTCCTAACATTCCTTACTTTGATACTCAAATAATTAAAAAAAAACTCCAATGTAAAAAATGGGCAATGGATTTAAATGGACATTTCTGCAAAGAAGATATACACTTTTTTTTTTTTTTTTTTTGGAGACAGGGTTTCACTGTGTTGCCCAGGCACACGCCATCATGCCTGGCTAATTTTTGTATTTTTTGTAGAGATGGGATTTTGCCATATTGCCCAGGCTGGTCTCCAACTCTTGGGCTCAAGTGATTCACCCGCCTCAGCCTCCCAAAGTGTTGGGACTACAGGCGTGAGCCACCGCGCCCGGCCAAGAAGATATACAGATTTTGGTCAACAAGCGCTGAAAAGATGCTCAACATCATCAGTCATTAGGGAACTGCAAATCAAAACCACAACAAGATACTCTTTCACACCACTAGGATGGCTATAATTAAAACAACAGGTCGGGTGTGGTGGCTTACGCCTGTTATCCTAGCACTTTGGGAGGCTGAGGCGGGTGGATCACTTGAGGTCAGGAGTTTGAGACCAGCCTGGCCAACATGGTGAAACTCTGTCTCTAATAAAAATGCAAAAATTAGCCGGGCATGGTGGCAGGCACCTGTAATCCCAGCTACTTGGGAGGCTGAGATAGGAGAATCGCTTGAACCCAGGAGGCAGAGGTTGTGGTGAGCCAAGATTGCACCATTGCACTCCAGCCTGGGTGACAGAGTGAGACTTTCTCTCAAAAAAATAAGATAAAATAAAATAAATAAAAAGAAAGCAACAGCAGCAGCAGCAGCATCAGCACTGGTGAGAATGTGGGGAGATGGGAGCCTTTGTGCATTGCTGCAGGGAATGTAAAACGGGACAGTCACTGTGGAAAACAGTATGGGGGTCTGTCCCGCAGCTAAACATACAATTACCATATGATTCAGCAATTCCACTCCTGGATATATATCCAAAGGAACTGAAAATGGGGATTATAGCAAATATTTGTACACCAGTATCCAAATAGCAGCATTATTCACAATAGCTAAAAGGTGGGAACAACCCAGGTGTACACTGAAAAAACAATGAATAAACCCAATGTGTTCTATCCATATGATAGAACAGCATTCAACCATGATGAGGAATGAAGTTCTGATACGCAACCCAAGAATGAGCCCTGGAAGACATTACGCTGAGTGAAATAAGCCAGGTGTGAAAGGACAAGCGTTTTATGATTCTCCTTATATAAGGTACCTAGAATAGTCAAATTCAGAGATAAAGTAGATTACAGGTCAGCAGGGGCCAGAGGGAGGGAGAACGGAGAGTTATTGTTTAATGGGTAGAATTTCTGTTTGGGATGATGACAAAGCTTTGGAAATAGTGGTGATGGTTGCGCAACACTATGAATGTCATTAACGCTGGTGAACTGTACATTTAACGCGGTTAAAATGACAAATTTTATGTTATATGTATTTTACCACAATTTAAAAAAATTCAAAATGTAACGTATCAAAAATTTTTGAATTGTACTCTTTAAATGGGTGAATTGTGTGGTATGTGAATTATATCTCAATAAAGTTGTTTCAAAAAATGTATTTAAATGCTTAAACTGGCACCTGACATGTCTGGCTTTGTTAACCCTGGCTATGATAGCCTATTTTAATAAACATAAAATGTTAAGAAAATTATAAATCCTCTGACATAATTATGGAGGCTGAAAAAAAATTACAGATCCACGCACAGAACAGCAGTAATCTAACGTTCACTTGTGATTCAATGATCATAAAATAGTTACAGTGTAACTTGGGAAGTATTTTCAAGGCGGTAAAGCCTCTTTAGTACAACAATAATTTCAAACCCTAACTATAATTCCTCTGATCATAATCAGTTCAATATGTTGTCAAACCAAGCAGATGTGAAACTACTGAATTGCACACTAAAATTTAGTGGCTACAATAACCGCTCAAGTGCTTTACGTTCAAACAGTAAAGTGCAACGAGGGACAAGGTGGCAATCTCATTACATAAAATAATCACTATAATAAAGGAATCTGCAATTAAAATGACTATACTTTGAAAACCTATAACCCATGAATGAAATGAGCCTGTTTATTAGTATTGCAATTTAAGATGAAAAAGTCTGAATGAATGGCAATTTGGTGAAGCAGATGTTGTAATATTTACATTTAGTGAAATGCACACATCTTACAAGACGCGCTAGCATCAGTACTTACTGGTTCCGTGAGGGTGCTGTCCTTTTCTAAAAACTGCACTACACAGTATGCCAGCTAAAAAGTAAAAGGAGAAAGAGCATTAACATTTCAACATAAAAATGCTGCTGTGCTTCTTCTAGAATCATCGTTAAACACCTTCCCACAGCAAGACAAGGACCCACGGTACAGACAAAGCCCTTGTGTGATTAACGGGCATTAACATTTATGCCCATTAATTGGTGATAGATCAGAAAGCTGAAAAATAAAAATAAGAAAAATAAATCAGGAAACAGTCTTTTTAGTCTAACCACCGCTAAGTCAATCCAGTATGATGGGATTTTCTTGGGGTCCTTGTGCAGACTACAATCAACGAGTCATCTAACAGTGGGGAACAACAAATTAAAATCTGGTTCCATCTTAAATCTCTGAACTATTAATTTCTTTTGTACAACAATATGATAATCTGGCTGGATGCAAAGATATTACCAGTTAAGAGCAGTCAGAGAAAATAAATATGTTCTAGGAAGAATCAATTAAAGAATATACTTTTTGTCATTTAGCCCCTACCATAAGCTCTGAAAGTGGGGCCTGGCAGAGAGGAGCCTTGTGCACCCCTGTGCCTGTGCTGGGGCGTGACTGCTCAGTGCCTGGCCCTGTGACAGCCGGAAGTGAACAAAGACGCCCACTGCAGCCAAAGAGTGAGAGAAAACCAAATCCAGGTAAATGCAGTCCATTAACCACTTATTGACCAATTTTTCAGTACAGCTGTACTTAGATTACTACAGTTTAAAAAATTCACAGCTTTATTCATTCATTTATTTATTTATTTTTGAGATGGAGTTTCACTCTTGTTGCCCAGGCTGGAGTGCAATGGCGCGATCTCGGCTCACTGCAACCTCCGCCTCCCGGGTTCAAGCGATTCTCCTGCCTCAGCCTCCTGAGGAGCTGGGATTACAGGCATGTGCCACCATGCCCGGCTAGTTTTGTATTTTAAGTAGAGACGGTTTTCTCCATGTTGGTCAGGCTGGTCTTGAACTCCCAACCTCAGGTGATCTGTCCGCCTCAGCCTCCCAAAGTGCTGGGATTATAGGCAGCTTTATTTTTTTAAAAAACGTTTTCATAGGCCATTCATTGGCCATGGACCTATATAGGCTTTTCTCTTTAAGGTACTGAATTTTAGATTACACTACAGAAAACTCCTCTCAGAAGTCTTCCTAGACTCCTTTCAGAGAGTTACTCCTTTCTCAATGCTTAAAACTGAAAAATTCTGTATTACAGAGATTTTTCTGAATTTCTTAAAAGGAATCTCTCTTTACCCCCTTATTCTTTCGATTATCACCAGAAGTTTGTTACCAAAGTTAGTACAGGCCTATAAAGAAGAAAGCACTCTCAGTCAAGGCCGGATTCACTATCTCGTGTTCAATCCTGATCAAATGCCAACAGCTGTGTTCCTAGAGTCCTGCTGCCCCTTACCTGGGGATGGTAGACACTCAGAGATTTCACTTTGTGCAAAGGTAGTAACACCTTCAATAAGAAAATCTTGTGCTCTTCTTTTAGTGGTAAGGCAAATCCATTAATTATACTGTAAAAAGAACATTTATTAGGTTTGAACATTTACGAATTCCAGGTTTTAAACAAATATCTTGCCGTCTTTCAATTTTTGTTTTCACCATCAAAACCCAGCAGGCAAAATATACGTAGCCAAGCATGTTGCCATGCACCTGTGCCCCAGCTAACTTGGGAGGCTGAGGCGGCAGGATCATCTGAACCCGGAGTTCGAGGCTGTAGTGCGCTATAATCACACCTGTGAAGAGCCACTGTTCTCTAGCCTGGGTAGTATAGCGAGATCCTATATAGGGGTCTGTGGAACACTTCATATAGTGCTCCGGTCCCTGCAACAGCCTAAGAGGGAAATCCGAGGATTCTTCCTATATATATACATATGTGTGTGTGTATGTGTGTGTGTATCAGAAAAAAGAGGATACCAGCAAAAAGTTTAAAAATGCTAAATGCCTACCAGGAAGTATAGTTATTTTTATCTTTGTAACTACATAATTTAAAAATTCTGGGTTTACAGGTGTTACCCAGAACAGCAGGGAGCTGGCTCAACAGCAGGAGCTCCTGGTGGCAAAATCTTCCTCCCTAAACAGGCCAGGAAGACGGGACAGTTCACGTGGGACCCCCCCCACCCCCCACCCAACACCTTCCCTCAGCCTTATCCATCTGGTAGGCATTCTTGCTGCCTGGAGTAATTCAGGTATGTTATTCTAATGTTGGTAACAGAGACCCAGTGGATGCTGGATGAGAGCTGGTTAAAAATCAGTTAGGGCCAGGCGGTGGCTCATACCTGTAATCCCAGCATTCTGGGAGGCTGAGGTGGGTGGATCACCTGAGGTCAGGAATTCAAGACCAGCCTGGCCAAGATGGTGAAAGCCCATCTCTGCTAAAAATACAAAAAAATAGCCAGGCGCGGTGGCGGGCTCCTATAATCCCAGCTATTCAGGAGGCTGAGGCAGAGAATTGCTTGAACCTGGGAGGCAGAGTTTGCAGTGAGCTGAGATCGGGCCACTGCACTCCAGCCTCGGTGACAGAGCGAGACTCTATCTCAAAAACAAAAACAAAAAACAAACAAAAAAACAGAAAGCTGTTCCCTTGTGCAAGAAAAGAGGTCCTACCTAGAGCCTCCAAAGCAAAGTTTTTGTCTCAAACAACTAGTTTATTGTCTTGGTTTTGTAATTAGGCAAACGGGAGTGACTGCCACTGAGCTGCAGAAGTAGACAGAGCTGTCTCTAACTTGGTCTTCCATTACTGACTCTGCGCGGCACAGCGGACAATGCGGGAAGGGCGAGCCTGGAGCGGCCCATCAAGGAGGGTGTGCTCACTCACAGGGTCACCCGAAGGCTCAGCCTCATCTGGAAGAAGGATAAAACTAATCAGCCTCTCGGCGGGAGCTGCCCGGCGGCCCTATGCACACGGGGGCCCTACGCACACGGCATGGCGGGCTGTGGAACACATGTCATACAGCGCTCCGGTCCCTGCAACAACCTAGGAGGGAAATGCGAGGATGCGCCTATCTTACAGAAGTACCTGCCCATGGTCACACATCTAGTAAGAGAGGCATCCTCTTCACCACTCACTGCACTGCACTGAGGGAGAAACCCCGCCCAAGTTTGTCTAAACTAAAAGAATTGTCAGCGAGGACATTTTTTCAAATTACATCTAAAGTGGCAAGAATAGCTTTTCTCAGAACTACTGGGCAGGACCTGATCCACCCTGAGAAGAGAGTCTTGTGCTCAGGAGCTGCAGAGCGTCACTAGATCCATCCAGAGTGCCAGACTTCTCCACCACAGGCTCCTGAGAACCCGGAACTGCCCATCTACACTACATCCCTAAAAAGGTGCAGGAAAAAGCACTTCCACACTTACTAACCATGGGACCCTGAGGAACTCTGGGAAACAGTGGGTTAGAAGGTCTAATATAAAATCTACGGGTTATCAATTAAATAAAAGTGGCCGGGCGTGGTGGCTCATGCCTGTAATCTCAGCACTTTGGGAGGTGAGGCGGGCAGATCACCTGAGGCCAGCAGTTCGAGACCAGCCTGGGCAACATGGTGAAACCCCATCTCCACTAAAAATACAAAAATTAGCCAGGCATGGTGGCGGGCACCTGTAGTCCCAGCTACTCGGGAGGCTGAGGCAGCAGAATCGTTTGAACCAGGGAAGCAGAGATTGCAGTGAGCCGAGATCGTGCCACTGTACTTGAGCCTGGGTGCCAGAGCAAGAGTCTCAAAAAGAAAAAAAAAAAAAAAAAAAAAAAAGGGCAACTAAAAACTTTACTTGGATAAAGATGATGAAAGTTTTGAAATGTTAATTATTTTATAAATATACATATAAAAAACTGAAGTAATTAAAAATATTAGCATTTACATGATACCCCAAATGTACAATCTATTCTTCTTTCAAGCTTCTAATATAAACCTTCTTAGGTTAACTATTTTTAACATTGCTCTTGAGGAAATAACTGGAATTGTGTTTCCATAGTAATGATACTGAGGTATACGAAGTAGAATCTACGTACAGAACCATAAAAATGGGAGAGATTTGTCATTTGGCGTGCTCTAATCTAAGAGCTCACCAACTCCTGCTTTCAGTGAAATTGTATTTGAATTCTTTTAGAGAATGGTTTAAACTGCCTTGCTTTAAAGCGGGCAGCTGGACTCAATGAAATGGATCACTCTGGTATAAATTCCATCTACAGCCGTTTGCTACCCATAACAGAGGCTTACCTTCCCAATATTTCCAGTAACTCTGCTATGCCATTATGATGCTCTGTTTCATAAATAAACCTAGAAAAAACAATTTTCCCATTAGAATTAGACACTGAACTAACCTGAATAAGAAAACAATGCTCTAGGAGGAGCCATGGAGCCAGGCAACAAGAAGCGCATCTATTTGTGCAAACACTGCTCGTGGTGAGCAAGCAGCCCTTCAGGAACCAAAGAAACTCCTCAAGGCCTGCAGCTGTAAATGCCTCGAGGGCAGAGAACTTGGTCTTGCACGAATTTTTTTCTCAATATTTTATTTTGGAAAATTTCAAGCATCTAGGAAAACGGAAAGAATTCTACAGTGAACACCCATTTCAACCACCAGATTCGACCACGAGCAATGTGCTCCATCTGCTTGATCACACGCACATCTGTTCATCCATCTTTTACTCGTTCATTAATCCATCTTACGTTTTTGCTGTATTTCAACATAGGCCAATGTCTTACTTAATTTTAAAGCCCGCAATATTTAGCACAGTTCCTGCAAAGGGTAGAAGTGATTCCTGAACTCCTCTTATTCTACCTGCCCAGTTCCCCACTGACACCCACACGCATCCTCCGTGCTGTCTCAGGTGCGATCTTTCTGAAGCACCCATCTGCGACAGACCCAGCTCCCTTCCTCTGAGACATCTCTGTCCACTGCGCCTGCTTCTAGGGGAGCCCCAGGACACGCACCCTACCCTCTGTGCCAGCCTGTCTCCCTCCAGATGGGGCCACTGCAAAGACAGGGCCAAGGACTTCTCGTGACTATGTTCCCAGGGCTAGGAGCAAGCCTGGCATCTGTTTGATGCTGAAAACACGTCTGCTGAATAAACCGGGCACAAAGAGAGGGAACAGGGACATGTTAGGAAACAGGAAAATGTCCTCCCCGCAAAGGGCTCCTACAGAAACAAAGAAGCCTCTCCTGCCCCAAGCCTCGTGCACCTGGGATTGGTCTAGAGCAGTCCACGAGGGGTATCCTGCATGCAGTGAGAGGGTCTGAAAGATCCCTGCCCATCAGATGAAAACCATTTGATTAGAGACCGCTCTAAGCCAAAAATAAGTTTGAGAAGATTAAAAAATTCAACTCTGAAATTTCGTTCACTTTGTTTGAAACAAATGAAATAGTGTGACCTTAACATCCACAGATGTGAAATATTTTTCAAGAATGGGTCTTAACATTTCTATGTTCCCAAACATCAGAATGCACTGAGAGGTGGTGCTTGAATTGGGTACTGAAGGAGGATTTTCACAGATTTTTTTTTTTTATATGGCAGTGTGGAGAGGGAGAAGAACTCGTTTGGCTGGAACAAAGGTCTGTGCCGTGGAGTGGGGTGGGCAAGATGCATGGAGAGGCTGGAAGGCCAGCTTAGAAAAGCCGAAATCTGGCCGGGCACAGTGGCTCATGCCTGTAATCCCAGCACTTTGGGAGGCTGAAGCAGGTGGATCACCTGAGGTCAGGAGTTCAAGACGGGCCTGGCCAACATGGCAAAACTCCACCTCTACTAAATATATAAAAATTAGCCGGGCATGGTGGCACATGCCTGTAATCCCACATATGTGGGAGGCTGAGGTGGGAGGATCACTTGAACCTGGAAGATGGAGGTTGCAGTGAGCTGAGATGGCGCCACTGCATTCCAGCCTGGGCAACAGAGACCCTGTTTCAAAACAAAAAACAAAACAAAACAAAACAAAACAACACAACAGAAAAACTGAGATCTGCTCTTGCAGGAACCAGGAAGCAGAACCTTTAGCAGGGAGACCCAGTAGCACAACAATGCAGGTGGCCAAAGCCTAAGAGGGAGGGAGGGACGTTACCAGGGCAGAGCTCAGTGCCGTGGGTGACAGGAACGACACTGGTGCCATGACAAGAAACAGAAAATGCTCGCACCTGGTGTCCCTCAGCCTGCACCTACCCTGAGGCTTGGAAGCTGTGACCAAGCAGAAGTCAGTCTGTGTGTGTCTACACCGAGAGGTGCTTTAATTTACGAAACTCACCCTGCAGGCTCCCTTTGCATACACGGCAGCCGTGTGGCTTCAGTTTACTATTCCTCTCGCATGGACCTTGGAGAGCTGTGATCTGGGCCTCTCCGAGACAAAGACCCCTGGACCCCTTCTGGTCTAGATCCATCAGCTTTAACATTTACATAAGGATGGCTTGCAGTTATAAGCCATTTTGTTTTCCTAAATCAACATTACTACATTCTTACTGATAAATTCTTAATTTCTAATTTTTTAAACCTGCTTTGATGTAGGCAGAAGAAAGAAGAAATAAGGACAGTTCTTTTCCTTCTTCCTTTTCCAGCGGGAGACAAACAGGGACACCCTGGGAGGGAAACAGAGATCCCTGGGAGCCGGAGAGAGTGTTTCTCACTCTTTCAGCAGAAAGGGAATCAGACCCCCCAGACACTAAGCTGGGAACCTGCTGGCTATAGAAGTCTCCAGAAAGGATTCTAAATGCCTTTCCTGCCTGTATGATGTATTCTGGCCTCATGGGAAGAGGTGGACTCTATTTCTCCTTCCTCTGAAGCTGGGCTGTCCTTGTGCCCTGCTCTGACCAACACAAAGGGCAGAAGTCACTCTGCACCAGTTCCAAGCCAAACTCTTAGGAGGACTGGGGGTCCTGCCTCTCCCCTCTTGGACGTGGCCGTGGCTGTAGAAACTCAGACAACCTGGAGGAGCTCAAGGCATCACAGAGGCAGCGTGGGGACCTGCTCAGCAGCCCCTGTGAACACTCCAGCCCCAGCACACGCCACGGAGCAGAACCGTCTGGATGAGCCTAGCGCAGACGACAGCATCGTGAGGAGTGATGGACCATGCTGACAGAAGCCACTGAGCTGGCGGTGGCTCCTGGCTCCAGGATGGTGTGAGGTAGTGACACATCCTGGTGATGATGGGGACAGTTTGATGGCATCTCTCTGTGAGATAAGAGCATGAGCAGGTGCTGCACAGCCTTGCTGCAGGGCCAGGGTGAGGATAGAGCATGACCCATGGCTGGTTATGCAGCAAGAGAAGGAACGGCACACTGCCCTGCCCGCCCAGCCTCCAGGTCCCGCTGTGTGCCAGAGCAGGCACCATGGGTTATGGACAGCACTGTTTAACTCACACTTAAGCTGACGGTAATGATAAACCATAGAAATAAACAGCAACCTTATATTTACATTTTCAGTTAAGTTGAGCCAAATATGTTCAAAATGTTTTTTCTTACAAGACACAGCTGTTCTATATTGAACTTAGATGAGCTGGCTGGGTGTGGTGGCTCACGCCTGTAATCCCAGTGCTTTGGGAGGCTGAGGCAGGAGGATCACTTGAGGCCAGGAGTTTGAGACCAGCCTGGGCAACACAGTGAGACAGATCTCCATCTCTACAAAAATTTTAAAAGTTAGCCGCATGTGGTGGCACACATCTGTAGACCCAGCTACTTGGGAAGCTGAGGTAGAAGGATCCCTTAAGCCCAGGGGTTTGAGGCTGCAGTGAGCTATGGAGTACAGCATCACTGTACTCCAGCCTGGGTGACAGAGTGAGACCCTGCCTTAAAAAAGGAGAAAAGAAAAGAAAAGAAAAGAAAAAAACCTAGATGAGCTGAATGCAACTCTCAAGATCTTTCTTCTTTTTTTTTCCTCACATGAAATGAGGAGGTAGTGGTATTGACAATGAGGACCCAAACCAATCACGGAATCTAGATAGCATGCTTGCTTTTGACTGCGCGTATCAGGACAATTACAGAAAAGACTATCAAAAGCATGCACACAATTACAGAAAAGACTATCAAAAGCATGCACACAATTACAGAAAAGACTATCAAAAGCATGCACACAATTACAGAAAAGACTATCAAAAGCATGCACACAGACACAAATGCCATATTCTAGCACCAAGCCTTTAGTGAGAACTCAAGTAAATTATGCGTAATAACTTTGGAATACTAATCTATTTAAGTATTTCCTAAGGTTCTTTAAGGTACAAAACACTTTCTACTACTTTTTTTTTTTTTTTTTGAGACGGAGTCTTGCTCTGTCGCCCAGGCTGGAGTGCAGTGGCACGATCTCGGCTCACTGTAAGCTCCGCCTCCCGGGTTCACGCCATTCTCCCGCCTCAGCCTCCCGAGTAGCTGGGACTACAGGTGCCCGCCACCACGCCCGGCTAATTTTTTGTATTTTTAGTAGAGATGGGGTTTCACCGTGTTAGCCAGTATGGTCTCGATCTCCTGACCTTGTGATCTGCCCGCCTCGGCCTCCCAAAGTGCTGGGATTACAGGCGTGAGCCACCACGCCCGGCCCATTTTCTACTTCTTAAATGCAGATGTTCAATAGATTTGTGATTCTGCTATCTGAACAAAACCTACTAGAATTAAGAAAACAGAAATATGTTAGGTAGAGCTTTAATTTTAGGTCAAGAAGACTGGAAATTTAAATTGTACCTGTTGTATGTTAAATAATGTATATTATGTTTTCATAGATAAGTATACCAGGCAAGTAATGATCTTGTTAAAAAGGAATCATGATACCAAGAAACATAAAATAGAAACATAACATTTAGGAAAGTGACATCATTCTCTGTTATAGTTAATGTGTCAGGTCTGGGCTATGTCCAGCACCGGGCTCCATTTTACAAACGAGATGTGGGGTACTTGGAAGGAGTTCAAAGGAAAGCCACACGCAAAATCAAAGGCTCTCACGCCGAAATGCCCTATCAGGTGTGCAGGTCAGGAGGGAATGCAACCCTTATGACTGCAGAGGGGAAAGGCAGGGTGCTCCTGACGCAGGCTGTGCAAGCCGGCACGGGATGGGAGAGGCCGGGGCTGTGGGCCCTAATGACTGCAGAGGGAAAGGCAGGGTGCTCCCGACGCAGGCTGTGCAAGCCGGCACGGGATGGGAGAGGCCGGGGCTGCGGGCCCTAATGACTGCAGACGGAAAGGCAGGGTGCTCCCGACGCAGGCTGTGCAAGCCGGCACGGGATGGGAGGGGCCAGGGCTGTGGGTTTTGGCAGGGGGGGTCTCATCTGCCATCTGTCTGTCTCAGATGCCCCTTTTCTTTTCCCGTGGTCACTGTGACTAAGAAAGGACCCCGAGGCCCGTGTTGGGCGTGGCTGACACCTGGCCCCTTCTCCAGGCCATGGCCCGTGCTCTGTCCACACCCTGGCCCTGCAGCGAGGCTGTGTGGGACCTGCTCATGCTCTTATCTCACAGAGACACGCCATCATACCGTCCCCACCATCACCAGGATGTGTCACTACCTCGCAACATCCTGGAGTCAGATGCCTTAGAGGCAAGCTGACCAGAGAAGCTGTAACTTGTAGAAGAAACTGCTCATTTAGTGAACTTTCCAGGAACAAAAAGAAACAACAGGAACTGTTTCCTCTATTGACATTCACTTGGTGCCACCGCAGTGGGGAGCACGAAACTGGCAGTGGGGTGGGGCGTGCGACAAATCAACTGACATGGTGGCTGCCCTTGCGGGAGACCAGACCCACCGCCAAGTCAGGCAGAGCCTCCCAGTGAAGGGATGTTTCAGGAAGCCTGGGAGGCTGAGGGAAGGGCTGGTGTAAAAAAGACATTCCAGGAGGCTCCAACACTGGCTACAGAGCCCTGGCGTGGAAGGAGCCTGGAGCTGAGCAGAGGCTGGCTGGGGAGGGGCGGGCCTGGAGGTGGGCCTGCCACTGGACTCTGTCCTCCTCCACCGGCTGCTCCAGCGGGGCTTTCCCTCCCCTGGTGCACAGTGGGAGTCTCCAAACCTTTAACCGAGGTGCACAGATCTCAGGCTTTCTACAGATGAATGACATCACTTCTTGCCCCGCCTCCTCTCACTGAGACTCCACGGGAAGAATGAGGTGATGCACAGGTAGAAGGAAAAAGCTGGTGTGAAGGTTAATACTGAGTGTCAACTTGACTAGATTGAAGGATGCAAAGTATTGTGCCTGGGTATGTCTGTGAGGGTGTTGCCAAAGGAGATTAACATTTGAGTCAGTGGACTGGGAGACGCAGACCCATCCTTAACCTGGGTGGGCACCATCTAATCAGCTGCCGGTGCGGCCAGAATTAAGCAGGCAGAGGAACGTGGAAGGGCTAGACTGGCTGAGTCTTCTGGCCTCCATCTTTCTCCTGTGCTGGATGCTTCCTGCCCTTGAACATTGGACTCTAAATTCTTCAGCTTCTGGACTCTTGGACCTACACCAGTGGTTTGCCAGGGGCTCCTGGGCTTTCCGCCACAGACTGAAGGCTGCACTGTCCGTCTCCCTACTTTTGAGGTTTTGGGACTCGGCCTGCAGACAGCCTATTGTGGGTCTTCACCTTGTGATCGTGTGAGTCAACTCTCCTAATAAACTCCCCTTCATATATTCATCTATCCTATGCGTCCTGTCCTTCTAGAGAACCTTCACTAATACAGTTGGTCTGGATGGAACCAATTCATCCACATTTCCAGGAAACTTGACCTTTCAGTAGAAACAGGAACAATGGAGGGACCCAGGATGAGGCGCTGGGGAGCTTGGTGGCTCAGGAGGGAGCTGTGGGGAGAGGGGAGGAAGGCAGGGAGGATGAGCCCAGCAGCCCCCTGCACACAGTGCACAAGGGGGTCCACCTGCACATGACAAATAGGCTTTGAGAAACCCCCTCCACATGCTGAGTCCTGTCAGAGGAGACGATGGGGTAGGGGAGCATCGAGGGGGGAAATGAGCATCACCACACACAAGGACAACGCCATCCACACGTGACTTACCTATAAAATATATTATTTATCTGTTTTCTGATGTAAGCTCTCAAGCCTAGGAATTTCCCATAGATTCTGTGAAGGGTGGTTTTAAGAAAATCTCTCTCCCGAGGATCTTCACTGTCAAAGAGCTCTAAAAGCTTTGAGAAGAAAAAGACACTTAGTGGCTGGGTGTCATCATTCCATCAGGGCTTTCAGAGTGTCAGCTAATTTGTACCTTACCTGCAATACAAACTTCTGATCAATATATTTCTTCGCTATATTAGGTTGGAAATCTGGAGACTCTAAAAATCTTAAGAAAAATTCATAAACAAGCTAGGAGGAAAAAAAACAATGAGTCAAATAACATGAGATTTTATTGAATGGCGGTTAAAATATACCAGAAATTGAATCTTTATTGGTATGCAAATATTAGCCTCTCAAAGCCACATATCTACAGAATTAATGCTAAATTACATGGCTTAATTCAATGATAAATGGTGATGGTAATTATTTTATTTGGTGAAACCCACAGACTACACCCTTAAACGGCATTTAAACAAAATGATCTCCATGGCTGATGTCATCAGTTATAGTACACTGTTCAGGGACTACAGGGCACAGATGCCACAAACCAAGCCATGACCCAACTCTGCAGGGGGGATTTGCAGCCTGTCGCCTAGGAGTGTCCCACAATGCCAAGGCGCAGAGCCAACCAAATACACAGGAACTCTGGGGCTGCCAGGTAAGAGGGCCCTAAGATGTGGACCCAGAATCATGACCTCCTGGAGCTGGGACAATTCTTTCCCTGTGCAGACATGCTGGGTGGGACAGCGTGGGCCGCCTGTCACGGATGGATGGCCCTCCCACCCGCACACCTGGCCCCCGCTCTGCTCATGCCGACCCTGGCGCCTCCTTGCCAACCAACCTTCTGCCTTACAAATGCCCTGGGGAAAGGCAGTGGCCAGCGCAGGACCTGGGGGCCCAGCAGGCACCTATTAAATATGAGGAGCAAAAACTGGGAGATTGTTGGCTTAGGACCTCTGGGCCTGAATTCAATTCAACGGCCATCAACACAGCGGCCATCTTCACTGAGAACATACTCACAATTACACATCTTCACTGGCTGTTGTAAAGTGGTCAAACACACACATTAACTTTATTCTGCTGAAATATTTTTCTTGTACATATGGGTTTACGAGGCCCATGCTACTGAGGAGGAGAGGTCCATCTGGCCAGACCAGTGCGCCCGCTCTGTGGATCCCAGGCCATTCCCATGTGTCACCAGTGCCCTCCGAGTCTATCACCCAGAGCCCGATACCTGTAGATGAGGCCAGGCTGCTTCTAACGTTGGTTCATCTTCCTCCGGGTCAAATTCCGCTCCCGTAGGATTGGAGGAAGGTGGTAATGTTCGAAACATGTTAACTGCAAACTAAAATCCACATATTCTATAATTACAATCAGGGCATTTAAAATATTTACAGACAACATTTTATAAAGTCTTAGGTAATTCTAACAGTAGCCGCTTCCCATGGTAACTTAGCTCCTCCGTATCCTCAAAACGCAGAAGCTGTGTGGGTCCTCAGAGAGAGCCTGGATCAAAACTGCAGCAGGAAACATCACTTTGGACAGGTGCGCACGCAAGTTGACCACCAAAGTTACTTGGACTCTTGACTGTCAAACTTTGAATGACAACCAACACCAACAAAGGCTGATGGCACAGTGATGACTTCTGAGGTCTTATACTATCCAGTGGGTGCAAGACCAAGGAGAATGCTCAAAATGAGAGTAAGAAAGGGATGAGATGACGAAAGACGCAGCAGAGATTCACAGCTGAAAATGCTGGAAATGGCAAGGGCTGCGTCACGCAGGGAGGACCCGTGTGACAATGGCACCAACATCCTCTGCAATCCGCAACGATGAGGAAAGCAACAGTCAGAGTGGGACGACCTTTGAGTCGGCAGCTAAGATCATTTCCAGAGAAAGGACTGCTCAGGGGCACAGAGGATCGGTAGGGGCAGCATGGCTGTGCGCCCAGGCATGGGCTGTTAGATTTCTCTCAGTCTGTTTGGACTTGTATAACACATACTGACAGATCAGTGACATAAACAGAAAAGATTACTGTTTCCATGTCATACATTTATAACCTATTTTTATTTTGTACTAAATCTATGTATTTATTTATTTATTTTTGAGGTGACGTCTCCCTCTGCGGCCCAGGTTGGAGTGTAGTGGTGCGAACTCGACTCATCACAACCTCTGCCTCCCGGGTTCAAGTGATTCTTGTGCCTCAGCCTCCCGAGTAGCTAGAATTACAGGCGTGCACCACCATGCCTGGCTAATTTTTGTATTTTTAGTAGAGATGGGATTTCACCACGGTTTCACCATGTTGGCCAGGCCAGTCTCAAACTCCTGACCTCAAGTGATCCGCTCCCCTCAGCCTCCCAAAGTGCTGGGATTACAGGCGTGAGTCACCATGCCCAACCCTCTTTTATACTAAGTCTAAATATGATTGGTTACCTTATTGAATCTCTGAACGGATCGTATGCCAGTTATATAACTGGGTTCTGGTGAATGGCTCTTATAGGTGATCACAACCCCAGTCCCACCACTCTCAGAAGCACAAAATCAAAACCTTTGACATAAAAGATTAAAATCTGACTCTACGATAACAACGAGAAGATGTTTCTAGAGAGTCCAGGGCAAACTTGGCTGGCTTTAGATACCCAGTCTTGTAAAGACCAAGCTAATACTCAATGTCACCACTGCTGTTTCTTCCCTTTTCTTTTTTCCTCTTAAAGACAGGGCATCTCTCTGCTGCCCAGGCTGGAGTACAGTGGCCATCATCGCTCACTGCAGCCTCCAACTCCTGGGTTCACACGATCCTCCTGCCCCAGCCTCCCAAGTAGCTGGGACTACCAGCACGCACCACCATGCTCTGCTAATTTTATTTATTTTTTGCAGAGACAAGAACTCGCTACGTTGCCCATGCTGGTCTCAAACTCCTGGGCTTAAGCAATCCTCCTGCCTCGGCCTCCCAAAGTACTGGAATTAGAGGCGTGAGCCACCGCACCTGCCTGTTTCTTCCCTTCTTTACTGGTATTGATACTGAACTCCAAACCTTAATATCATTTTTCAGAAAGTCATCAGCTATAAAAGCTCTGAGCATCAAGCATCTGAGTATCAAGCATCTGAGCTTGTTCTCTGTGTCATCTGAGAGGGGAGCTGACGTAAAGACCAACTGTAATGGCCTTCACGGATACTGTAGAAACGCAGGGATGAAAAAAGGGGCTGAAAAGCCAGGAACAACTAATTAAAAAACACTTCTAGTAAAAGTATGAGTAATGTTCCTAAGACATAGGTACAAAGACAAAAGTTTGCAATCTAAAACCGAGAGTTAACCTGACTCTCACTGGTGTTATAATTTCTGGCAATGTCTACTCTCCAGGGACTGTCCCCTCCTCTGTGAAGCTAGTGTGTGTATAGGGCACTGCAAGGAGCCTCCCAAAGAACGGTGATTGACAGGTGGACGGCCCTGCCTCAGTTGCTGGCCCACAGGCACTCGGCGCAGACAGGGGTCTAGTCTGCCCCTCCTGGCACCCTGACCCCAAAGCCCACAGACGTGAACAAGCAGATGCTAAAAGCTCAACTATTAAGGAAAGGCCACACACACACACACTTTGGGCAGGCCGCCATGTCCTCCCAGGGTCCTGTCATTAGCAGCCACTGCTGAAGCTCTCCATAACTTCCAGGGCCATGAAGGGCAGAGAAAGGAAAGTCTGAATTGAGTCTTTAGCTCCTACGGGGAGTGTGGCATTCGTGAACTGGGGTTTCTACCCTCTCTCTCAAAGCCAAGAGACTGGGGTGAGGGTCCAGTCACCCACAGGACAGGGTCACCTTCAGGAAAGGGAGATGGCACTTTGTTCTTCGGTGGGTTAGAGCTGTGGGCCCGGCCTGGTGCCGACAGGGGCAGAGCACAGTGTGGGGAGGGCAGAGCCTGGGCACGAACTCTGGGTGGCAGAGGAATCTGTGAACAGGACTATGCCTGGCAGGAGACTCTGGGAACAGCCTGTGACATCAGGGCCTGAGGAACCATGGCGCCTGGAAGGAAAGCACGGTCACTGCTTCCGAGGTTTCTGGGGCTGCCCATCAGGGATACAGAGGCCAGAGCAGGAGCCGTAGGGCCACGCCGCCCAGGAAGCTGCCAAGGGAGAGAGGGGTCAGCTCACCCAGAGACGAGGCTGTAGGTCTTGGGGGAGAGGAAACAGCCGTCCCTCTGGAAGAGGCCTGCTGCCCAAGAGTCACAGACATGCCACAGAGGAAGAGACCACCATTCTGGCCGAGGCCACAGGGAGCAACTGAGCAGAACAGGCAGCTGCCCTTCCCCTCTGCTCTGGGTTCTGCTCAAAGCCCCGGGGGAGGGCGGGCAAGAGGGGCTCGGAGCCACCCTTGCTTCCCCTCCTCTCCCACAGCATGTCCCTCCCTGGCCAGGCTGCCTGGGGTGCGGCTTAGATGCCATTTGCAGAGGGTCTGAGATGAAAGCTTTAACCTAGATTGGATTTCTGTGACCAGGGATGACTAAGAAGTTAACCAACTTGCCTAAGATGTTATTTAGGCACAGGAAAGTGTGATTTCACCCATCGTGGTTAAAGGCGATAACTGAAAAAAAGTAAAATGTCCCCGACTGTGCCAGCTGGCCGTATGTGTCAACCCGGCTAGGCCACAGTGCCCAGCTGTCCAAACACTGCTGTGGGTGTTCCTGTGAAGGCATTTTATAGATGTGGTTAACACCTATAATCAATGGACTTCAAGTAGCGATCACTCTTGAGAATGTGGGGGCTTCAACCAGTCAGCTGAGAGGCCTGTGAGACCCAAACTGCAGCTTCTCTGAGGAGAGTCCACCTGCGGCCTGCAGTGTCCACCACGGCCAAGTCTCGTGCCCGCTGCCTGTCCACGGAGTCCAGACCTGCCCGCTGGACTCACCCACTGCAGAAGGCAAGTCCTTGAGATCTCAATCTCTGTCTCTCCTGCTGTTTCTCTGCACAGCCCTGACTGAGGCACCCAGTCAGCTGAGATTCCTAAGTAAACTGGTGGTTTCTACTAGCAGGAAAGCTAGTGATTAGGGTTTCCAGTTGAAGCTCTCCCGCACAGTGACAGTCAGCCCAGCAGCTAGGCCCCGTCTCAAACACCTGCACACTCACTGAATCCTTGATGCTGAGCTGAGGGCCTGCAAGGTGACTCAGATGGCTTGCTCTGAACACAATGTCCTCTTTTCAGTGTCTGTCATGGACTCAATGCTTGTGGCCTCCCTTCCTCACATTCATGTTAAAGACCTAAACCCTGGTGTGGCTGGATTTGGAGATGGGTCCTCAGAGAAAATAATGAAGGGTGAATGAAGTCATAAGTGGGGCCTTGGCCCTCCAGGATTAGTGTCTTTGTAAGGAGGGATGGTAGAAGGCTCACACTCGCCTTCTCTGCACTTGCTCGGAGCAAAGGCCATGGGAGGGCACAGTGGCCGTCTGCAAGCCAGAAAAGGCCCTCAGCAGGGAACAAACCCTGCTACACCCTTGAGTTTAGACTTTCCAGCCTCTAGAATGGAGAGAAGACACATTTCTGTGGTTTAAGCCACCAGCCTGTGGTATTTTCTTACGGCAGCCTGAGCAGACTGATACAGCGTCCTTGACTGATGACCGACCTAGGTCCGGGAAGGTTCATTCCAGGCCAATTCTGATTGATTGAAAGTCATTTCTCATGTGTAAGGAAAAAAACTTGCACTCCTAACTTCTACACACCTTTCTTACCACATTACATTGCATTAATTTAGTGCATATCTCTAGAAAAGGTTAAGTAAAAAGTAATACTGGGGCGGGGGGAAGGAACAGAGGGCCAACGGTCTATCACCTCAAATTCTTCTTGGGTTTCTGACCTAGCAACATTTCTTAACACAAAAGCTGCAGGGGCGAATCAGGGGCAGGAGCCCCAGGTACAGAAACCTGGGGTGCTGATGTCTGTGTGCAAATGTCACTGCCATGCTACCTGGATGCATGGATCCGGTCTGAGGAAACAGAGAAGACATCAACGTTATGCAGTGAACACCAAAGAAGCTCTGAGGTCTAAGGAGTCCCGGGTCTTCTGGGCAGCACACAGGGTCACTGTGATCTCTCAAATGAGACCTACGGATCCAGCGCACACCCAGAGGCACAGACGCAGAATCACGCTGCCCAACAAAGGCAGCACAGCCTCATGGAAACAGTCTCTCTACACCCTCTTCCCACCTAGAAGAAGGACCTCAGACCAAACAGCCTGCCTGAGCCTCAATTTTCTCCTCCATTGGAAAGGGTAAAGGCCAGGCGCGGTGACTCATGCCTGTAATCCCAGCACTTTGGGAGGCCGAGGCGGGTGGATCACTTGAGGTCAAGAGTTCAAGAGCAGCCTAGCCAACATGGTGAAACCCCATCTCCACTAAAAATACAAAACTTAGCTGGGTGTGGTGGTGGGTGCCTGTAATCCCAGCTACTCGGGAGGCTGAGGCAGGAGAATCACTTGAATCTGGGAGGTGGAAGTTGCAGTGAACCGAGATTGCACCACTGCACTCCAGCCTGGGCAATAGAGTGAGACTCCATCTCAAAAAAAAAAAAAAAAAAAAAAAAAAGCGTAAATCCTTTTTTTATTTTTTGCATTGGGCTGTGGTGAGAATCACAGAAAACACATGCAACAGCACTTACTAAATGGGAAAACATTATGCACGAACAGTTAGCATTACACAGCACTTCCCAAACGTTTCTGACTGTTTGACCTCCACATGAAAATAATGGCACGCACGTGAGTGCATACGTATGTCTGCATGTGATTCACACGGCCCCATCTGTGCCAGGACCGTCTCTGGTTAATATCAGGAAGCACCTGCTTCTGCTGCCTCCCTGACACTTCCACTTTCAGTACTTACATCAGTCCTGCAGATGTTCTCCAAATTGCTAAATTTATTAAATTAGATGTAAACTAGAATGGCCCAAGAAGCAACTTTACGGAAAATTCTTACAATTCAGCAATATCATGCAGCCTTTCTGTATGTGTTATCATTCATTACCAATGAGTGAATATTTATGCCGTAACATAACTGCAGCAGTGTAACATATAAAAATTTTAAGACATGAAGGGATACATTAAAAAAAAAAACCGCTGACAGTCTAACTTTAGAGGCAACAGGAAAGAAAGGTTTGATTATTTACAGTTCTCTGTTCAAAACCACAAGGGTTATTCTGTTATTTATTCTCTGTTTTATTCATGTCAACAGGATTTATAACAGATGAATCCATCAAAGGCCAAATTACAGTTACTGCAGAACACTTCCTCCTGTGATGGAACTGTTAGGTTCTACGAGTCATATTGCTAAGAGATACATTTCTGGGAAGGGCAGAAAGTGTTAAGCCCCTTCGCAATATATATATATTTAAGTACAAAATTGTCATTTGTTTGCAAATGATATAGCTGGAAAACAGAAGCAACAGACAGACCATCACAACTAGACTACCACATGCAAATATCAAAAATATGAAACCAACAGCAACCACCTTTCCACTAACAATTAAGCAAATACAAAAAAGAAACAGAGACGAAGACTCCAGCTACCCAGACACAAAAACTACAAAGTGCCTGGGAATTACTGACCTAGTTACAAGGCCTTGATGGAGAAAGCAGAAAACTCTAATAAAAGGCACTGAAGAATGCCCGAAAAAACGGAGGAACCTTTGATGTGGAATGAGATCATATTACAAAGATGGAACTTCGCAGAGCAATGTATAAAGCAGACACAATCTTAAACTGAATTTTTGATGAACTCAATGAACTTAACCTAAAATTTAGGTAGAATAGTAAAAATCGTAGTAGCAGTCTTAAAGGGAGATACTACCCCTTTCCCCATTTGTAAAGTGAGTTTGAATCTGCTTTCATGGCACCAGAACTCAGCTATCATCTAGAGAACATAAATGCACAGCAATCCCAGCACCTACCACTGTGCCTGGCACCTAGGAGGTCCTCAAACACTTGCTGAGAGTAAATGGATCCTGGGAAAAGCACGCATCAGTCACCTTATTAACTGCAACACCAATTAATTACCTGGAAACTGTGAAAAATGTCTCATTAAACCTTTACGTCTCAGCTGCAAAATAATTACAGTCCTAATTGGGCCCCTAATTTTAAGCTCTTCTATGATGCTGTACATTTTCTTTGGAATATTTATCTCAAGTATGACTGGGTGGCCGGGAAGTCCTTGGTTTAATATCTTCCTGCTGGCCCTGGCACACAATGAGTGCTCGGCAGTGAAGAGAGGTAAGGGAGAGCAGAGCCTTCTTCCCACAAATCTACCTCGCGCTTCCTCCACAGCAAGAGCTGCTTTCAAAGAATCGATTTCACCTCCAAATAGATGCCATGATGTGACAGTCAAGAAAAGAACCACAACATTGAAAATTCTTACTTTGAATAACTTGCTATTTTTACAATCTATTCAAATATGTTCCTAAATAGCAGTTAAAGATATGGAAATAAAAACTTACGGGCTAGGCGCGGTGGCTCACCCCTGTAATCCCAGCACTTTGGGAGGCTGAGGCGGGCAGGTCACCTGAGGTTAGGAGCTCAAGACCAGCCTGGCCAACATGGCAAAACCCTGTCTCTACTAAAAATACAAAAATTAGCCAAGTATGGTGGCACAGGCCTGTAATCCCAGCTACTCTGGAGGCTGGGGCAGGAGAATCGCTTGAACTTGGGAGGTGGAGGTTGCAGTGAGCTGAGATCGTGCCACTGCACTCCAGCCTGGGCGACAGAGCAAGACTCTGTCTCAAATTAAAAAAAAAACAAACAACTTACAAACCTTTGTAGAATACTTAATAAAGGAAATTTAGTCTAAACTTTTCAAACAATGAATATTTTAATTTTCTACAGTTTCATAACAAGATCATCTTCAGATAAGCATGAAAATAAATCATTTACAGTTATGTGCATGAGTTTATATTTTTTGAGTTTAGAATATTTATACATAAGAAATAATTCATAATACTTATAATTCAATTCAACTAGTGTCATTTAAAGATAACACTGGATTTGGAAGTGCTCTTAAGTTATTTACTCTGGGCCAAAGATTAGTTTCGTATAGATTCTGAATGATGTATTCCCAATGTTTTTATTACGAAAAATTTCAATGCAATAAAGTTGAAAGAATTTTATAGCGAACAGCTATCATCTAGATTTTACCATTAGCATTCTAATATATTTGCTTTATCATGTATTCTGATTTCTTTTTGCAGTAAGGTATGAGAAAGTTTAGTAATGCTTTAGCATAGCAGAACAACATACTCTCTATCCAACGTGATATAAATCAACTGAGAAGGGAAGTTTCAGAGCTAAACTCCTTATCACTTCCCAGTCATGTATGCACAGCCATTTCCCCTAACCCCAAATGACGTATGAAATTATGGCATTATAAATTATGCAAACAGTCTTTCATTTTTATAATAATTGCTAGATCCCCTGGGTGGACGGAGTTAAGTGTTTATTGAGTATCTATTATAAATGAAGCAGACTTATGCTTCCAGATGAGATGGAGTAACAAGGATGAGGTTTATGCTACTGCCTGAAACAACCAAATATTTGGGCAAAAATATATAAAATTACGGTTTTCAAGACACTGGATTTCAGACAACGAAGGATAAGGACAGTGATCCCTGAGATGGGAACAAGTGAGGCACGTCCCACACCGCCCCAGGCTCCTGCCTTGATAGATTTTTAGGTTGTAGTATAGGCAGAAAGAACCCAGGTGGGACCCAGGATTCAAACTGGATTAGAATTTGCAAGGCAGAGTTCCACAGGGGAGACAGCTGCACACAGAGAAGAACTACAGTGATTTATTTGTAGAGGTCACTCAACTATTCAGCAGAGTACAGATCAGCATATTTGTGTGAGAAAACTACCAGAGGTTGGGAAAAGAACCACCTGAAAGGATTAGTGAGAACCCAGTACTTGTTCGGGGCTGGGAACAGTGTCTGTTCCCACCAACCAGATGGGAAAAATTCATAATCCATAGGGCACTGGCTTCCTAATCAGAAAGGTCTCAGTGGTGGAGAATAATTAGCTCTGGTTTTAATATAACTGTTCCTGCCTAAAACATCTGAAAAAGCAAGAACTGAAAGGATCAAACTATTTCCAAGTAACTTAATTGCATCCCCAAACAAATCTCAAGAACATGAATAGAGATATAGCACTCAACAAAGCAAAATTCACAATGTCAGACATCCAATTAAAAATTACCAGACACGCAAAGAAGCAGGAGAAGGATTTATAATGAGAAGAAAAACCAGTCAACTGAACTAAACTGAAATGACACAAATGTTAGAATTGGCAGACAAGGACATGAATACAGTATTGTGTCCAAAAAGTTAGGTGGACGTGAAAGATATTTTAAAAAGACACAAATCAAACCACTAGAGATGACAACAACAATATGTACCCACAGATCTCTAATTGCTTAAGTAAATTTGCTCACTTAATTAAAAAAAATGTGTGAAATGAAAAATTTACTGTAATAAAAATTAACAGAATAGACATGGCAGAAAAGATTAAAGAAGTTGAAGAAAGCAAAGGAAACTATCCAAATGTTACACAGAAAAAAAAAAAAGAATTAAGAGAAATAGAGCATCAGCATCAACTCTAAGAAGCCTAATACACGTTATTGGGATCCCTAAAGGAGAGAAAGGGTCATGGGACAGAAAAAAATATTTGAAGAGACAATTTCTCAAACTGATGAAAATTATAAACAAACTCTAAACACAGGCAAAATGAAGGAAACCATGCCAAGGCCCATCATAATCAAATGACTTAAAAAGAGACAACTGTGAAAGCTCCCAGAGGGGGAAAGGGTACATTATGTCCAAAGGAACAAAGAAAAGAATGGCAGGAGACATCTCATCAGAAATAATGCAAGCAAGACAACAGGCGAGCAAAAGTTTTTCAAGGATAAAACGGTCGACACGGAATTCTATACCAGCAAGCAGATCTTTCAAAACTGAAGGCAAGACCAGGCTCACCCCTGTACTCTCAGTACTTTGGGAGGCCAAGATGAAAGGACTGCTTGAGCCCAGGAGTTTGAGACCAGCTTAGGCAACCTAGTGAGACCCTGTCTCCACAAAAAGTAAAAAAATTAGCTGGACATGGTGGCATGTGCCTGTCATCCCAGCTACTGGGGCAGAGTTGGGGTTGGGGTGTGAGGTGGGAGGACTGATTGAGCCTGGAAGTCAAAGCTGCAGTGAGCCGTGATTGCACCACTATACACTGGCCTGGGTAACAGAGCAAGACCCTGTCTCAAAAAAAAAAAAAAAAAAAAAAGGCAAAAGAAAAGAAAGGCTTTTGCAGATACACGAAAGCTAAAAGAATTCATCATCAGTAGACCTGTGCTATAAGAAATATTAAGACAGTCCTTCAAGCAGAAGGTAATTGATATCAGATGGGTATCTGAATCTACACAAAGGAATGATGAACACTGAAAATTGTAACTATCTGGGTAAATATAAAAGATTTTTAATACCCGAAAACTTAAAGTATAATAAAAAAAGATTTTTAAAAATCACTTAAATTTCTTTAAAACAAAAATAATAAGATATTGAGGGGTTTATGTATGATAATAGCGGAAAGGCTGGGAGAGGAGAAATAGAAGTATACTGTTGTAAATGTCTTATATTCTATATGAAATAGTATGTTATCGCTTGAAGGTAGATTGTGATAAGTTAAAGGTGTGTTCTAGAAAAGACTAACAATTAAAATCAAACAATATGGAGTTATCATAAAGAAGCCAACAAATGAGATAGAAGGGAATCATAAAAAGTACTCAATTGATCCAAAAGAATGCAGACAAAGAAGAGAAACGATAAACAGGTGGGACAAATAGAAAAAAAATAGGAAGGTGGTACATTTAAACCCAAGTACATTCATAATCACATGAAAAATAAATGGTTTCAACACCCTGAAAGACAGGGATTGTCTGACTGAATAAAAAAGCAAGACTCAGCCGGGCACAGTGGTTCACGCCTGTAATCCCAGCACTTTGGGAGGCCGAGGAGGGCAGATCACGAGATCAGGAGATCGAGACCATCCTGGCTAACATGGTGAGAAACCCCGTCTCTGCTAAAAATACAAAATTAGCCGGGTGTGGTGGTGGGCGCCTGTAGTCCCAGCTACTTGGGGGAGGCTGAGGCAGGAGAATGGCATGAACCCGGGAGGCGGAGCTTGCAGTGAGCAGAGATTGTGCCACTGCACTCCAGCCTGGGTGACAGAGCGAGACTCTGTCTCAAAACAACAACAACAACAACAACAACAACAAAAACCAAAACAAAAAAAAACCAAGACTCAACAATACGCTATCTACCATACACCCACTTTACGTATAAAGATACGAACTGATCAAAAGTAAAAGGGAAGAAAAAGACATACCATGCCAACACTAGTCAGAAGAGCGCTGGAATGGCTATATTAAGGTGAGACGGAGTGGATTTCAGAGCAAATAATATTACCAGCAATACAGTCATATCTATCATGGTAAAAGAGTTAATTCACCAAGAGGGGATATACACTGAATATTTATATGAATATATATAACATGAAGCAAAACCTGATATAATTACAACAAGACAATAAACAATTACAAATGGGAAATAAACAGATCTATTTACAATGACAACCAAAAACCAAAATACTAATTTACGAGTCTAAGAAGATATTTATAGCATCTGTTTGCTGACAACTACAAAACAAGAAGACCAAAATGGGGAGACATGCTGTGTACATAGGCTGCAAAGCTCACACTGTTAAGAGGTCAATGGTCTCCAAGTCTACATGTTCACTGCATGCAGTAAACCCCTGGAGAATATTTTGTAGATAACAAGCTGATTTTAAAATTTATATGGAAAGGTAAAATAACTAGAATAGTCAAAACAATTTTCAAAAAGAAGAAAGAGGTTATAGCAGTCACACAACCTGATCTCAAAATTTACTATCAAGTACTGTACTGAAGACAGTGTGAGACTGGCAAACAGAGATACACAAACACGCGACAGGACAGAGTCCAGAAGAAGACTCACAACATGCTCAACTGATTTTTGACAAAGGAACAAAAGCAGTTCAATGGATATTCATCAGTCTTTTCAACAAACAGAACAATTGGAAATCCATACGCCAAAGAACGAACTGCAGACAAAATGGATCACAGACCTACATGTAAAATGTGAAACGATGAAGAAAATATAGGAGAAAAATCTTTGTGAGCTTAGGTTTGGCAGACTTCTTAGATATGCTACCAAAAGCACTACTGATAAAGGACAAATCCTAAGTTGGACTTTATCTCAATTAAACATTTTTGCTCTGTACAAGACACTTAAGAACAAAAAAAAAGACAAGCTACAGACTGAGAGAAAATATTTGCAAATCATGTATCTCGCAAAAAATCTGTACCCAGATATGTAAAGAAGTCTCAAAACTCAAAACTCAAAAAAAAAAAAAAAAAAAAAAAAAAGCCCAATTGAAAAACAGGCAAACAATTGGAACAGACAATTCACCAATGAAGATATACAAACGACAAAAAGCGCAGGGAAAAAATGCTTGGGCCAGGTGTGGTGGCTCACGCCTGGAATCCCAGCACCTTCATAGGCTGAGGCAGGGGGATCACTTGAGCTCAGGAGTTCGAGACCAGCTTGGGCAACACAGTGAGACCTTGTCTCTACTAAAAATACAAAAATGAGGTGGGTGTGATGGGCGCTTGCAGTCCCAGCTACTCAGGAGGCTGAGGTGAGAGGATCACCTGAGCCTGGGAGGTGGAGGCTGCAGTGAGCCATGATTGAGCCACTGCACTCCAGCCTGGCTGGCAGAGCGAGACCCTGTCTCCAAAAAACAAACAAACAAGCCTGGCATAATTAGTCATTAAGGAAATGCAAATTAAAATCAAAATGAGATAAAAGGACTGATGACACCAAATATTGACAAAGATACGGGAGGCATGAGAACTCACGCACTGTTGGGGGAATCACACGGGGCAGCCACTTTGGAAAACGGTTTGGCAGTTCCTTAGAAAGCTCAACACACACTTACCATTCACCTAGCGATTGCATCCCTATGTGTTTACCCAAGTTAAATAAAAGCTTATGTCTAAAATCGGTATGTAAGTATTTATAAAAGTTTTATTGCTCCAAATAAAACTGGAAACACCTCAAATATCCCTCCATAGGAAATGGATAAGCAAATGGTGTTACTTTTATATAATGAGACAACACTGAGAAGGAAAAGGAACAAACTGTGTGACAACATGGACGAATGTCCAATGCATCAAGCTAAGCGAAAGAAGCTAGACCCAAAGGCTATACACTGAATCCATTTCTATGGAGTTTCCATTCTGGAAAAGACAAAATGATGTGATAGAGAACAGACTAGTGAGGGGCAGAGAGAAAGGAAGGGGAAGGCTCTGACTACAAAGTGAGCATAAAGCCATGTTTCTGGAGGCTGAAGAAACTGTTCTTCTACTCGGGAGGCTGAGGCAGAAGAATCACTTGAACACAGGAGGCGGAGGTTGCAGTGAGCTGATATGGTGCCACTGCACTCCAGCCAGGCAACAGAGACTCCGTCTCAAAAACAAACAAACAAACAAACAAACAAAACCAAAAGAAACTGTTCTATATCCTGACTGTGGTGCGGAAGACGTGACTATACACATTTATCAAAGTTCCGAGAACTGGCCACAAGAAAGAGTGAATTTCACTATATGTAAATAAAAAATTAATTTAAAAAAAGTTATGGAAAGATATTCACTAGGTCATAAGTTCCCAAAACTTCTTGGTTCACAATGCCCTTGGTGTCTTAGTAATTTCTTCACTGCACCCCTAGACCAAAAGAAATACCTAACAAGTTTGGACATCTGAAAACACCCAGCTTTACTGAGATATAATTTATATACAATTAAATGTACATATTTAAAGTGTAAAATTTGATATTTAACATATGCATATATCTGTGAAACAATCATATAATCAGATAATGAACATACTCATCATCCCAAAAGTTTCTCAGCAGCCTTCTGAAAATACAATAAACATGAATTGGCTGATTGGAGGTAGAGATGGGTAGAACTGGGGAGGGGTGAAGTAGGAAAAAGATTAACTTTTTAAAATGCTTTCGTATTTGTTTCATTTGTTATCACATAAGCATGTATTTCTTTTATAATTTAAAAACATCAAAGGAAAATCTCAAAATCGTAAGAACAAACAAACCTCTAAAAAACAGCTTACTGATATTTAAAGTAGAAAAATCATTCTCTGGATTTCAAAAAGTACTTGGGAATGCATGATTTAAATCCTCACTTGAAATAAATTTGACTGCAACTCCATTGGTCAATGTACTATCCCTCTTAATTCAACACATTCTTTCCTCTCCCAAACTATCATCACCCTTATAGCAAGTAAAACTTTCCAGAACACACTGTAAATATCAGCTATAAAAATAGAAGAAGGAACGTGCCCCACATCAGTCCCTAAGTGAAGCACAGGACACCCATCTGGGGGTGCAGGGTGTGAGACCTCCCCCAGGACCCGGCCAACAGATCCTAAGAACACTCTCATGCCCATAAAACGTGTAAGTCAACATCAAATCACTTACAGACAGTGCGGATTAAAATAATGTGATCAACTAGTTTTCCCTGGAAACCAACAAGAGTCCTGATAAAAACAGTACTATATTACATACGGATAGCTTGTTTTTATTTTATCTTTTTAATTAATTAATTAATTTTTTTGATGGAATCTTGCTCTGTCGCTCAGGCTGGAGTGCAGTGGTGCAATCTTGGCTCACTGCAACCTCCACCTCCAGGGTTCCAGCAATCCTTCTGCCTCAGCCTCCCGAGTAGCTGGGACTACAGGTGCCCGCCACCATGCCTGGCTAATTTTCATATTTTTAGTAGAGATGAGGTTACACCATACTGGTCAGGCTGGTCTCGAGCTCCTGACCTCAGGTGATCCACCTGCCTCGGCTTCCCAAAGTGCTGGGATTACAGGCATGAGCTACCGCGCCTGGCCGCTTGTTTTTATTTTTAAGAAAGAAAAATATCTTTACTGGTTTTTGATGATGACAAATGTGGTACATAATTATTAATTTTTTTTTTTGAGGCAGAGTCTTGCTCTGTTGCCCAGGTAGGAGTGCAGTGGCACAATCATACCTCATTGCAGCCTTAAGCTCCTGAGCTCAAACAAGCCTCCCACCTCAGCCCCGACCGAGTAGCTAGGCATATAGGTGCAGGCGTGCGCCACCACACCCAGCTATTAAAAAACTTTCTCTTTCTTCTTGCTTTTTTTTTTTTGACAGAGTCTCGCTCTGTCGCCCAGGCTGGAGTACAGTTGCATGATCTCAGCTTACTGCAACCTCTGCCTCCTGGGTTCAAGCAATTCTCTTGCCTCAGCCTCCCGAGTAGCTGAGATTACAGGCATGCGCCACCACGCCTGGCTAATTTTTGTAATTTTAGTAGAGACAGGGTTCCACCACGTTGGCCAGGCTGCTCTTGAACTCCTAACTTCAGGTGATCTGTCCGCTTCAGCCTCCCAAAGTGCTGGGATTACAGGTGTGAGCCACCGTGCCCGGCCTAAAAAAATTTTTTTTGTAGACACAAGGTCTTGCTACGTTGCCCAGGCTGGTCTCCAACTCCTGATCTCAAGTGATCCTCCTGCCCTGGCCTCCCAAAGTTGGATTATAGGCATGAGCCACTGTGCCTGGCCCATTCTGAATTTTTTTAAAAATTACAAAAGTGTATAGTAAAAGGGAAAAATTAATGATACCACCCAAAGACACCTACTATTAACAGTTTGTACTATATTCCTTCAGCTTTTTTATTTATTTATTTATTTTTTTGAGACGGAGTCTTGCTCTGTCCGTCAGGTTGGAGCACAGTAGCGTGATCTTGGCTCACTGCAACCTCCGCCTCCAGGGTTTAAGCGATTCTCCTGCCTCAGCCTCCCAAGTAGCTGGGATTACAGGTGTGCAACACCATGCCCAGCTAATTTTTGTATTTTTAGTAGAGATGGGGTTTCACCATGTTGGCGAGGCCTTCAGCTTTATTTTAAAAATCTATCGATAAAATGGAACCAAATCAATCTGTGGTGTGGATGGTGCCACAGGGCTGGGTCACCGTACTCTGTAGAGTATTTCACAAGTTACTTTCTCTCCCTAAGTTTGATTTTATTTTCATGAATTTATTTATATGTTACAAACATGAAATCATACTTCAGACCATGTATTTTTAATCTTCCAATCACCATTTAAACTAATCTAACTAACTCTCTATGAAGTAGTTCCACAGCATGATAACTTTCTAAATAAGAAAATAGAGGCTGGGCGCTGGCTCACGCCAGTTATCCCAGTACTCTGGGAGGCTGAGGTGGGCAGATCACCTGAGATCAGGAGTTTGAGATCATCCTGGCCAACATGGTGAAACCCTGTCTCTATTAAAAATACAAAAATTAGCTGGGTGTGGTGGCGCATGCCTGTAATCCCAGCTACTTGGGAGGCTGAGGCAGGAGAATTACTTGAACCTGGGAGGTTGCAGTGAGCCGAGATTACGCCACTGCACTCCAGCCTGGCGACAGAGAAAGACTCTGTCTCAAAAAAAAGTTAAGTAACCTCAAGATATCAGAGTCTGGAGCGAGAATTAGAAATAAGTCCCGTACGAATATGAAGAAAGAAGGCTGCATTGAGGCGTCCCCCTGGTAAGCATTCTGAGAAATCTTGGAGGCTTGTCTCTTTCTGGCCACTTCCGAGGACACTGACAACTTTGTCACGGGGGCTGCCCAAGCTTTCCATGTGTTCCCCTTTCATCCTAGCTGCTCTGTGAGGCAGAAGCATTACAGCTATTTGTCTGCAGCAGACAGAACCAAGCTTGCAGAACCAAGCCGTTCACCCAAAGTAGCACAGTTAGCAGATTAAAGTTGGGTACAGATCCGACCGTTTCATCTGCCCAGAGAAGCACACGACTCCCTCCCTTCTGGGGAATTCTTGCTCCTTGACTCTATCGCATGGTTTGGTGGGCACATGACCCAGTCTGAGTCACAACCACAGTACCCCATCTCCCTAGTTACGGCAACGGGATCAAGGGCAGGTAGGAGACAGGAGACATCAGGCCTCTTCTGGCAAGCCAGCAAGGGCCATGCTTTCCTCTGTCATCATAGAGGGATGCCCCAAAGAAGGAAGGCTGCATACAGAGAGCGGGGACATGGGACACGGAAGGAAAAGCTGTCCCTGTGACTCTGTGGACTAAGTGTGAGAGACCCAGTGTCTGCCTGGTAAACTCCCTTGTGAGTGTAAACAACAGTGAATTGGGTGCCTGCCCCCGTTAACCCAAAGAGCTCTAAATAATGTTAGCAGATGAGACCCACCTCAGGCCTTTCCTACACCAGGGCCCATGCTCTTTCCCCTGAACCAGCATTCCACTTGCTCAAGTCAGAAACCTGCGCGTTGGTTCCTCTCCCCAGGAATCTCAAACAAATCCACCCCGAATCGTGTTTCTACCTTCTTAACATCTCTGCATTTGCCCATTTCTCTCTGCCATCAAAGCCGCTTGGCTCATTCCACCACTTCTCTCCTGAAATGCCGCAGCAGATGTTGAGCTGGTCCCTTCATGCGTCATTCTGACACCCATTCCCACCTATTCTTCACACTGCAGCCGGAGCAAACGGGGTGGTCCCAGCTCTCCCACCCAACCTCAGGTCCTCGGGTTCCATCAAGCTCCCCAGGATCCAGACTCTAGCCCACCCAATCGGGAGCTCCAGGCTTGGCTCAAACCCAAACACGTCTTACTTTCTCTAGTCTTTGGGCTTTAGAGGAGCTGTTCCTTCTGCTGGGAACACTCCCCTCCCCTTCCCTCCTCTATATTGCTTTCACTGAGCCAGCTAGTCCTGAAGCACTGGCCGCTGGTGTAGAGAGGCCACTTCTCTGGGGCGCCCAGGCAAGGGGTTAGGCCTCCTATGCCTGTGCTCTTACCAGACCTTACACTGACCGCCACCGCAGTCCTTGGCCCTCGTATCATTACGTCTGCTGCCTCTTCTTGTCTCCCAGACCAGTAAGGGTGGATGCCATATAGGTAGAGACTATATTATTTTAGTTCTTGGGGTAGCCCCAAGAGGTAGCATGGTGTCTGCAATACACATTTCTTGCATGATTGAGTACACCAGGTTGCGTTCTCAGTGGTCCAGCACAATAGATTTGGATATTTCTGGAGAGGTCCACTCTAATGCGAAGTACTTCTGAGTCATCCGACTCATTCAATCACCAATCCAAGCAATTCCTTTTCTGATCTTCAGGTTATTTTCATCTGTGACTGTTAAGACGAGTCTTAATGCCCAAGTCTATGCAGAAAACCTCATATTGAATGAATATTTATTGAGTCTATAAAAGGCAGTGTGCTGAATTCAGTGGAAGAAATGCAAGAGTATAACAAGTTGTTCTCTGGGGGAACTGACGATCCAAAGATGGGACAATGCAGGACGATTATTCAAAACAGTTATTGAAGTTTTGGCTTGCCTGAGGATGACCTGGAGAGCACTGAAAACACACAGCACTGCAACACACCCCCAGAGAGTCCACAGGTCTAGGGTGGGACCCAAAGAATCTGCATTTCTTTTTTTTTGAGACAGAGTCTTATTCTGTGGTGCGCAGGCTGGAGTGCAGTGGTGCGATCTTGGCTCACTGCAACCTCCCACTCCCGGGTTCAAGTGATTCTTCTGCCTCAGTCTTCCAAGTAGCTGGGATTACAGGCGCCTGCCACCACGCCCAGCTAATTTTTTGTATTTTTAGTAGAGGTGGGGTTTCACCATGTTGGCCAGGCTGGTTTAGAACTCCCAACCTCACATGATCCGCCAGCCTTGGCCTCCCAAAGTGCTGGGATTACAGGTGTGAGCCACCGTACCTGGCCAAGAATCTGCATTTCTAACAAGCCTAAAGGCTGTTGAAGCTGCAGCCTTTGAGTGGCACTGTTTTAGAAAAGTAGCTCTGAAACTTTTTGGTCTTAGGCCCCTACTAAACTCCTCAAAACGGTTGCAAATCCTAAAGAACTTTTGTTTATAAGAACTATATCTATTGATATTGGCCATATTATAAATTAAACCACAGAAATTAAAAAAAAAATCCCAACTTGGGAGGCTGGGGCAGGATTATTACTAGAGGCCAGGAGTTCAAGACCAACTCAGGAAACATAGCCAGACTCCATGTCTTTTTTTTTTGAGAAGCAGTCTCACTCTGTTGCCCAGGATGGAGTGCAGTGGCTCAATCTCGGCTCGCTACAACCTCTGCCTTCCAAGTTCAAGCGATTCTCCTGCCTCAGACCCCCAAGTAGCTGGGATTACAAGAGTGTGCCACCAAACCCAGCTAATTTTTGTATTTTTAGTAGAGACAGGGTTTCACCATGTTGGCCAGGCTGGTCTTGAACTCCTGACCTCAGGTGATCCGCCCGCCTTGGCCTCCCAAAGTGTTGGGATTACAGGCATGAGCCACTGCACCTGGCCCAGACTCCATCTCTTTAAAAAAAAATTAGCCAGTTGTGGTGGCGCACACTTGCAGTGTAGACTCAGCTACTTGTGAGGCTGAGGCAGGGGGAGGGGGAGGATTGCTTGAGCCCAGGAGTTTGAGTCTGCAGTGAGTAATGACCATGCCACCGCACTCTAGTCTGGGCAACAGAGCAAGACCTCATCTAAAAAAAAAAAAAAAAAAAAAATCCATCATGTCTTAGTGTAAATGACATGTATTTATGAATAACTATATTTTCCAGAACAAATTAAGTGAGCAAAGTGGCACTGTTTTACATTTCTGTAAATTTCTTTAATGTCTGTTTTAATAGAAAAATGCTAGATTATCATATCTGCTTCTGTGTTCAGAATGTTTAGGTTGAAATATAGGATGAAAGTCTGGTCTCACACAGACAATGTAGTTGACAAGGGAGGAGTATCTATCTAATAGTGTTTTTAGGTCATTGTCTACATCAAAACTCAACCAGTAGTAGTTTATTAGGGGTGAGCTCCTGCATGGGTGCTGAAACCTTATCAGTGAGGGGTCTATACTCTCACATTCAAATCCAGTGCTGGATCGCGCACTCTGAATGGCTCTCTTGCCACAAATGACTCTGTAACCTTTACCGGTCATTTGGAAAATACTTGTTCATTGAGTTAGGTGGCTCTTCCAAGTGGTGACTCACTTCATCATATCTATTAAAAATCCCACTCATTCCCATCACCACTGAGCTCAGCAGGAGTGTCTGCAGCATTGGGAGGCTGAAGCTCACCCTGGTGCATACAAATTTTCCAAAACTGAAAATTTCTGGCTGGGTGCGATAGTTCATGCCTATAATCCCAGCACTTTGGGAGGCTGAGGCGTGTGGATTGCTTGAGCACAGGAGTTCGAGACCAGCCTGGCCAATAGAGTGGAGACCCCGTGTCTACAAAAAAATTTAAAAAATCAGCTGGGTATGGTGGTGCAAGCCTGTGGTCCCAGCTACTCAGGAGGCTGAGGTGGGAGGATCACTCAAGCCCAGAAGTTCGAGGCTGCAGTGGGCTATGACTGTGCCACTGCACTCCGCCTGGGCAACAGAGCAAGACGGCATCTCTAAAAACAAAATGAAACAAAACTTCCCTAGAAAGCTCACATTTTATCACTGACAACAAACTCTGTCAGTTATTTTCCTTAAAGTGACTTTCTCATTTTGCTTATTTTTTCAGAAGATGCCTGCCAAATATTCAAAGTCCGAATAACTGGTTTGTCTGTCAGTTTTCAGGTAAAAATGGTGTTCCATGAAAACAGCGGCATGTTTGGCTGGCAGCTCCATCCCACAAGCGCTCTCCCTCCTGACTGGCGCCGGCAGCAGAAGAGCTTTATGAAACCTTCACATTTCATCATAGAGTCCTAAGACCATGTGTGCACAAGGGTCATGAAATAATACAATTAATCTATTCTATTGCTTCATTTAGACCACTAAGTGAAACTGGCTGTTTCTATTTCTACTGGGGTGTGTGGTTGTCAGCTTGGTGCCATCACTGTGCTTCTTGCTAAGGTGCGCAATGTTGTACCCACTACTGCTTCTGCACCATCGGTACAAATTTCAATACAGTGAAAAAGTCAATTAAAGTCTTAGCAGTATGATGGAAATAGTTCTAACATCACAGGCCCTCCGAAAGGCTCTCAAGGAGACCAGGTATCTGTGATCCCCTGATTTGGATGAGAATCCCGATTTAGAAGAGACTCTACGTTTCCTAATTTGGGGTCTACTGTAGGCTCTAAGAGGCTTGAACCCTCTGAAACCATGTAAAAACTGCTAGATATGTCAAAGTTTCAGATTTTGAAAGGGTGCAACCCCTAACCTTAACTCTTTAGTTACTGTTAACAAAGCAGCTTTACTTTTACTACATTGAGTTTTTTAAAAGCTACAATTAGTTTTGCTACTGGTATTGTGACTATCAGAAGAAGGTCTGTGCCCGAGAAACAGATTAACTAGATAATTTAATTGAAAAAACAGGAGGCTGATTATATTTAAATACGGCTGAAATTAATGATGGAGCTGGTATAACTTAGGCCTGGGAAACTGCACGCCAAGAACTGGCTCCCCTGGGAATTGCTCCTCACCACCCGCATCTCTCTGAACCCAATAAGCCTTTTTATCTGGAAAAGAAAAGGGTCAAGCTAGATGATCAGGACGTTTCCATTAATTTCTAGGTCTGAAGTCTATGATGTATAAAAATACACAACACACAAGGAGATGCTCAACACAACTGGTTGTCGAGAAATGCACATCAAAACCACAATGAGGTACACTTCACACCCACTAGGACGGCTGTAATAAAACAGATCATAACAAGTGTTGAGGATATGGAGAAACTGGAACTCCCGTACACTGCTGATACAAACGTAAAATGGTGCAGCCACTGTGAAAACGGTCTGGTAGTTCTTCAAAATGTTAAAGTTACCATATGACCCAGCGACTCTACTCCTAGGTATATGCCCAAGAGATACGAAAACACACGTTCATACAAAAGCTTGCGTATCAATGTTCACAACAGTCATTCATAACAGCCCCCAAATGGACATAATATAGTGTCCATCAACAGATACGTGGATAAATAAAACGTAGTATATCTGTATGATGGAATATTATGGGGCAATAAAAAGGCATGAGGTACTGGCACGTGGATGAACCTTGAGAACATTATGCTAAGTGAAGGAAGGCGGACACCAAAGGGTACATATTCTGTAATTCCACTTACATGAAATGTCCACAACAGGCAAATCCATAGAGATGAACAGTCAATCAGTGGTTGCTCAGGGCTGGGGGTGGGTGAGGGAGGAGGGAACAATGGCAGTGACTATTAATGAGTACAGGATTTCTTTTTGAGGGGATGAAACTGTTCTAAAACCAGATGTGATACTGGCTGTACAATTCTATATTCATATTAAAAATCACTGACTCATACACTTTAAATGGGTGAATTCTAGGCTATGTGAATAATACCTCAGTAGATCTGTTTAAAAAAAACCATCTAGCAGTCCAGTCTAATAAGCAGGATACTTAAAAGTAGCAGCATCAGGAGTACAACAACTATAAAGCTTTGGATTCTTCAAAAAAAAAAAAAGTGGAAATTAATGTCTCTAAAACTGTTATGACCAAAATATACACACCCCCATCCCCAATAAGAAACAAAGAGAAAAACAGGCATGGCTAAAGGCTGCTTAAGTGTTGGGCACACAGGGGCTCTAAGCTGCAGAGCTTCTCATCAGACGTGAACCACAAAGAGGCCCAGGCTTTTGCTGCCTGCCACACCAGGCCCAGGCACTGCTTGGGACAGAGGCCTTGTACTGGTTGCTTAAATTCTTGACAAGAGGGTCACAAACCAAGGCCAGGCACCACCCCACCGCCTGTGTTCTTCCTTCTTTCACTATACTTCTCATCAATGCCCTCTAGCTACAGAACAAAACAACAAAACCAAAAATCCAATCTGTCCCCATCCCCTATTCTACCTCCAGATCCAGACAAACAAGGGGTAGGGAAAGGCTATGTTGCCTTCTGAACTTAGAGCAGAAAGGAAAGAAAATGTCCCCTGCTCTCACAGTGACCACAGACAGCATCTCATGTGTGCCCATCTTCACAGGACAGTCTAATTCATCACCCAGTTTCCACTCTGCGCCTTCTTCCCGCCCACGTGGGCATAAGGCAGAAATCACATTCCCAGTCTTGCAACCCTATCTATTTCATCTGGATTACTTTTATTCACGGCATCACCGTAATCTAAAATGAAAATTATTGGTTGGCTTATTTTATGGTTGTCTCCCACGTGAAAATGAAAGCTTTAGGTGAAAATGAAAGCTTTAGGAGGGCAGAAGTCTTGTTCGCCATTCTATTTCCTCACCCCAAAACGTGCCTGGCCCATGATGGATGCTCAGTGTCTGCTTACTGCTTAGGGAGCCCAGGGGCTGGCAACGCTCTGGAGCCCAGCGCGAGGTTTGGGTGGGAAACAAGTTAATACAGCAGGAGGAGAATCAAGTTAGGAAACAATTATGACAGGGAGAGGAGAGGCAATGATGACTTAATCTATAAAAACAGCCTCAAGGGCTTTTAAGTATCCTAAGTGGTGCCAGTAACCCACACTGCTACTGTGAAATACAAACGAGAGGCGGTTTCAAGCAGTCGGGAGCACACTCGGTTCAAGGGCGGGCATTTGACCTGAACCAGGCCAGCGGGAGTCTTGTCATTCTTTGTAGATTCTTCCCTCTTAGGTTAAAGAGTGGGAATCAGAGACTTTCTTAAACATAGGAAAATCTTCCACACGTGTAAACTTAATATAGAATTTATATACTTATAAATCTAACATACAGTAAAATAAAATGAACACATAATAAGGAAGCATTAAGCAATAGGGGGAAATGAAATAGTCAATACATGATGTAGGGAGAAATAATTTTTCAATAATTTTAGAAGAAAATAAATTTAAAAGAAAATGAAGTTCTATCCCTAACCCACATCATAAAAAAAAACAAAAAACAAAAAACAAACAAACAAAAAAACTGGAATGCTCCTAACACAAAGAAATGATAAACGCTTGAGGTGATGGAAACCCCAATTACCCTGATTTGATCATTACGGATTCTATGCTTCTACCTAAATATCACATATACTCCATAAATATGTACAACTATTACATATCCATACCTAAAAGAAAAAAGATTATAAAATGTGATGCGCAAAACAAAATTATGAAAGTAATAGGAGAAAATATTAGAGATTTTTATGATTCTGGGGCTAGAGTGGGCCTCCAAAGTAATTGAGAGTTAAAATTAATGAAAGAAAAAAGCTATTCCCCAAGTGTCATTAGTCTGAACAGGTAAGGTTTTAGGGTATATATTCTCTGCTCAGTTTATGCCTATTACTCTTCTTCAGGCACAAGTCTGGGACAGGAACCCGCATGGCCTTTGTAGTCCTTAGGCCGACTACATGGTAGCCATGCCAGTGAATTCTGAACTTTAAGAGTTAAAAACAACAAGTTAAAACAATCAAGTTGATCTCAACCTCTGACACAGTAGACTGAACTACAACGAAGAACATTACTTTCATCTTTTTCCAAAGCAAACATACTAAAGAAGGAAATAAAAGTATTTTAGGTCAAGAAGTCCAGTCAATTCTGAAATATATAGCTTTGGAAAAAAAAATCAGTAACTTAACAAAGAGTTCAATGAAAATTGGACTTAACATTTTACACTAAGCCACACTGACTCCCCAGTAAGTGTGTGTGTGGGGGGTACTAGTTTCAAAGGCAGATAAAATATCAACAATTCAAGAAAAATCAACAGAAAACTGGATTTCAGCGTCAAACAATGAATTTTGGTAATGGCACTGAATGAAGTGTTTCCAGGTGGTACTGACTGAGGAATGGGCTGTAAAGTTTGACACTTCAGAGGACTGAGATCTGGGGGCTGAATAAAACCAACAGTGAACTAACTGCAGGATGATAAGACTATTTCAGCCAGTCAGGACATACTGTCATTGATAGAGGAATGACAGAGGAAGCACTGACAGAGGAAGGCCTTCTCAGCCAATCAGCATGGGCTGTCCTGATCCTAGCACTGACAGGTGGCGGCCTTCTCAGCCAATCAGCATGGGCTGTCCTGATCCCAGCACTGACAGGTGGAGGCCTTCTCAGCCAATCAGCATGAACTATTCTGACACCAGCTTGGTTCTGTCAATATTTCAACTCCATCCCATCATTAGAATTTTCCTGCACATGGATGGACAAAATGTTTACTTCTGAACTATAAAAAGGCACTAGTATATTAATGTTAAATATGTTTTAAAAAAATTTAAAGAAGATAAAATAATAAATAGAAATACAAATTCTAACACTTCTACTCCATAGGGTAGTTGTGAGGATTAAATGAGTTAATAAATGCAAAGCACTTAGACTGGTCCCTAGAAGACAACTGACTTCCCTTCCTATTATTATCATTACAATCCAGGATACAAAGAAAATTTTCATTCTTCAAGCACAACTACAAATTCTGGAACAGGAGGATTCTTCTCCTGGGTAGCACTGTGTTAGGCTCAGAGATCTTGGCCTGTCCTGTTTATAAATCAGAACTGGGACACACTGGTTAAACTGTAATCACTTACCATATGGACTACTTCTGGGTAAATAGGCTCTGTGATCACATTCCGATTATGGGTGATATATTCTACCATTTCACTTAAAGCAGCTCGTTTTACTTCCTTCCACTTTAGGTCACTTAGTGGATCAGAAACAAAGTCAAAGAGGACGCAACACTGACGTAACTTCTGGATAAAAAGCTTCTCTTGATCAGCAGGAGGAACATCTGAAAAGCAGAAAGCAAAGTATATTGATCACAAAAGTGCTTAACCCAAAGTTATTGTGAAACACATTTAAGCTTTCTTCTATTTTTATTTTGAATAGAGATTCAAGAAAAAAGGAGATGGGTGGGGTAAACAAAGGCTATTCCTTAAAGAAAATAAAACGAAAAAACCCAGCTAGTCGCTGGTCATATTATATGTTTGGTATGAGGAAGTTTTTATGCTTTTTAACTCTTTCAAACCATGTTGAGAGCACTGTTAGAAATAAACTCCATCTACATGTGTTCATTCAACAAATACTCTCTGAGCAGCAATGATCACAGGCACCGTGTCGGGCAGTGGAATGAGAGGCAACCAGTAAGGTCCATGTCTGGGGAAAGGGCGTGGACACATTGACACCAGGTGATATCTGCAGAATTTAGGTTCAGGCAGGGTAAAAAAGACCAGAGGGGGAAGGATGCCTCCTTATGTCTGCCTATAGGCCCTCAGCTTACAACATGGGAAGGGCAGGTGGTTGTCCACGCTTGCTAGATGACAGAGCAACTGGCATCAGTCCAAAGATGTAACAGTCCAAACTGACTGTTAACTTCCAAACATTCAAAGAGTTAGCACCTTAGAGCCCCACCAAGCACACTGCATTTCCCTCATCCTGGTCTACAGTCAAGGCTTATCACACATGACGACTGACGTTAATGATGATGGCAATTTAGAAACAGCAATAACGGTAACTATTACTTAGTGAGTGCTTACCTGGGCCAGACATCATCCTAAAAACTTTACACATATTGACACTTTCTTGCCATTTAATCTTTATAACAGCACAACAGACATAAAGAAAGAGGTTTAGAAAATCACTCAGTGCTGGCAAGTGGATGAAGCTAAATTCAAACCAAGCTCTGAATGACGGTCCAGTATTCTGGGAAGTCTGGAAAACTTCTGTCTGCCACTGTGAGCGTGACATCTTCCCTGGGCTGAAGAGGAGATCAGTGGTGACACGAATAAACGGGACTGACTGACATACATACTGAAATGTGTCAAAGATTTGCAAAATGTTTTAGGAGATTTGCATAACTCCGTGAACAAGTATTTTCCAAATGATGAATAAATAGTGTTAACACCATTCAAGGGCAAAAGAGCCATTCAAAGTACAAAGTAGACCACTTGATTTAATGGAATAAAATTTACAGACGGCTTTTACTGATATAGTTTCAGATTCCACCTTACAGATTCCTTTAAGAAACGACCCATACTAACTTTTGGTGTAATATCAAAGCAAATGTCCACGACTATCTGAAAAGGCTACTAAAATACTCCTCCCTTCCCAACCACGTTTTCCCAAACTTCCACCAAAGCAACATATGGCAACAGACTGAATGCAGAAGCGGACAGGGGAATCCTTGTCTTAATGTCTCCTAGTAAGCCAGACATTGCAGAGATTTGCAAAAATATACAACTATGCCACTCTTACCACTAAATTAGTTTTTGTTTTAGAAAACATGGGTATTTTCTTTCTTTCTTTTAGAGACAGAGTCTCACTCTGTTGCCCAGGCTGGAATGCACTGGTGTGATCTTGGCTCACTGCAACCTCTGCCTCCTGGGTTCAAATGATTCTTGTGCCTCAGCCTCCCCAGTAATTGGGACTACAGATGTGCGCCACCACACCCAGCTAATTTTCGTATTTTTAGTAGAGACGGGGTTTCACCACGTTGGCCAGGCTGGTCTCGAGCTCCTGGCCTCAAGTGATCCACTTGCCTTGGCCTCCCAAAGTGCTGGGATTACAGGTGTGAGCCAATGCGCCTGGCCAACGTGGCTAGATCATTTAAAAATGTGTTATTTCTGTTAAAATGTAATATGTTTATTATATTTTAGTAAATTAATAAATACATGTTTAAAAATTTCTCCAGTTTAATTTCAAATAGGTCAGTAGCAATAGCTAAATTCACATAAAGAGTGCTCTTTCACGTCCTGCAGAGTTTTTTAGGAGCACTGGGGCCCTGAGACCCACTGCCCCATGCCAGCCTCGCTCCAGGGAGTGTCCTGGGGGCGGCGGGGTGTTGCTGCTTTCCTGCAGCTCCTCTGCTTCCTCTGGTGCCGAGCATTTCCACACTCCTCTTGCCCTTCCCTGCCCCTACTGTCAACTTCCTGTTGAGGTTTCTTCTACAAGGCCTTTCCTTACTGCCTAGGTAAGATGTATGACTCTGAGCAAGTCATCTGGCACTTGTTAGTGCTTTAAACAGTTAGCTATCTGCTTAGTACCTCTTACTCCCAACTAGATGCTTTTTGAGGGTAGGTGCCATGTGACTATGTCTTCTAGTTCTCTATATGCCCAAAGGCCCAACATTGAGCCTTGCAAATAACAAGCACACAGACTCTGCTGTCTGAGCAGACCCATTCTGTAGGAAGCTACGGTTTCCCTGTTTCCTACGCTGCATTCAGAGATCAGAAGCACACACGCAAGGCCATGGGAGTGGGGTGTACTGCCTGTAGGATCCTAAAACACCATGAGAACAAAAATTTTATTCCTAAATACTCTGAGAACTCAGTGGCTGTGCAACTATTTGAAACGAGTAACTGTCATTACAGCGTTCAGGACTCTTCACATTCAGATATCCAGTCTTTTTCAATGAAAAACGTTCATTTTTGGAATTACCTCTTTGCTTGCCTTCAATTCTCATCAATTCTACACCTTTGTTTGTACCCTAATTTGCCAGGATTACCTTAAATGAGCTCGTGTGTGTTGTCGCAGCCTGTGTATTTGGAGCTGTTTGGCATTCTCACATTCTTGGCACTACAGAGAACTGAGAGTCCACCGTTCTCCCTAAGAGCCACGCTATGCACAGCTTGGCTCCTAAGGAGTAGCCAGTTAAGTCCTTTAAGAACATGTCCTCGCCAAATCCTCCTAACAGCAGTTCAAGCCAGTGCCGTTACCCCGATCTAGAGGCGAGGACACAGGTACGAGAGCCAACACAGCTTGCCTAAGGCCACGGTGCTATGAAGTGGCAGATACGGACACGAGGGCCAAATGTACCCTTTTCAGGGAACTGAAACTCAAAAGGATGTTGGGATCATTCAGAGTGGAGTTAAATCACTCTTACATGCCTCAAAATGCCCTAAAAGCATCATTCGCGTTATAAACACTGCACAGTAACTGATACTCAGAATAAAAGACTAAGTTGTCATTCAAACACAAAAGCAAATTTATTACAATTAAGAAGGAAGAGCAGAGTAACACGGTTTTTAATAAAATTTCTATCCAAACTGTTCTAAAAGGCAAGTGAATTTCAATTCTTCTAGGCTTCCAGACAGGGTGTTTCTGTAGAATTTTTGCTTATAGACCATAAGCAGATATGCCTGTGATTATAATCTCATGAGCTCTTTTTTTCATTTCTTTTCTTCATTTAAAAAATCTCATTTGACTATTTTTTTTTTAAAAGAATTTTACTGTTTTAAAAAAAACCTGTAACAATGAATTGGGTAAAAAAGTAAAAAACTGCATCCTTGGGCCCTATCAAATATTTCCATTTTTTTTTGAATACAAGTTAATTTAACAACTTCTTCATCAACATATTTTAAAAATCTTATTTTCTGCTGCGTTGACAGGACTGTACCACGGGGAAACAAAAATGGGTGGAGGTGGTGGAAGAATATGCTTCATACCTTTACGTATTCTGATTTGTAACAGTAAAGTGTTATTACAAATGCCTCATACTTGTATAGATCATTTTAGCTTTTCCCATTATTTAATTAATATGTTATTGTGAATTTGAGACAATTTCCAAATATTTCAAGATAAATCCTCAATCATACCCCGGAGCAATATACATGGACATACTCATGCAAAACCCGTAGGAGAAGAGGAGAAAAGACCCAGGGCATCCAAAATGACAGAAAGAAGGTGGAGATAAGAATGTGCTATTCTGGCCAGGCGCGGTGGCTCACGTCTGTAATCCCAGCGCTTTGGGAGGCCGAGATGGGTGGATCATCTGAGGTCAGGAGTTCGAGACTAGCCTAGCCAACATGGTGAAACCCCATCTCTACTAAAAAATACAAAATAATTAGCTGGGTGTGGTGGCAGGTGCCTGTAATCCCAGCTACTTGGGAGGCTGAGGCAAGAGAATCGCTTGAACCCGGGAGGCTGAGGTTGCAGTGAACTGAGATCACACCACTGTATTCCCACCTGGGTGACAGAGCAAGACTCTGTCTCAAAAAAAAAAAAAAAAAGAAAAAGAAAATGAAAAAAAAGAAAAAAAAAGAATGTGCTATTCTTTAAAAAACGTATTTACTAAAGGGAAGCCTGTTATTAATCAGTGATAAATAGAGATGTTTAACAAAGATCTCCTTTAAAGTAGGCTGGGAGCATTCCTGTCTAGCTTTATACATGCTCCTGGTCCCAACAGTCAGGGAGGTACAGAAATTGAATGCGTTTCACTGGTCAGTGATATCTAGAGTGCAGGGTGAGCCTGGGGGTTACTCAAGATTGGAACGTAGGAAGAAAACAGCAGGGTGTCTATTTATACTTTCTTCTACAAAGAACAAGAAATTACAACATACTAATATTCAACAGACAAATTTACACGCAGTGGAGGTGTGTGCTGGAGGTTGTTTTTGCTGCCAGGCAAGCGTGGACAGAAGAGTTTGGAGACCACTACTGGGCAGTGAAGGCTTTTGTAAATGAGTCCTAAACGGCGAATACCACAGCCAACTTCACCGATGTTGCTAGCAACATGTACCTCAATTACAGAAGGGAGTGAGAGCTGTGACATACATGCTTAGCCACCAAATCATAGAATATGAGGAAGTAAGGCTGAATTACTAAATTGTCACTATGCACCAAGAGGCATCATGTAAACTGTGGATAGGAAACTGATTGAAAAAAAGAAGCCAAGCCCACATTTACATGAAAAGTCTTGGTGGTCAAAAGAAATGCTCCAAGACACCATAAAGGACCAACTTTCAGCATGGCAGCTGCAGAAAGACAGCAGAACCAGGACTTTCTGCTGCACAGATGTTGGGGCCTTCCAAATAAGCATTACCCCGATGGAGCAAGGAGACACAGCTGCAAAAACTACCAGCCTAGACAGTGACAACTCAAAAGATACCCCAGAATGTGCAGGCTCACAAGGGTGGGAAGTACTCCCTGGTCACTCACGTAATATTCACTAAGCAGCTGAAGCAGCCAAGTTTCAAACACAGAGACCACAGCGTCATCAGGTCAAGCAGCACCCTCAGCTTCCATGCACGTTTTTATTTTTTTTAACTAGAGACAGGGTCTCACTATGTTGCCCAGGCTGGAGTACAGTGGTATAATCCTGGCTCACTGCAACCTTGACCTTCCAGGCTCAAGCCATCCTCCTGCCCCAGCCCTCTGAGTAGCTGGGACTACAGGCATGCACCCACACCCAGCTAGTTTTTAAATTGTTTATAGAGACACAATCTCACTATGTTGGCCAAGGCTGGTCCTGAACTCCTGGGCTCAAGTGATCCTCCTGCCTCAGCCTCCCAAAAATGTTGGGATGACGGGTGTGAGCCACCATGCCAGCCCCAAGTGTATTCTTCCATGCAAGGTGCTCCCAGGGTCCTGGGGAGGTCTATGCAAGTCGCGAGCCCACAGACAAGAGATCTCACGCAAAACAGAAAGAAGCGCTCAAGCTCTCGGAAAGGCAGGAGCCAACATTTAGCGACGGTGCCATCTTGTCTTTCAAATGTATTTATTCTTAGTACAAAACGAGTAGGAACAAAGTTGAACTAACAACTTGGGGCAAATTTGGGATTCATCATTAATATGTACTAAATTCCACTCCCCTCTATGTCCCAGATGAGGAAACTTAGCAGAGGATGAGTTTCCCCCACCAAGTAAACAAAAGCTCAGCAGTTCTATTTTGTTTTTAAAGATAATATTCACATGCCACTTTTTGAAATGACCATTTCTCCATGACTTCTAGTGTCTCCTGTGTCCTAGAGCAGTGTCTGTGCAGGCAGGGCTCTCTCTCTTCTTGGCCACTGCCTCATCCTGCACCACCTGGAGTCTGAGTTTCTAGAGCCCTAGAAGACTTAATGTCTGGTTGATTCCTGCACCTGGTCCCTCCTCACGTTTTCACTGCTCATGGCCCTTTATATTTCCCATACAGATCTGGGGAGAACTTAAGAATTTGGCAGGATTGAGTCTTCCAATTCATGAACATGGACTGTTTCGCCAATTACTCAAGTTCTCTTTAAATGTCTCCCAATAAAGTCTTCTAATTTTCTTCTCAAAATGTGCAAAACATTAATTTTCAGATTTTATTCTTAGGTATTTGCTATGTTTTGATGTGATCGTCAATGGTATCTTTAAAAACACTTAATTTTCTAACTGCTGTTGCAATACAGAAAAAATGGTTTTTGAGTATCACTTTTACATGTAGCTATCTTGCTAAATCCCTCTGGTTTTCCTTTCATCTGCAAGTCCCCACATTGTTCTTCTCTTTCTTATCTACTGCGCTGACCAGGACCTCTGGGCAACGCTGAGAGGAGCAGTGAGAACGGCCCCTTGCACCCATCCCCGACTCAGAGGGGAGCTTTTACTAGCTAACCATTGATTTGATGCTTGCTCTAGCAGCCTGTGGATAACAGTTACCCGAGTAAGAAACTGACCTACGGATTCAATGCTATCCCAATCCATATTCCAACACACACTTCTGTGGAACTGAATACATGGATTCTAAAATGTATGTGGAAATGCAAGGGGTTAAGACTAACCAAGACACCCCTGAGAAGAACCAAGCTGGAGGACTTGCTGTTCCAGAAATCAAGACTTCCTGTAAAGCTTCATGAATGAAAACAGCCAGGCTCTGTGCTGTCACACAGGCTCATGCATAAATCGACACCTGACTTGTGACAGCAGAGGGTTGCAGAGGAGTGAGGAAAAGTCGGCCTTTCAACACGTTGTGTTGGGACAACTAGGTACACAGGGACAAAAAAGAAAGAAAAGAAAAGAAGAAAGAAAGAAAGGAAGCAACTGGATCAAATTATATACATATATCTACACTGAAATTAAACATTTTCCTTCATCAAGACATCCACAAGGATGAAAAGGCAAGGCACAGGATAGAACTATTTGAATACATATAACCAATAGACTCATATCCAGAATATATAAACATGTCCAATAACTCAGTAAGAAAACTTCAGAGTACAAATAGAAGAATAGGAAAAAGTCTTAATCAGGTTCTTCACAAAATAGATCCAAATGGCTAACCACGTATGAAGGGCTCGTCACTCTCATTAATAACCACCAGAGAAATGCAAATTAAAACCACTACGGACAACACCAAATAGTGCCTCAAGGAGCTGCTTTGTGGCTGGAGCCCGAACACCACCCATGGGCGGGGCAGTGCATTATCAGTGGTGTTGAGGATACACGAGGTTGACAGCCAGGACAGCACTCCTGGCATACCACCTCACGACACTCACATACACGTCCATCACAACCGAGGTAAAGGAATGTCCACAGCACAACGTCCTAACAGCTCAGACTAGAAACAACCAAATGCCCATCAGTGGTGGATTAGGTAAATGCAAATGCAGTCTATGTAACATTCCAAAGCGATAGAGATGAATGAAATACAGCTATACACAATATGGATATGCCTTACAAAATACTGTTGCATCAAAGGGGCAGATAAGGAGGATTTATTCAGTATAATTTCATTTATAGGAAGAAACAGGAATCCCTAAAACTATAAAAGACTTACAGGGGGCTTTTAGGGTGCCCAGCCTGAATGGTGGTTATGTGGGTATTTGCTTTATAATTATTCACTACACATTTGTTTCATATGCTTCTGTATGTGAGTTATATTTCAAATAACAAAGGCTAAAGATACATGCATATGGCTAAAAAATGAAAATGGAAAGAACCTAGTGAGACGTGAGTCTCCTTCCACACACCCACCCTCTGGCCTCCCTCTCTTCTCCCAACTCCCGCTGTTGCCAATCGGGGTGTCCCTGGGCTGCTCCAGGGGTACATTCGGCTGCACGATTGTCAGCCGTTTCCTGCGTGGTTTTAGATGCGTCAACACCGACGACCTCTAAACTCACCTGGATCTACCTGAGACCAGAAGACATACTCGCACTCACGAAATCCCAACAGTTTCTTTCTTTCTTTCTTTTTTTTTTTTGAGACAGAGTCTCGCTCTGTTGCCCAGGCTGGAGTGCAGTGGCGTGATCTTGGCTCTCGGCTTACTGCAACCTCCGCCTCCTGGGTTCAAGCGATTCTCCTGCCTCAGCCTCCTGAGTAGCTGGGACTATAGGTGCTCGCCACCACGCCTGGCTAATTTTTGTATTTTTAGTAGAGATGGGGTTTCACCACATTGGCCAGGCTGGTCTCGAACCCCTGACCTTGTGATCCGCCTGCCTTGGCCTCCCAAAGTGCTGGGATTACAGGTATAAGCCACCACGCCCGGCCCCCCAACACACTTTCTAACGTTCCTCTACATAGTGTGTCATGCTGAAGAATTTAAGCTTCTAATTTTTTGATTGAAAAACTTTCCCAATTAAGATAAGGATCTAGGTGATCTCTAATTTTTTTCTATTTATATAAAGATTCTCTCTTAAAAGAAAGATCAGTAATTATGCTTGCAAATGGATAAAATAAAAACTGTGGTATGACATGCTTATCAGATCTAAAGCATGGGTGGGGAGCAATTGGGATATAAGAACTAAAGTCTCAAGGCCGGGCGCAGTGGCTCATGCCTGGCTCATGCCGGGCACAGTGGCGCAGTAATCCCAGCACTTTGGAAGGCCGAGGAGGGCAGATCATGAAGTCAAGAGATTGAGACCATCCTGGCCAACATGGTGAAACCCCGTCTCTACTAAAAATACAAAAATTAGCTGGGTGTGGTGGCATGTGCCTGTAGTCCCAGTTACTCGGGAGGCTGAGGCAGGAGAATCGCTTGAACCCAGGAGGCGGAGGTTGCAGTGAGCTGAGATCACGCCACCACACTCCAGCCTCGCGATAGAGACTCCGTCTCAGGAAAAAAAAAAAAAAAAAAAGAGCAGCCCCAACCATGAGGACACAGCCTGCATCACTAGGAAGTATTTCGCAAACGCATCCCATACATACACGCCAGGCACTGTGCTAGGCACTGATGATAGATACATTAAAAGACAGTATCTGATCTAAAAGAAAACTACCAGAATATGGGAGGTGATGAATTCTGCTGGGAGACATGCGGATGAAGGCTCAGGGAGAACAGGAACCACAGCTGAGGAGAGGCTGCAGTTGCTGGGAAGGCACTGAAGGCTGCACTAAATGGGGAGACTGTCTAGAGGCACTCACTTGTCAATCACAGGGGCCTGAAGTTACAGGAGATATTAATCAGGCTGCATTCTCCTGGAAAATCAATTTTCCTCAAAAGACAGTATCTTCAAAACGAGAACAATTGATAATAATTTATATACCCTACATTAATCATACTGGATGCTTAATTATAAATTTTCTCAGAGGAGAACTTTGTCTTTTTACCATTTTTATCCTCAGCATCTAAAACTGGCCAGCACATAGTGGGACCACAGATGTCTGCTGAATGAACAGATCCATCTGAGGAAAACAAACTCAGGTAATTTAACTGAGAGGTACCGTTTGAAATATATTTATATCAAAATAACGCCACCTGTATCAGAGTAGAATGCAACATCTACATAAACTTTTAAGATAAAACTCAGGTCTTCAAAGAAACTGCTCTTAGTAGGCATTTCTCTTCTGTGGAATCTCTGCAGTCAGAGGTGCTTTGATAGAAAAATCTAAAAAGTTCTGTGGGAAGAGAGATTTGAATCAGAGGATTTTTAAGCAGATGAGCGATCCAACTTGATCTCTGTTCAGGAGAGACATGGGTGAACTGAAACCAAGAAGCCAGAGGTAGGCAGTTCTCCTTCAGAAGAGAAGGCCCTTAGCTACAGCCCATGAACCCAGCCCTCAGCCCTCTTCCAGGCAAACCCGACACACAAGCTCTGCCTTCCCCGGTACAGGCCTGCCAGCCCTCATTTTTGGTAACAAGGATCTCTTACTCTATAAATCCAAGCTTCTACAACTTGAAAGCTCAATAAACATAACAATGAAATACTTCTATATATCTACAAAATGTCAAGACTAACTTCTACCCTGACCCTTAGCACCTACATAACTTCAAAATTGGGTTAATCTTCTCGTACTGTTTGTAACTCGGTAGATGACTTCTGAAATTTACAATAAATCCTTCTTAATTTCAAAGTGCAAGTGTCTTATTTTATCCATTCTAATACATACATTTTTCATATTAATGTCTCTAAAATCAAGTTACATCTTTCACTTTCCTTTTTCTTTTTTTGGTAATTCTTTAAAAATGGTTTGGACTACAATGAACAGTGCCTTAGGTGTGATGAGATATGGTATCTTAGCTTCCCTGCACACATGTGCCTCTGCTCAGGTTTCTAAATGGATGTTATTTCATTCAAATGTAGCCAATGTCCCCGCCTCCCTCCGGGTCTGTCTGTACCACCCAATGTGAAGGAGTTGAAGCAAGCTGGCTTCAATGTGCCCACTCTAAGTGTTCCCGGTTCCAGCATGTGGCTGCCTGTAGCTAGGTCTGTTTGGCGGGGCTCCATGAGAAACCCGGAGAGGTGGTGCACAGCCCTTCCTGTCACCAGGGATGCTGAAACCATCTTTCCACTCCGTGTGGGTGGATTTCGGGCAAAATGAACAGTACCGCCAGGTACACTTCATTTGGGTATAAATTTGGTAACGTGGGGCTGGTCTGCAGTTTCTACACTGACACTCGTTTACATGTTTGGATAGAGACAACCCATGGCTCACAGTCCACCATAACGTTCCAATGCTGTGGTTTATCCAGCTTTGTTGTACACATGTACCAAGGTTACATTATCTTTCCTGGAGAGGAAGATCTGCTAACCCCAGGACCAAGCTGGGGTTCCCTCACAAACCTGAGCTGCTCCTACCTTAAACCCTTTGGGTTTTTCTGATTTGTTAGCCTGGTTTTATTTGCATATGAAGAAAGGGGTAGTATTCACTTCCCCCACAACTTTCTACCACCAACCCCATCATCCCTTTCTCATGAAATTAACAGTATAATTTAATAAGGCAGATATTTTTCATTTCAAAAGGCAGTGGTTGAAGCTAAATTCTAGTTCATTCATGCTTTCCGCCCATGAAGACTGGCAGCTTCTACCAGGGAATGGGTGGGGAAGGGTGGGGTGGAGTGGAGTGGAGAGGCGCCCCGGATGGAGAGAAGTCAGGCTGAAATAGGCAAAGGCCAGGAGAGGCTGCTTTCCTCGGAAAAGCTCTTCAGTGAATTTTTCAGTAAAGGGAGTCATATGGAAGAACAAACTGACTCCCGGTTCAGACTCTGCCAAATCAGAACATGGTAAAGTCATGAAATTATTCTCAGCCTCAGGTTCCTCAGCTGTAAAATCTCCTGTGGACACACATGCACATTCAGAATGAACCTTCACTCCGGCTGCAGGCAACAAGAGGAATTCAACGGTGTTAGCTGAATTGGAAGATTCAATTTTTTTTTTTTTTTAAACAGGGAAAGGTTGAGACAGGTCAAACAAACTCCTAGGGATAAAGATATAAATCCAGCACAGCATTATTTCCAGATACAGGCCATATTTCCCACATAGGACTCTAGTTCTAGAAAGCCTTGGGGAGAACAGGCACCCAGGGCACTGATTACTAAATGCTCAACACCCTTCGTGCAGCCCGTTATCGCTTCATCTTCCACTTTCACTAGCATGACTGGTGAAATACTGAATGTTAACAATATTACTGCACCTGGTGACAAGAAGCTCCAACAATGCAGTAGCTCATTTATCCAAAGAACAAAGGCAGGTACTGTCTCAGGAAAAGTAACAGCTCTTAACATTTGACAAGAAGATGTAATAAGTTCTTTTCAATTCCATCTTGAAATTGATTCCAGAACCTTCAATATGTTTACCAGCAGACAAAGCAGTGTAGAGGTGTGAAAAAGATACACTGAAAATACACACACTTTTCCAGGCCCTTTTTATGTTCTCTACTTCCTTTCTCCATGTCTCAGACAGAGGAGGTTCAAGTGCTTCCTTCTAGACACGAACTCTTGCTGAAACTTGGCTCTTCCTTCAAATGACGTCCAGCCCGGGGATGACAGCAGGGAGGGTCGGTGACAGACACAACCCAATGAGCATGCGGCCTGTGTGCCAGGACCTACCGGGCCCTGCGGTGCTGCCGGAGCTCCAGCCTTGCAGGGGCAGCCGGGGGATCAGGGCCACAGAGCAACACGGGTACCATGTCACGTGCCAGAAACCACGATATCAGAACTGTGTGCACGTGTGTGTCCAATCTCTGGGGAGGTGAGACAGAGAGAAACCAGTGCCAGACCGCTCCGGCCCCTCCCGCAAGCTGCCAGCCTCCTCGAACTTGTCAAATACCCACCGTTCCACTCTCTAAGATTCGAATTAGTTACCTGGTATTGGTATTAACCTACTTTGCGTTCTGGCCTCCACCTCACCTGGCCATCAACTCAAAAAAAAAAAAAAAACAAAAAAAACACCAAAAACAGATAATCACTTTAAGATGGATGATGATGAAAATGAGCACTAGCTATCTTTAAGAATGATCGTAGGGGCAAAGGATGAATTGTGCATTGTTGAAGCAGAGGCAATGAATGATGAAGGTAGTCCGATTACGGTAACACTGATGGCTTTGAAAACATCTGTACAGCCAAGGGCTTCCCTTGGGCTATGAAATACCACCACCTGTGGCGTTGTGGGTGAAGTGTGGTTCAGGGCCCGTGTGTATCAATGGATGGCACTTAGTAGCTGGGGAGGAAGATGCAGAGTCAGAGACAGGAGGATGTGAAACTCTTCAGAATATCTGGAAAGCGATCTCCCCCTGGAGGTGGCAGCAAGGTTCCACAGAAAAAAGTAAAATTTGCTGTTGCTGAAGATGATGATGATGATGATAAGGAAACTGAAGACAAATCTCCAGTGAAGAAATCTATACGAGATACTCTACCCAATCATGCACAACAATCAAACCAGAATGGAAAAGACTCCAAGTCACCAATGTCAAGAAAAGGTCAGGAATCCTTCAAAAAATAGGAAAATACTCCTAAAACACCAGAAGAACCTAGTTCTGCAGAAGACATTAAAGCAAACATGCAGCCAAGTATAGCAAAAGGTGGTTCTCTTTTCAGAGTGGAAGCCAAGAAAATCAATTATGTGAATGGCTTCTGGATGACTGACTAGGGGGCTATTCAAGATCTCTGGCAGGGCAGGAAGTCTCTTTAAGAAAATAAACAGTTAAAAATGTTCCATCTTATTTCGTATCTCTAACAGTTGATATCTGGCAGTCCTTTTTATAATGCAGAATGAGAACTTTCCCTACCATGTTTGATCAATGCTGTCCAGGTTCCATTGCCAAGAATATGTTGTTCCCAAATGCCAGTTTGTTTTAGATAGGGTCTTGCTCTGTCACCCAGGCGGGAGTGCAGTGGTGTGATCACAGCTCACTGTAGCCTCAACTTCCTGGGCTCAAGCGATCCTCCCACCCCAGCCTCCCAAGCAGTTAGAACCACAGGCACATGCCACCACTCCTGGCTAATCTTTTTATTTTTTTGTAGAAGACAGAGTCTTGCTGTGTTGCCCAGGTTGGTCTTGAACTCCTGGGCTCAATCAATCTTTCCCCTCTGGCCTACCAAAGTGCTGGGATTACAGGTGTGAGCCACTGTGCCCAGCCCAAAATGCCTGTTTAGTTATTAAAGATGGAACTCCACTCTCTGCTTGGTTTTAAGTATGTATGGTTTTAAGTAAGTATGATAGGACATAGTAGTAGCGGTGATCAGACACGGAAATGGTGGGGAGATAAAAAAAATACATGCGAAATAAAACTCAGTATTTTAATAAAGTAAAAAAAAAAAAAAAAGAAAAAAGACACATCACTCCCATCCATGCCCTCCCGAGCTAAGGCTGGTCTACCCATGCCAGGTGTGAGCAGGCACCACGGCCACGCTGCTCTCAGGGGACTGACCACACCTGGGAAGGGCTGGACATAGATGCATGACCTGGAGGATGATTCTGGGATAGAAGCAGGCGCCCCTCAGGTGGTGACTCACAGCTCCCCAGTACAGTACCCTCATGCCTGTCACCAGCACACCTGGGTGGGGACCCTGATGAGTGCACGCAGAGCACCCCGGTTGGGGCCGAACCCCAGCTTGCTCCTCACTCCCCTTTCCTCAGGATGCTCCAGTGGCCGCTCACCAGGCAGGAAAGCAAACCAACAAGCAACGTAGCCACTGAGAGCCCACGGGCGCTCCTGCCCTCTCCTCCTGTTTCAGTGGGGACTTGAGGGGGCAGGCTGCACCCGGAAACCTTGGCTTTCGATCGCTTTCTCAAAGGGCCCATCATATCACACTCCCTAAGTAACACGACTGTAATATGGCTGGCCGGTTATTCAAGAGGTTTACCAGCTAAAAGGTTCATTTTTCCACTGGAGAAGATACGTCACCTAAAGATTTGATATTTTTATTATTCATGGAAATGAGTAACATTCTAGTGTTTGGGTAAGTGTTGAAAGACAGGGGACCCTTCTCTACCCATAAGTCTGCGCTGCCACTGAACTTCTGTTTTCCTGACACAGCAGGGTTTGGTGGGGGGAACCTGCAGGTATAACGAGGGCTCTGGGGGGCCTCCGTGAGCTGGACTCTCCACAGGAGCCGCAAAAGGTGGCACTAGAAATCAGGTGCCAAGAAGCTCCATGGGGAGCTGAGAGCTCAGTGGTCTCTGAAGGAGGAGGCGCTCCCCACCTTCCAGACTAAGCCTAGGGCAGCCTGTGAGGGACTGCACGACTCCAGCCTCCTGGCTGTCCACCTGGCCCTGGAGCCCTGCTCCCTGACCTGGCCCCACTGCCCCAGTTGGCCTCAAAGGGTCCCCTTTGACAGGTGCTCCCCTCCCCTGCCTCCCAGAAGCATGGCCGATCCTCTGCCTTACTCTCTACGGCTTTTGTGTCTGCGACTGGAAGGTTTCGTTTCAAAAAGAACACCAACACCACAGTGACCGTGGGCAACCCCCTTTCCTCGCCCCACCTCCTCAGGTGAGGACTGACCGCTCAGCAGGGAGCCTCATCTCCGGAGGCACAGAGTGAAAGTGTCTGTCTGGACACGGAACGAGCCGGCCCCGTGTCTTTCAATGTGGAAGCTCAGTTGGGTGATCTGAGAGGTGGTGGCATTTGGGGAAACCTCCACAGGCTGTCCTCTAGAGTCTACTTTTCTGTACACAGTACTTCCTAGGACTTGCTCCCTATGGTCCAAGTTTTATAGCTAAACTAAAAACACTCAAGGCACAGCACTCTGAGGCCATTACTAGGCACAGTCGCCCCCTTCATTTCTAACTCTGAATCCTTCATTTAGCAAATATCTGTAAAGCCTCGAAGACAGGAAGCAGCAGTAAAACAAAGGTGTTAAGAACTCAGGCAGAAAGCCCAGCTGGAGTCCCAACTCCACCTCTGACTACCTTAGTGACCCTGGGCAGAAAACGATCTCTTTGGGCCTCAGTTTTCTCAACTGGAAAATGGGAATATTGTCTTTACTGGGGTTGATGTGAATTAAGAGATGTACAGTGCTTAGAAAAATCCCTGAAATATAGCATGTCCTCAATAAATGTTGTTTTTGTTTTTTGTTAATGATGTATCAAGTGACTTACCAGCATCTATAACTCAATCTTGTTACTCTCCTGATGGTAACAGAAGCAACTAATGGAAGCAACCAACGGAAGCAACATTTTCATCCTCTCCAGGCATGTCCAAGCAGGCCTCTAATGCACTGCACTCAGCAACTAAATTTGTACCAAATGAAAGGCGGAATCTCAATTTGACAATGTCTGGTTCTGCATAACACAATTATGCATATGCCCTGATAAACAGCACAGCAATAGTGCTTTGCTGTTCTTGATCTTGTAACAGGGCAGTGCAATAGGAACTACTTAAATGTTGGTTGAAAGAGGCTGAATGAACCCCAAATCCAATTACTACAGATGTACCCACTAGGTCATGGGGGGGCCAATCTGTTTGGTGAGTTCACAAACATCTTAGTATTATCAATCTGTGGCATAACTAGATTTGAATGGAAAAATATCCTTAAAGTTTGATAGGTTATAAAAGACCGGTGGAGTGGAGCTTTTTTTTTTTTTTTTTTTTTTTTTTTGGTGGTGGGGGGAGCAGGTGGTGCTGGAAGCTCACATGGGTAAGAAGATAAAAACCAGAAAGCAGCAAGCGGACGAAAAAGGCAAGAGACGCTGGCTGCTATTAACTAGCCGTGACCAGCTGCTTGACCTTTTTGGGCCTCAGTTTCTACACCTGAAAAATGAGGTTCTTTCTGACTCTTTTGAGACTATGAGAGAATGCTTCTTTCAGGAACTTGAGTGCCAGCAGCAAATCCCAGAGAGGGGGAAAAAATGAAAATACAACAGGGTCTCTAAACAGGAACAGAGAAAAGAATAATGTGATATGTATGTTTTTTAATCCAGGAAAATAAGGTACAAGGTGGGCACTACAAGAAGGACCATATAAAAACCTATAAATGAAATCTTTCGCTCTGTGTATAGTGACCACTGGTCTTTACATGAAACAACTTAGTATTCAATGGCTAATGTGATATGTAAACATGTATAACTTATTTTTGAAGAATTTTCTTTTCAGAAAAATAATACATGCTCACTGTAAAATAGAAAAAAAAAAATCCAAACAACACAGGAAAGGCCAACCCAGAGAGAACACTGCTGGCATCTCCGAGTGTGTGCGGACGAGCGCACCACTGAGAGCCAGGCTTCATGGGCTCCTCTGTTCTCTACCCACACCCCCGTGTCCAGCATGTCTCACATGCCAACAAATAGGTAATGCCATTGTCAACTGTTTGAAATTTCACTGGACATGTGTGCTACGATTCAATAAATCAAGTCAGGGTTCTCATGGTGTTCTTTAAAAGCATTACATCACAAATAATGTTTTACTTTATGATTACAGATGGAGGATGGAATACATTTATCTGAGTCTACTCTCTTCTGAAACCTCACTAAAACGACAGGGAATTTTGTAAAGAGTTTACACTTTCCAGGACATGGGATCACAGGGCCGGAGGGCAGGCAGGGAAGCAGCCAGGCGTGCACTGGTGAAGCCTCACCAGCTCAGGTCAGGGTGTCCACAGGTGCCTGTGGAGTAGGGGCACAGATGGGGAAGAAGAGGACTGGCAGGAAGTCGTCGCAGGCTGTTCTCACAGGCCCTGTGCCACCTGTGGTCACGTAACTTGACTCTGGAAATGAGTGTTCTTTTTTTTTTTTGGAGACAGAGTCTTGCTCCGTTGCCTAGGTTGGAGTGCAGTGGTGCGATCTTGGCTTACTGCAACGTCCGCCTCCCGGGTTCAAGTGATTCTCCTGCCTCAGCCTCCTGAGCAGCTGGGATTACAGGCATGTGCCACCACTCCCGGCTAATTTTGTATTTTTAGCAGAAATGGGATTTCACCATGTTGGCTAGGCTGGTCTCGAACTTCTGACCTCAGATGATCCACCTGCCTCAGCCTCCCAAGTGCTGGGATTACAGGCATGAGCCACCGCACCCGGCTTTTTTTTTTTTTTTCTTTTCTAATTTGAGACAGAGTCTTGCTCTGTCGCCCAGGCTGGAGTTCAGTGGTGCAATCTCGGCTCACTGCAACCTCTGCCTCCCAGGTTCAAGTGATTCTCCTGCCTCAGCCTCCTGAGTAGCTGGGATAACAGGCGCCCACCACCACACCCAGCTAATTTTTGTATTTTTAGTAGAGACGGGGTTTCACCATGTTGGCCAGGCTGGTCTCAAACTCCTGACATCAAGCAATCCGCCTGCCTTGGCCTCCCAGAGTGCTGGGATTACAGGCATGAGCCACCATGCCCAGCCAAAATAGTGAAGATTTATACAACCAAGAAGAAAGGACAACACAACCCTCAAAGGATAGGCTGTGTGCCAGGGGCTGCCTCCTCCTTCCCTGGGGCTCCTCCTTTCTGAGAAGATCATGTGCCTGGGAGGCACAGTGCTTTGCTTTTCACAGCCTCCTGGGGCGAGGGGGACAAGAAGTGAGGCCAGGGCCCTGAAGGTAAAGGAGGGGCTGGGAAGACCGCCTGCTCGTTACAACATATAGAGCATATGAGAGAAATGTGCAGCAAATGTGGCAAAATATTGACAAATGGGTGAAATTTTGATTAAATTCTTTATATCATTCTTGCAACTTTTCCATGCTTTTGAAATTATTTAAGAAAGTTAACAAATAAGCAAACAAACTACAAATCAGGAATGGAAAGTGAATTTTACAAAATGCCATTTTCAGATTCACAAGACGCTTGCATTCACCTTCCTTCGACGATTACTACTTCTTACACGCTATGATTTCTCTCCTTTTTCCACCACACCGGCTCCAGGTCTACTTGTCTTTACTCTCCCCGCTTCATCGCTGTCTGCCCCCTTCCAAAACCTGTTCTTTGGTTTCATTCTCTCTTTTTCTTAGTTGATTCATTTCTGCTTTTGTCTTTAAAGAACACAGTAATTCTTCAACTTACTTTGGTTCTTTGCTACCTCTTTAGTGTTTAAATCACTTCTTTTGATTCTTATTTAATAACAATCTTTACACATTAACTCTAAGCCATTACCTTATCTCATTTTTTCATTAATTTGGAGGCAATGGTGGTTCTGCACATGAGAACACGGCCAAGTCCGACAGCCCAGCCTGAATCTCAGTCTCCCACTTGCCAGCTGTCAATTCTGGGGCAAGTGACTGAGCCTACCCTTCCCATTCCCCCATCTGTGAAATGCGGATGAGGACAGCACCTCCTTCGAACAGGGACTGTGAGGAGTGAGTGACATAATAAATGTACATGCTTAGAATAGTGCTTTCAACATATTTATTAGGATTATTAGCTCTTATTCATTTAATAAGATTTGTTCAGAATCTACTTAGTGCTCGTGTTCTAGAGGTTGGAGATAAAGCTTCCAACAAAGCCCACAGTCCTCGCCTCCATGGAAGTTTTGCTTGAGCGACGAAGCTCTTCTCTGCCCCAAGGGACTCCCAGGGATGCCTGGTTTCCGCCTGTGTGTTTATTTCTATTTTTATTGCATTATAATGTGAGAATAAGGTTTCTAATTATTTCAAATTTTTGGAAATCACATCGGTTTCCTCTGTAAGCTAGTATATATTAAGTTTAAAAACTTATACCATGAGGGTCGGGCACGGTGGCTCACGCCTGTAATCCCAGCACTTTGGGAGGCTGAGGTGGGCGGATCACCTGAGATCGGGAGTTGAGGACTAGCCTGACTGACATGGAGAAACCCCATCTCTACTAAAAAAAAATACAAAATGAGCTGGGCGTGGTGGTGCATGACTGTAATCCCAGCTACTTGGGAGGCTGAGGCAGGAGAATCGCTTGAACCCAAGGGGCGGAGGTTGCGGTGAGCCGAGATCGCACCACTGCACTCCAGCCTGGGCAACAAGAGTGAAACTCCGTCTCAAAAACAAAACAAAACAAAACACAAAACAAAAAAAAACTTATAAAATGAGCATTTGTTTTCCAGCCATCAAACCTGAAAGTCTCTACTGGCTCACAGTAATAACAACTTATGTCTACCACATGACCTGTGAGGGGCCAAGAAGTCCAGGCGCCTCTCCCACCAGCACTGCACTCACTGATTTTGTCTTTAATCCCCTACAGTTCTCGCTTTATGTGTTTCAATGTTCAATCATTTAGGCCAAATTCATGGTAGTTATATCATCCTATGGACTGTACGCTTTAGCGTGATGAATAACCCTGTTTCATTATTGTTTTGTCTTCACAATTTAGCTTTGCCCAGCATTGACGTCATGACCCTTGCTTTTCTACTGCATCTGCCCGACATATACCTTTACTCTCCATTTCTTTTTAATACTCTTTTATATATTACCTATCTCTTCTTAGGATTTAAAGCCAAAGTTAGAAGATCCATGTGTGTTTAATTTGTTACTTAGAGTAACCCATCTATAAAGGTAAATGTAACTGAAATTATAGAAATAATCTTTAAGCTTTGCTAGCCTAGAAAAATGCATGCAACACCCCAGGCATTTAAAGTAGAGATATTATATTTAAAGAAATTTATTTTGTCTAAACAATATTTTGAAAAAGAACTATCTGCAGATCCTGGCATGAGACATAAGTTTCCAAAATAACAGAATGACTCATTTACAATACAAAACCAGCTACGACAGTGTGTGTGATTCTAGCAGCTCTGATTTTAGGCTAAGGTTGGCAGGTCGGGAGTAGAGGCAGAAGGGCAGGGGAGAAGGCTGGCAGGTCGGGAGTAGAGGAAGAAGGGCAGGGGAGAAGGCTGGCAGCTCCGTCCATGCTTTGGGGGCCGCGGGGTTCTCCATGGGTTTGCTCTCCCTGCTGCTCCGTAGGCGGCCACAGCTGAAGGTCAGGGACTTCCAACCTCAGCTCAGCTGAAACCCTGCCCAGCTTCACAGCCTCAACTGCAAAAAAAAAAACCTTTCAGCTGCTAGGAAATCTCAGTTTCTTATTTATTGTTGCTTGTGGATTGAGGAATTTCCTTAAGTAATTAAAAAAATTTAATTTCCCATTGTATTTTATCTTACTAGTGTTTCCTACTATTTTCACTTTTAATTCTTTTAAGGAATACTAATAGTTCATCATTATTGGGTATTTTCTACATGCTGGTAATATATTACTGTAACTTTTCCCAGCCCACTAATCCTAGTAAGAACACACAGAGGGGCTACCATCATCCCCATTAGATAGACAAGGACAGAGGTCTACAGAGAGGTTAAGGCGACGCTCAGATGGGACCGTGCTGATGCCTGAGCCCAGGCAGGGCAGCTCGGAGCACCTGGTGATCTGCAAGGGCAAGAGGCACCCCGTGAGGGGACGGCTGTGCAGGCGGCGTGGTCCCACACATGCTACTGGTCCCTTACAGGGAGAAGAGTGGTCTCACCGTTCCTGCTCAAGATGAAGACTGTGTCTGTCCCCCGGGAGACCTCAGATGCCTTAACAAGAATATTACTTCTAAGACCTTTAAATTCCTCAATGGAAAAAGCCCGTGAATTGAAATCAATGGTTCCTAATACAAATTTGACATGGGCCAGGTTTCCCATTAGCCAGTATTACAGATGACAAGTGGGAAGGAGCCCTCTGAACAAACGTCTGGGACACTACCTTAACTGCAAGTCTGACTTGATAACATGATCACCAACCAAATACCTGAATCATCAACATTCCCCTCTACTGAGTTCTCTTGAGCACTCAGCTGACTGTAAACTGTGATCCCAGGTGGAAGTCACTGTGGAGTTTAGGCCACGTCAGTTCCTCGGTGTAATGCACCTCCCAGCTCTGTGCCAACACCCTGCCCTGGGCTTCCCTTATCCCAATTCATCCTGCTCCCCCAGCCACAGGACAGCACCACATCTTTGCTTCCTTGGATGGCCCCAGCTGAGCAGCCCATGCTCCCACCGCCATGAGGAGCAGCCCAGTGTCCAGCCTACCAATTCTGGGGTTGCTGGACAGTCGGCTGTGCTGGAATCAGAGACTCCCAGTCCCTGAAGACACAGGCTGCATTTTTTTTTTCCTTACTGTGAATGTGCTTTGAATACACTCCTAAAAAGTAAACAAAACAAAACAAAACACTTCTCCAAGCCACTGGCAAGTAGGCTTGACCCTGCCAAGTAGGTGGAGCAAAGCTAAAGTCTGGCCAGACCTTCTAACCTTCTTCTGAGGCTCTGTGGCCACAGGCCCACCAGCGAGCTGGATATAATCAAGTACCAAGTCAATCTCTGAGATTTGAGGACTTTTTCTCACAGCTTTTTGGCAAAGTCATCTTGGGAGAGGAAAGAGTAGAGGTAGTCAATTAGAGTTGATTTCTGATTTTCCCAGCATGTAATAAAGATCCCCTCCTCTCATCCCCATCCAGACTCCTGATAACCAAATTAATATCTTAATAAATCCTCAGTATGAATGTCCCCAAGCGACTTGACAGGCCTGGGGCTTTAAGCATGCATTCTATGACCTCATAATTTAAAGAGATTTGGAGGCCAGGGCTGGCAACGCACCAGTGAAGTTTCACCCACCAGACACTGAATCTGGGAGGAGAATTTCTCCTTGAGCCATTTCTGCTGGAACAGCTGCCTGATCACAAGAGGAAAATGCCTCCTTAGATTAACTTGCTGGTGGCCTTGTGAGATACCTCAGCAGCCGTACTGAGACGCCACATCAAGGGACCATCTTTAGTTCCATTTTTTGAGAAGACTTTTTGTTTGGCTTGAAGAGGGTCCCCCTGAAGCTGACCCTCAGTGCTGCCGTCACTGCTGCAACCTCAGCACCTCCATGGCCTGCATGTGCAGACAGGAGAACCGGACCCAGTCAAGGTCCCACCAGTTCTGCAGACAAGGGTCTGGAGTCCAAGTAACCACACAGCACACCCTGCTCAAATTCTCAGGGTGACTCTTCACATGGGATATAATCTGTCTTGAATGGATCACATTTGCCACCCAGAGGAAGAGACAATGTCAAAACTGATTCAGGCCGGGTGTGGTGGCTGACGCTTGTAATCCCAGCACTTTGGGAGGCTGAGGCAGGTGGATCACTTGAGGTCAGGAGTTTTGAGACCAGCCTGGCCAACACGGTGAAACCCCATCTCTACAAAAATACAAAAATTAGCCGAGCGTGGTGGCAGGTGGCGGGTGCCTGTAATCCCAGCTACATGGGAGGCTGTGGCAGGAGAATCACTTGAACCCTGGAGGCAGAGGTTGCAGTGAGCTGAGATCGCGCCACTGCACTCCAGCCTGGGTGACAGAGCGAGACTCCGTCTTAAAAACAAAAAATGCCAAAAAAACCCTTGGATTGAATAAAGCTGGGAAGTGAAAACCCCTAGTCATGTTAGGGAATTTCACATGGCCTGTTACCATAATGCCTTGAGAAAACAGTTTTGGAACAGTGAACTGACTCAGCAATTCATCTGGCTGGGGGTGGTGGAAGTCAAGTTTAGGTCCATGTGCTGCTCCCTCATACTGTGTCCTCTCAATGAAATGCATCCTTTACAAAATCGCAAGGGGGTGTGTCTTTGGGGCCAGACAATGAGAGCAAAAAATGAAGGGAAAATTAAGAACAATGGTTTACCCAAGGTGGTGGTTTCTGAAGAATGATCAAACCATATAATTAAACCAATCATTTTAGGTAACTGTGTGATCCTCTAACAACTTCTGCCAAACTTGGAGAGTCTAGGAATCTTTGGTAACCCTATCTTCTTCAAACATTTGACCAATCAGAGCTGGCCAAGACATATCAGGCAAGACTCCTCATTACCAGAACGGCTGGGAAGCTCCACCTCGAATTAAAACCCTGACACCGGCCATGTGAACAGCAGCACCAGTGACCTCTGGCCACGGCTGGCCGAGGGGCGGACCTAGGCGCCCATGTTTTTCCTGGACCACACTCCAGGGCGGCTTGGCGTGAGAGTAAACAACTTGATCAAGGACAAAGTTTTGACCAAGTCAAAGTTTTCCTCCTGAAAACTGAAGCTACTGACGACTTCTCACTAGACGGAACATGGGAAGAATCAGGCAGATCTAATCACTGCCAGTGTGGACATGACTGATTCCAGCACGTTTCAGATGCTGTGCCTAGTGTTCACACTGCAACCTCCCTGACTATCCACAACTGTCCTGTGAGAGAGAAACTGTTATCACTCCCATTTTCCAAATGAAGAACAGCCACTCAACAGTTCAATACTTGCTGGAGGTCCCACAACTGCTAACTGTATTATGTTACTGAGTAAATGCAGAAGAGCATGCAGAGAAATTACACGGTAAAGCGCGGGGAAGAAGGGGCATGACACGCAAAGACTGGGAGTGGCGGGGTGGATGAGGACACAGAGGGGTCACTCACGCTGCTGGAGTCTGGACCCTTCTGCCTCCACAGTCCCGCTCCACCCTGCTCCTCTGTGTGGAGTCCCTCTGTGACTGTGCCTTAAAAACACTTGTCTTCATCTATGCAAGCCCAAGTGTGTCTCCACTGCTTGTAACCCAAGAAAGAGATGGGAAGGTGTCTTCGGAACAGATTCCCCAGGTGGAACCCAGAGTCGCCCACCCTGGGGTTTCCCGTACTTCAGTCCTGCATGAACACCTTCAAGATCGTCACAAATCTGTGTACAGTCAGGCTCTTATTTACTTGGTATTTTGCTTTAAATGGATACACTTTTTACTAAGCCCTGTCCTAAGCAATAATAACCCAAGAAACCATGGATTTGATGTGCTAATTATATATTTTCACATTCATCAATATATAATTATTAAAGTAAAATAATACTCAACTCTGAATCACTTAAAATAACTGCCGTTAGCAGTGGTGTGCACTTGCCACACTTGGAGGAATCCTGGGCTATCTATCCCACAGTACGAAGAAAGAAGATAACAAGAAATCCTCTATTTGGCCTACACTGTAGATTTCTATGTTGACTATTATTGCTGAACAAATCTCCAATGATTACCTGAATGAGGAGCAAGAAAATCACTTTACCTCTGTTGTTCTGTTCTGCTCCTTTTCATTATGAGGACATACAGACCACTTGCTCTCAGCCTTTGCTGATCCCCTGCTAGTCTTTGGTTCTACAAATGCAATACTATTTAGAAGCTCAGGGTTAGAATCTTTCCATGGTTCCAAGGCTATCCATGGGTTCTTTTTTAAGTTTTGCCTTCAAAGCTGTATCATAATATTGCTGCTTAAATAACAATGTCTTTGGACAAGTTAAACTCAACTTTAAAGCCAATGTAAGTAACAGACTACAGTGGTCCATGTTGGGGATTGCTTCTAGGACCACCACGCTTACCCAAATCCACGCATATTCAAGTCCCACAGTCGGCCCGCAGAACCCGTGCGTATGAAAAGTTGGCCCTCTGTATACATAGGTCTCGAATCTTGTGCATTTGCAATCTGCATTTGGTTGAAAAAAATCCACATATAAGTGGACCTGTGCAGTTCAAACTTGTGACGTTCAAGGGTCAACTGTAATTCTTGTACTTATTTAAGGAATGTACTATGATAAGGAGTTGTGTCCCATCTTACAACTCAGACAGGATGATAAGCATCTTCCTTTATGCATCTGCAATGGTTTTAGTACCACAAACTGGAAGGAAGCTTAAAAAGATGCTATGCCCACTGGCCCATTAGTAGCGTAAAAAAAATTTCTGAAACTGTTGAATAGCTCCATTCAAAAGCTGAACTAGTCCTCCTAACTGGCTTCTAGTTATTTTGTTTCCTTTAATAGCCTGTTGCACATGTTTTAATAGTTTAAGCCTTATCAAATTCTTTTCTGGATGTAGCCAAAAATAAACATAATGTCATATATAAATATAAGCATGTTTTATACATTAAGATATCCATGCCAACATATCACAGATAACATATTAAGAAGGGTCATATTTCATTTATGGTAAAACAAGTGCAAATAAAAAAATAAACAAAACTCAGCACACCTCTTTTCTCCCCAGGTGTGGAGTGAGGTGCCCTTCTGCTGGGCTCTGTTAATGTCCCCATGTAGCTGCCAGCCCTGCACATGCCACACGATGTTGTCATTTGCACATGGGTTGTTAGTCTATAATTTTCCACCAGCTATAACAGGATCAGACACAAAAGTGCTCGGAAGTATTTGCTGAATGAAGAAACTTACAATAAAGCTCCAATACCTGCAAATGCTGCCGTGACGGTAACTTACTTATCACTCTAACTGAAGGCAATCTTTGCATCCTCTCACCCGCTTAGTGACACTTCCATTTTACTTTAAATTATACATATTTGTGTTCTCTTAGACTGCAAGCTCCCCGAGGGCTGGCAGGCTCTATTGCTGCTTCTCTGTATTCCTTGCTGGATGAAACTGAATTTTCTATTTACATCTTTAAACCCCAGTATCTTATATTTGACCCAACTTAACAGAAGCTGCAGGTTTCTTTTAATGGAATGACATGTTTATATTAATTGTAACTAAGTACCACTGCTAGAGTGGTACTTAAAATGATCCAGATACACTTCAGGATGAGTGTTTAGAGCAGAGTCAGAAGCCCGCCTCAGGATTCATTCAGGTGCAGGCTGTGGACCTGCTGTCCAAAGCACGTCCAATCCAGGGCCCCACCTCGGGTGGATTTTCTGTTGCTCTGATTTATGCTGATTTGGGCCAACACTTGGCTGTCCTCAGCCTCAAAGCAGGACTGAATCGGGTCACAACCACCAAGGGCACAATGTAGCATTTGTTTACAGTTCTGAATGGATCATCCTTTGTTAATGTAAGTGAAACTCTGTGTCTTGTCTGGAGACAGCAGTGTAGAGTTCCCAAGTTCTACTTGTGATAATCAAAGGTTTCAGTGAAACAAAACTTCATATGGGCTGTAAAACATGAGTTGGTAACAGGAACCCGAATTAATGAACTTGGAAATTCTCACTCTCCTATGGATTAGAACATATTTGTCTTGAAAAATGAATGGGAGAACAATTTGGCATTTCTAGGAATTATTTAGATCTACCTTGAATATAGATGCTTTTCTTTACAAAATGGTATTGTACACACTCTGAGGGTTCAGAAAATACCATTCACGTCCTAATCTCGTTTCTGGCTCTTACTAGGCAGGAAAGCTAAGCAACAACTTGGGTCACAGAGGACCAAATAGAAACAAGTTTTGAAAAAAAATTTTTTTTTTTGCCACTATGGACACTAAAACCAGTGTTCGGTCCCTAGGAGTGAACATTTCAATACTGCGAAAAAAGAAAAATACGACAGCGACACAACAACCAAAGTGAGACTAAGCAGCACCTTTGAAGACACTCAATTTGAAGGCACTGCGTAAGGATGAGCTGGGGGCAGGGAGGCCACCATGTGGAGCTGGATGTCTGATTGCGGGCACCTCACGTTGCCTGCTCCCGCTGTAATCAGGGTCCATGCATGGAAAACTGTCTAAACACCGACCAAACACACACACAAACACAGAGGCAAGGTTAAGAGGAAAAATCGTCTTCCTCAAAACAATATCCAGCCTTATGGAATATTATAAGAGGTCTCAATGCTCAGTTAAAAGTAAAGCACGATCAGTGTTTTAACTGAAGTTAAGGCAACAAGCTCAATTACTTCAGGAAACTAAGAAACCTGTGTTCAGGCTGCCCAGAACCCCAAGTCCAGGTGGGGCCCGTAGCCCAGCACTTCCCTGATGTAGGTTCCTTCTGCTTGGCCTTCTTGCCTGGTAAGACCTATAAATGAAATCAGGAAATGAATGGTAGCTGGAGATTGAAGAAGGAAGCAGGAGAGGGAGAGAAAAGAGTTAAAAAGATGTTGTACTCAGAACTCATAGTAAGGATTCTTACAAACTTACACATAATACAGGATGCTTTTTCTTTTCTCTTCCTTTCCTTTCTCTTTCTTGGAGGAATGGAGAAGGGGAAGGCAAGCCCCATGCTCCTATTTCAAGGTTAGAACCCCACAGAGAGAACCCCACTAACTTCAGCCTGTGTTGACCAGAGTTCCACTAAATACCAGGAACACGCCAACCAGACTCAGCAATAAAAGAAACACGATTCAGATTTATCCTGAGGATATTTTCACGACTTCAACTTTCCACTGTGAAAAGTTGGAAAACATAGTTTTTGAGGTAAGAAAAAGAATATCTTTTGAGGCTGGGCACGGTGGCTTGCGCCTGTACTCTCAGCACTTTGAGAAGCCGAGGCGGGTGGATCACTTGAGGCCAGGAATTTGAGAACAGCCTGGCCAGCATAATGAAACCCCGTCTCTATTAAAAATACAAAAAATTAACCAGGCATGGTAGCACACGCCTGTAGTCTCAGTTGCTCGGGAGGCTGAGGTAAGAGAATTGCTTGAACCCAGGAGGCGGAGGTTGCAGTGAGCCGAGATCGTGTCACTGTACTCCAGCCTGGGAGGCAGAGTGAGACACTGTCTAAAAAAAAAAAAAAAAAAAAGAGTATCTGTGAATTTCAGTTAAGTGTTAATTAAATCTTTCTGCTTGTCCCAAAGCAGAAAGTTTATTTACCTAATCAGCTTCTAATGATCATACTTAGAAACAGAAATTAATAATAGGTATGTTCTTTGTGTATATGTATTTGTGTGTGTGTACAAGCATACAGAGTATCCTTGCCTTGATGTATATCCTCTGAATACGACACTCCCCCTACACCTTCAGGTCTTCTTATATATCATTATATCACTGAATAAAATGGGCTTTTCAAAAAAATGGAAAATTCATATAACATACAATGAACCACTTCAAGTACACTTCAGGGGCATTTAGTGCATTTACAATGTTGTGCAATCAGCCCTCTGTCGAGTTTCAAACCTTTTTCATGATCCTAGAAGAACTCCCCATCCCTGTAAGTAACTACTCCCCCTTCCTCCCTCCCCGCAGCCCCTGGCAACCTCTAATCTGCTTTCTGTCTCTATGGATTTGCCTATTCTGGACATTTTACATGAAAAGAATAAAAAAATGGGCTTTGAGGTTACATAAATCATTTGCAATATTATGTGGTAACTACAAATGTAAACAAGGTAAAAATCTGGGATTTGTGGTCTAAACTGAAATTGTAGAGTTAGAATTTCACAGACTAGGAACATTTCATAAAGAATCCTGAGGACTGACACTGGGCTATCATCCTAACATACAAATAAGATCAGTAAAAAAAAGATCCTACAAAAAAGACATTTTAATACCCAAAAAGACAGTATCTCACTTCCAATATGAGGTTATAGGGAACAAGAAGACAATTTCAGAATAAAAGATAGTCCTGTACATGGAATAAATTTAGCTTAATGGAAAACTCACATGACATCACCCTTATTTTCGCCTTTGACAGGTAAGTCCTGTCAAAGAGCAGCACAGGTGTCTGGGGTGCCCTCCTTAGCACACCTGAGCCTGCACTTATGGCCGAGAACTGATTTCCCAAAACGAGATAATTTAGGAAAATAATGGATTTCATCCTGTAAAAGTTCAATCTTTTTGACGACCAAAATTGACAAGATCCAAATCTATTTTAAGAATCAGCAGAAAATGGTAGAAGCTTCGCGAGAGAAAGCAACAGCTGTGAGTCAGGTGAGGCCATCTTGCCCAGTGCAGATGGCAGCAGATCAGTGTTGTCTCTGCCCATTAGTTCTCCTCTGCTGGCTGTGGTCTGGAGAGGTCAGAGGGCAGACAGTTAAGGAAACAAGATTTATAAATCTAAGAACTCCAGCAGGCAGGTTTCTCCCTAACTTGGCCTTTTATGCTGGGGTATGCATTCTGGAGGGTGCATAAAGCCACAGGATAAATGATAAATGCAATATACATCCTAGAATATCAGTTTTCCATGCAGCTGAAAAATGTTAAACAAGGCTGGGTGTAGTGGCTCAAGCCTGTAATCCCAGCACTTTGGGAGGTCAAGGCGGGCAGATCACTTCAGGTCAGGAGTTTGAGACCAGCCTGGCCAAGATGGCGGAACTCTGTGTCTACTAAAAATACAAAAATTAGCAGGGTGTGGTGGCACACACCTGTAATCCTAGATACTCGGGAGGCTGAGACACAAGAATCGCTTGAACCTGGGAGGCAGAGGCTGCAGTGAGCCGAGATCACCCCACTGCACTCCAGCCTGGGCGACAGAGCAAGACTCCGTCTCAAAAAAAAAAAAAAAAAAAAAAAAGTTAAACATTTTTACACTTAAGTATAATAATCATGAAACAGAATACTAAATTCAAATAGCTTTTTACAATACAACCAGGGATTTCAGAAACTTAAACATTTTAGGGGTTCCTTATGGACCATTTCAGACTAAGTGCCCAGATGCCCACAGGTTCTCTGCTCACAGTCAGAGCAGCTACTGGGCAGATTCCAGGGAGCACTGTCCTAGTCCTAGTCTAACTGATTCTAACCCAGGAAAGGCTACAGAATTAGAAGAAAGAGACAAGGAACATTGCTAAGCTGATCCTAAAATTCATATGGAAACACACATATCATTACATCATTGAATAAAATGGACCCAATATACCAAAAGGGACCCAAAATACCAAAACAATTTTGAAAAAAAGAACAAAGTAGGAGAGTTCACACTTCCTGATTTTAAAGCTTACAACAGAGCTACAGTAATCAAGACAGTGTGGTACAGACATAAGGACAGACATACAGACCAATGGAATAGAGAATCCAGAAATAAACCCTTTTATGGTCCATTGACTTTCAACAAGTGTGCCAAATCCATTCAATGAGGGAAATAATTGTTTTTTCAACAAATGGTTCTGGGAAAACTGGATATTCACATGCAAATAAAGGAAGTTGGACCCTTACCTCACACCCTATATAAAAACTAACATGAAATGGAACAAAGACCAAATGTAAGAGAATTCATATTAAAAAACTCTTAGAAGAATGTGTAAGAGTAAGTCTGGATTCAACAATGGTTTCATAGCTATGACACCATAAGCATAGGAGACAGAAAACAAATCAAGATAAACTGGTCTTCCTCTAAATTAAAAACGTGTGCTGCAAATGATACCATCAAGACAGTGAAAAAGACAACCCACAGTATGAGAAAAATATCTGCAAAACATATATATGATAAAGGCTTGGTTCTCGGAGTACATAAAGACTTTGCTGTGACAGCTGTGATAGCCACATCTGACCATGCCCTCTGGGCCACCTCCTATTCTCACCGATCCTTGGTCAGTTCCCTCTTCATTCTTCATGCTTGTCACTTATTGTTCCCCCTCAATTCTCTAGAGGCCTCCTCTCTTGGACCACCAGAAAAACCAAAGCCATGAGGTCCTACCTTCCCCAACTTCCTTCTTAAATTTCCCTTACTGCCCCAGAAGTTTCTGATAATCCCCTCTGCTGAAGATGACACTGAACATTTTGGTTTTCAGCAGATCTGGTTTTGACAGCTTTACCATTCACCTACAAAAACTGAACAGGCTAACTACACAGTGAGAATATCTGAAATACAACAAAACTGGTTCATTCAACTAAATGAAATGCCAACATGAAAGTTCAGTGAAACCTGAATGATGGAATTGGAGTGACACCCTGGCTAGGAGGTGGAGTGGTGACTGACCTGCACAGTTCCGCCTGCATGCTGTGTTCTGTTGCCCTCATCGATGAGCGTGTGCACCCCAAATAGGCTGGGCAAAAGCTGGGAGCGTGCACTCTACGATAAGGACTAGGAAAGCTACCTTTTGGCCAAGTCTCAAATCTTAAACCCATGATCTTGGCCTTTCAAAACTGTTCTAGCCAGTTAAGTGGCTAAAATCATAGCAGTAACTTCTAAGACACAGAAAGATAGCAATGCCCGGATTCCATTATCAGTATATGTCTCCCACTTTTAATGCTATGCCTTCTTTACATTTTTTTAATAAGTAATAAATTCATCAACACACACACACACACACACACACACACACACACACACGCTGAAAACCCTCTTATCCTATCCCTCTGCCAAAAGTATCACTTTCAGTTTCTTCTGTATCTCTTGAGTTTCATCCTGGAACCAAAACAAATTTATTCTTAGCCCAACTTCCCCTTGTGTAGTGACGAAGATGGCGTGAGAAGCCACTGCTGCGTCTTGCCTTCCACTTAACTGCTCTCGGCTGCTCTCCTTTCATCAGTCATAAAGGGATGCTACTTACACCCTTTTGACATACACCCTTTTCCAGGAATTTTCTCACCACAGTGCAACAACCACCCCCAACACATACCCCAACAGGCTGAATCATCCCATCTTCCCAACTGCATCCCAGGACCACCAATTAGTTCATTAAACTTCAGCTAACACACTGCTTCTCCTGGGAGGCCTTGCTGGGCCCCACAGGGCCTGCTCCCTCCTCCTGAAGCCAGCGCAGACACGCACCCACAGCACCTATAACACGACCAGTTCTTAGCACTAAGCACAGAGCCAACCACCAAGTGGGTGATTTCTAAATATTAGTGAGTGAGTGAAATACAGCTTTAGGTGGACATAGGGCAGAAAGTCAAAACTAAATTTGTTCTCTTCTGTGTTAGGTATCATGTTGTCCTTCCATTTGAAATGAACTCAGAAATTTTTTTCGTCTTAATTTTAACCTTGTTTGGCCCAACAAAGGACACAGGGTTACCAACACTTAACTTAGCAACAGCACATATGCTGAATCAAAAGCAAAGAATGAGGAAGGAAATCTTTGCAGAGCTTTATTAAAATCAGGAACATGCGTGCATAGGTTTTTTTTTCACTACATTGTAAACATCACTTCAATTGTACACATCAAGAAATATTTCTTGATGCTTTCCTACTGTTTCCCCGTAGACAAATGTCTACACTAAAACAGAGCCAGTTTTCAGATGAATACCTCTCTCTCCTACCCCGCAAGAACTTCATGCTATATCATTACGAATAAAAAGAATATATCTAATTTTGTACTAAATCCTAAGAATTACTCATTAAGAATCTTTACCAATAGTAAGTTTACGTTTACCACGAAAATACTCTTGCCAGCTATGTCTAAAATGCAGCTTGAACATGAATCTCTCGGGATGTGCGAGCTCCGAAAATCAAGTGGAAAGTCAGTCCTGGAGTCTGTTCCTTCAACAGGAGCTCTGGGGCTGTGCCACGGAACAAGTGGGCACTGTGCCTAGTGAGACAATGTAAGGCTCAGATAAGTTAATTTCATCCATAACCACAAACCCTAAAAGTACAACCTTACCTTCGTGACCCAGAATCTGCATCTCTTGTTTTTCTAGATGACACCATAAGATCAACTAACCTGGTTTCAGCTGCACTGCACTCTACACCACTGTAAAAAGCTGAGAGCAGAAAGTACCGTGTAGATAGATCCCTGTGATAAAGAAACCTGCAAGAGCAGGCTCAGTGCATGCTCAGAGAGGGGTGAGCCCAGAACCGTGAGTCAGAAAACCCAAGTGCTGGTCCGGTATCTGGTCTCTGTCACCAGCTCCTTCTTGGACCTCAGACAAGTTGGAGAACCTCTCTGCTTCAGTTTCCACCGCTGTCAAAGTAGGACTAATCATACTTGTTTACTCTCTCACAGGAAAGAGGGCGACGGTTAATGAACCCTTTTGCGAGGAGCTTTGAAGATGAAAAAGGTTCCAGGGTGCTAATGACAAACAATAACAGCCTCTCTATTCTCATTTGGGTATCTATCATGCTGTGGGGGAGAGGGTACCGAATTACTCCGAGTAAACTGGTCTTCTAGGATTCTTGTTCTTAGGGCTAAACTATTTTGAAAAACCCTAGAAGAGATGAATGATGGTAATGCTTGGAATACCGGATAATACAAAATAAATCAAACATTGGCGGCTGATGCTTTAATTTCACTGCTCTGAACTGCTCGGCCCGGGTTCTGCAGCACTGCTTGCTGGCATAAATATTTACATCGGCAGCGTGTCTTAGTTACTATGGATGCCATAGCTAAGGCTATTAGCTTGGCTGATAGGTCCCCATTTCCTGCCAAAGAACTCTTTACCAAACATGCTTCTTAAACTTTGCTTTATTTTTAATAAACATTTAAATGTCAAGTAGTGTTCAAAATCGTTTTAGGGGTTCCAAGTTTAGTTTACATTTCACTTAAAGGCTCTCCTCCTTTTTACAAATAAAGGGTGAAAAGGCTCAAATAAGCAAATGTCTCAGCCCGTATGTTACACTATACAAGGCTATAAGACTGAACTGGTTTTTGTAAGTTGATGTTTGGTTTTACATAAACACATGGGTGCATATACACACACGGCCCACCAAAAGATATTTTTCCAATCTATGTAGGCAGTATAATTTATGTTCATTTAATTGGATAATAATTCCAACTCACACAAAAATGTGAAAATTCAAGATTAATATTTTGAAAGTTAACATTTAAATGACGCATAAGATTTAGAAGTAAAAAAATGCAGAATTCATATCCACTGATATTAGACTATTTGAATGAGAAAAGTCAGTCCCCAGAAGTTTATATGTCTTCAAAAGGCCAGTTTCAATACCTGATAGCCTCAGCCAGGATATAAATGAGAAAATAAGAATGGGGTTCTTAAGGGAAGGAAGTCGGGAAGAGAGGAAGGATAAGTAAAAAAATTTCCCAAAATCACAACTTTAACTTTGGCTTAAATTTAAATGTTGTTTAAGAGTAAGTCATAAAAACACATCAACATAACATCATTTGTGACTGTGTAAAAAGAAAAAGTATCTGAATTGGTTAGATTCTTTTAAAAAACCCTACCCATTGGATAGTCATTTAAGTTTTCTCCTGGCAGAGCATTTCTCTTAACTAAGAATAATATAAAAGGAGAAATGTGTTCATTCTCGTTCGTGTTTTTCTCTTTGGGGGATTAGATCGGAACGCCAATCACAGAATTCTTCCAATTCCCTCTAAAATAAGTAATTTAATCAGATGCATTTTTAATGTAACTTATTTGGAGATTCAGGAAAGTAAGGTGACTTAATCAAGAAGCTCAGTAACTAGTGACACTATTAGGCCTTAACCCTGGCTCTGATAGCGCCAGATTCCTGTATGATTTGATGTAATAATTTAGCAAGGGATGTGTGTGTGTGGGGGGGGGGCAGGGGGTGGTGGTGGTGGGGTCACTACATTAATAAGACCTCAACGTTTTCAACATCTAGTAAAATACTCTTAAAAGCGTCAATGATGTTCTCTAAAGGGAAACATCTCCTCAGGACCAGGTCCAATAATTGAGAAACAAAATTCCACATTTCCAGCAGCTTGGTGAAGCATAAGTGACCTCTGTTCTAAAATCAGACAACATGGTTTCACTCTGGCCCGGTCATCACACCTGTAAAATTAGCCTAGAGCACCTATGCACAGGCTGCGGGGGCCGAGTGTCTGTGACAGCTCCACCTTCCACTTGCCGCCACCTCCTAGATGCCTAGTCTGAAAGTTTAAGCCAAATTCACAGAAAAACATGCGAGACCACATTAAGCATTTACGTAACGTATGTATACACAGTACAATACAGGATAATATGACGTAACACCAACTCAGAGCATTATGAACCGAGAGCGCCACCAAGATCCTAAAAACGTATAAAAGGTTTTTGTTACTAAAACTGCTCTCATGTCAATTTTTTAAAGAAATGAAACAAAAAATGCTATATACTCTGTGAATAAATACATATTTATATTATTTATGTGGATAAATACACACACACACACACACACACACACACACACCCACCCACCCACCCCCCACAGGGAGAAAATGGTCTGGAATGACACACAGCAAACTCCAGGCAGCAGTCACTTTGAGATGTGGGGATGGTAGACCAATCTCAGGGGATAAGGTTAGGGAAAATTTCAGTTTTATTTGCAATGAAGAAAAAATGTAAATGGGGCCGTATTCACATATTAATTGATTACTTGAAAATGGCTTTTAAAAAAAGATTTGAAAAACAAAGAAGGAAACTGACCAAGGCAAGAGGAAGGCTCAGGGTTAGGTGGGCTCCGGATGCTCTCAGCTCTCATGGTCCCAGAGACCAGTTTAGATGATTCCACTGACTACTTAATTTTTTTTTATTTTTATTTTTATTTTATTTTTTTTTTTAGAGAAAAGAGGGAAAAAACCAAGGAGGCTTGGTAAAAACAGGGTCAGGGTCACATCCAGCCCATTCGAGAAAAACTTCCAAGTCCACGTGTTTTCCATTTTTTTGGTGTCAAGACCTATTTACATTCTTAGAAAGTATGGAGAACCCTAAAGAGCTTTGATTATGGGGGTTATATCCATTGATACTGACCATACTTGAAAATTTTAAAAATATTTACTTATTCATTAAATTAGCAATAGGTTCACTTCATGTTAAGTAATATTTTATGAAAATAACCTTATTTTCAAAAAGAAACCAGCGAGAAAATGGCCATGTTGTACATTTTTGCATGTATCTTCAATACTCAACAGAAGACAGGCGGATCTGCCGACATGCTTCTGTGTTCAACTTGCTGTGATATGCTATTCTGGTTCAAGTATATGTAAAGAAACACCCCAGGCTCAGACAGACACGTCTGGTGGGAAAAGGGAGGTTTCAATGCTTCTCAAAAAATTGCCGATGTTCTTCTTTGCCTATGCTAAAATTCAACAAGTGATAGTTCCTTAAAGATTAGTTGCAATGAGGAATCTGAAACCATGTTGATGAACCTGTCAGTTACATGAACACCCGGCAGTGTGTCTTACACTTTGGTGGCTCTTCACCCACGCTTGTTTGTAGCATCGTTCGTTGGTCACTGAGAACACACTGCTGCATGTGGTGTGTGACCTTCCACCGTATACATCAAGAAACCCCACTTGCTAATGTCACCACCCCTCTCAGCAGAAGAGTCTGTGGCACTGGGAGCTGCCACATTTACACTGGCAGATAAAAGTTCTCCAAAGTTCAAATTTTTCTTGAAAGCTCAAATTTTACCATGGGCCAAAAACAGTGTCGCAGTTGTTTTCCCCTCAATTGATAAGCTCACTTCATAGATTTTCTAGAAAATATCAGCCAAATATTTAAGTCTTAATATCCACAGTTTGTCTGCTTTTTGTTCTGTCAAGTAAAAATGATTTTACATTACTATTCTCATAATTTAAAGTTCCTGGAAAAAGTGGCTATTTTGGCTCATAACTCACACATCACATGGGCGCTTTTCTTCGAGACGGCCATCACACTCCAGCATGCTAGAACGGCTTCATGTGAACTCTGCATTTCGTCACGCAAAATTAAAAAGGAGGCTGGGTGCGGTGGCTCACGCCTCTAATCCCAGCACTCTGGGAGGCCAAAGCAGGAGGATCATTTGAGCCCAGGGGTTTGAGACCAGCCTGAGCAACCCAGTGAGACCCCAGCTCTACCAAAACAACAACAACAAAAAACCACGCTGGGTGTGGTGGTGCTTGCCTGTAGTCCCAGCTACACAGGATGCTGCGGTGGGCGGAATGCTCGAGCTGGGGAGGTTGAGGCTGCAGTGAGCTGTGATTGCGCCATTGCACTCCAGCCTGAGCAACCAAAAAACCAAACAAAAACAAACCCAAACAAAAACAAAACTAAAAACAAACCCAAACAAAAACAAAACTAAAAACAAACCCAAACAAAAACAAAATTAAAAAGGTATACAAAAGAGTTGAGACTTAAAAAACCAGTAACTTCATGCTTTATCGAGGACATTCTTGGGTCAGACTGGTGTGTTGCTAGCTGAACACCGCTGTCCTGCTCGATGAAAGAAAGGCGCCATATTCCTCACCATTGCCTTTGCACCACCAGGGCAAACGTCCACACAGTGAGAGGTAAATTAGATCTTGGTAATCTTATGAGGCAGTGACGGCCTTGCAAACCCCCTGGAAAGCAGCTCTGTGACCCCAGGGGCCACAGGCTGCCCAGGGTGAACACTGCTCCATGCAAAGGCTTCAGAGTTCCAAGAGAGCGATTATCAAGTGCTACCCCCCTTTGAGAAGTCTGACCAATTACATAAAGCTGGGAAAAAAACCAAAACCGACAACCCATTCCTAATTATACATGTACAGAAACTGTCTACAAATGTAAACACACATATACAGACACCCTCACCACCCACCTCTTCCTTGAAGCCCACCAAAAATAAGAACCAGCAACTCAGGAAGAAGTGGAGGTGGTACTTTAGGGCTTGAGGGTTCTTCAGGACTTGTTCCCTAGAGTGAAACATAACTTTTTCATAAGTTATAAGTTAAAATACCATAATTAGAACACATTGCTCATGAGTAACACAACCAGCAGACAAAAATCCATGTGTATTATAACGAGGTCACATACATCGATGACAAACTGAAAAAACCTAATCACTGTTAACAGCTCAAATTCTACTGAAAACACCAAAATATCAACATTTAAAAACAATAAGATATAAGGTTATAGTTGGGACCCCACTTATTTCAAATATTATTTAATTAAAGCAACATCTGCATTTAAAAACAACTAAAGGGAAATGACACGGAAAGCCACCCTATTTGAGATTAACCACAGATATTGCTCACTTTTTTTTTTTTTTTTGAGACAGAGTCTCACTCTGCTGCCCAGGCTGGTGTGCAGTGGCGTGATCTCGGCTCACTGCAACCTCCGTCTCCAGGTTTAAGTGATTCTCCTGCCTCAACCTCCCTAGTAGCTGGGATTACAGGCACCCGCCACCACGCTGGCTAATTTTTGTATTTTTAGTAGAGATGGGGTTTCACCATGTTGGCCAGGCTGGTCTTGAACTCCTGACCTCAGGTGATCTGCCCACCTTGGCCTCCCAAAGTGCTGGTATTACAGGTGTGAGGCACTGCGCCTGTAATACCAACTTTTAAAGATGAAATTTCTTATGAATGTGATACTAAAACTCTCTTCTTCAAAAGAGTTAAAGATGAGGAGGGGAGATGTATATAAATGCCAATTTCTTATTTTACTCTAGACTTCACGGACTGGAGCACGGGAACAGAAAGACTGAATAGGGAGCATTAAGTATACTCTGAACTGAGGCCGTGGACATGTGCTTAGGACCATCTTAGCAGGTAACTATACACAATCTATAAGCAGAGCATAGTGCAAACTCCAGAGGTACTGATGATACTAATTTCTTCCAAATGGTGAAATGCCAAGCAAACTGCAAGAGATGAAAAGGCTGGGTAAAAGAGAGAGAGAGAGACAGATGAGCTTTGAGATGAACAAATACAGATAATACAGCTGGAGAAAAAGAAAACAGATTATGGCTAAGTGGCGGGGCCCTAGAGTACCATACGTGACCTACGAAAGAGACAACCACAGACACCATGAGCACTGAGTCTCACGACACTCCAGGCGCCATTTTAAGTTCTTTATGTGCATTCACTTAACTTTCAAAAAACCCCAAAGAGGTAGGTTGTATTATTATTCCCATTTCACGTTCCATTTCTAGAAACAGAGAGTGAGTCACATGCCCTAGACAGTTCAGCTTGCCTGGGGTGGGCGGGGTGGGGGATGGGGGGTGATCTGACCCTGGCGTGTGGCTCCAGGTCCTACCCTCAGCCACCAAACACCCTGCCTCTTAAAGTGCGGAGGAAACTTTGGTTTTATCTTATCTTCTAGTGTGGCTCAAAGGCAGTTACACTCCAAAAGACCAATAAAAATGCCAATAAACATCAAAAACGGTTATGCACCCCAAAAACGCTGTTTTGTCAGATGGTGTGGCCGTCTGTGCAGCTACTGTGAGTTACAACCAGAGGACCAACACTGGCTGGCAAAGACTCAAATATGAAAGGCCACTGCTCATGGCTTAGGAAACAGTAGCTAAGTTATTACATTTTCTTTGTACATTTTTTCCAAAGCAGACCCTTTTTAAAGATATTTCCTTCACCAGAGAATATTGAAATGATAAGAGAGCGAAACAGCCTTATTTTTTAAAAATATATTTCTCATCCTGGGGCAGTGGCTCACGCCTGTAATCCCAGCACTTTGGGAGGCCGAGGCGGGTGGAACACGAGGTCAGGAGATCGAGACAATCCTGGTCAACATGGTGAAACCCTATCTCTATTAAAATACAAAATATTAGCTGGTTGTGGCGGTGGGTGCCTGTAGTCCCAGCTACTTGAGAGGCTGAGGCAGTGGAATTGCTTGAACCCAGGAGGCGGAGGCTGCAGTGAGCTGAGATTGCTCCACTGCACTCCAGCCTGGCAACAGAGCAAGACTCCATCTCAAAAAAAAAAAATATATATACATATATAATATTTTTATATTATATATATTATATAAATATATATATTATATATATATTTATATAATATATATATAATATATATATAAATAAATATATATATTTATTTCTCTCAAACATTATGAAAAAGTTAAAATCTCCATAGAATTTCAATGAATAATTGTATATTGTATATCCCCTCAGCTAGATTCAACAACTGTTCATGCTTTGACATATTTGCTTTTTACCCACTTTTCTCTTTACCATTTAAAGTTGCAGAGATCACGATCCTTCACTTATTAATACTTCATTCTGCATTCCCTAAGAATAAGAAAAGTCCCTTACAAAAGTTGGACACCTTTTTACACCTAGAAAGTTCGCAGTAATTCCACACATCCAACATCATTCTGCACTCCACTTTCTCCAGCTGCCTTCAAAATGTCTCTAATAGGTTTGATTTCACACTTTTTAGAACAAGGATCTGATCTAGATTCACTCACGGTACCTGTTATATCTCTTTAGTCTTTTTTCTTTTTTAAACTAGAAGAGTTTTTGATTTATGTGTAATTCAAGGGCCTCAAATAAAGCCAGACTTCTACCTGCTGTGGGAGTACTGGTTTCCCCCATGCATTTTAGCCAGCGTCTTTCCAAGATGTGAGTGAGAGAAATGATTTATCCCACGTTTAGACCACTTGGCGGTCCTATTTCCAGTGTGACAGGGAGCGGAAACAGCGCCTGAGCAAGGCCTAGAGTGGAGTGGGCACCTGTGTCGCTCTTTCAACCAGCCGCCTTGTGTAAAGTCTGTCACCTTTTTGGTAGTCTTACTCTTGCACTTGGGTATAACGTCTGCTCAGCAGGTTTTTGCCTTGCAGCAAAAGCCATCTCCTATATGTTTTTCATTGAAATACGTTAACTACAGCGTATAGAGGATTGAAAGAAAAATAAAGTACAGCTTCTCATGAGCTTCTCATTCCACTGATGAGGTATTTAGCTAAGAAATACATCAGATAGGCCGGGTGTGGTGGCTCATGCCTACAATCCCAGTACTTTGGGAGGCCAAGGCGGGCGGATCACTTGAGGTCAGGAGTTCGAGAGCAGCCTGGCCATCACGGTGAAACCCTGTCTATACTAAAAATACAAAAAATAGCCGGGCGTGGTGGCATGCACCTGTAATCCCAGCTACTCGGGAGGCTGACGCAGGAGAATCGCTTGAACCTGGGAGGCAGAGGTTGCAGTGAGCCGAGATCACGCCACTGCACCCCAGCCTGGGTGACAAAGCGAGACTCCAACTCAAAAAAGAAATATAGTAGATAGCTATTTCCTGAGTGATCACTCAGAGATAACTTTTAATTTTTAATCCACTGACACTAACTGATGCCTCTACTCTAGGAATAATGCTCAGTGTCACCAGAGAACAAGTTCAACAGGACTGTCCTCGGGATACTCCTGATTTTGTGGAGGAGGTAAGTCAACAGTTACTAGCTGGCAGATTTGGTAAGTGAACTGGGACAGCAGGTAAGATTATCAACTTTCTCCCTGCACACCAAGAACATACGCATGTAAACCTTTAACAAACTCCTATTCAACCCTGAAATGAGTTTTGAACTCCAGACACTCAAATCCATTACCACTGTACAGAAAACAGTAAAAATCAAAAAGTACCTATGAGGTGGGAGCTTTCACCAGCATCTCTCAACACTCTGATGTCTGCAGAGCAAAGAACATGAGCTTTGCTATCAGACTGACTGAGGCTCAAATCTTGTTTCACTACATTCTCTGTGGCCCTGGGCAAGAGGCTCCCTTTTTTCTCCCGGGGGGACAAAAAAGGCAGGGGCGGTAGTGAGTGGGGGAGGGTTATAATGCCTCACAGTGTTGGGCAGATTCAGAGAGAGAACAGAGGTACAGGGTTTCAGCTGTGACCTAGCACACTGAAGGCACTCAACGTATGCTGCTTCTCCTCTGGGACAGCCACCAGCAGCAGCTTCGGGACCTCGTACTTGGTGCTGCCAACAGCCCTGGACTGGACCCTCTAGGCTGGGTGACCTTGGGGAGGAGAAATACTAGGATTGTCCTGCTCACCTGCCAGGCAGGAGTGCTGTGAGGAAGAAGTACATGAGTGTTCACAACAGCTTGTCACAATTGGCAAAGTGCTGTAGGATCCAAAAAGAACCACCTCGCAATTTTATTTGACATATGGAACCAAAAGTTAGGATGTATCCCAAACCACTTTGTCTTTGTGTTTCTGTCTATTCTTTTCCTGGGTTTAAAAACACACACCCTATTCTTGACTAATAACCTTACCTCTATTTTTCTTTCATTCCTCTACACAACATACTTTAATGAGAAAATTTTAGAAGATAGCTTTTGCTGCAAGGCAAAACCTCCTGAGCAGACATTAGACCCAAGCTGGATGGTAAGCTTTTGTTTTTGCCTCTGAGATTGAGAGCGTATGGATGAGGGAGGTGGATGAGAGTGTGTTTATGAGCATAAATGTGTGTGTGTTTAAGGAACAAAAAGGTGTACAGACTTTACACAAACATACCCACCCCTGTTTCCTCAGAGAGTTATCTGTTACTTTGGTTACCTTCCACACCACCAGGAATACGAAAGAAACAACTTCACACCTAGGATACAGGATTGGATACAGGATAGGATATGGGTAAGGTTAAGGCTGTAGTTCTATAAAGTCACTTTGCAGAGAGCTGCAGTTACATAGTAAAGAGATGTTTGTGAAGTAAAAATCTTGAGCTGAGGCACTGTTCAGAGGATCACTGGTTTAATTATTTGAAGAACTGTTTAGTCATCATTCAAACATTTTTCCTTCCTAATTTTAGGGAATAAAGATAACAGGGGGCACCCATTCTCACTAGTACTTACTGACTTCACACCATGCAGGTGTGTTACTAATTTAGCAACCCATGTGCATTATGTATAGCTATTGTTATTATTAATATAGGTTAAGTCACCAGATTTAGCGCAGCAGGAAATGAAAGCCATGGGTTTGAGTTCTGTGCTTGCTTCTTGCATGTTTTTTAATGAGTTTTTATTGGAAAGGTGAAGACCTTCAACAAATTGGTGACTCAGGAAGTACTTGTGAGAAAATAAACTTTTCCATTAGACTTCCACTTCCCAAGAAAAAATGGGTTTACATCAAAAGAATGGTTTGTTCTCCAACATCCCACCAGGCTGGAGCTACTCCTGAGTCTTTCAAGGACAGACTCATCCACTGGATAAGTTTGCTAATGACTAGAACAAGATGAGAGCAGTTAATAACATTCTTGAAGCCCAGAATAAGGGCCAGCTGGAAAAGGCTCAAACTGTGTGCTTCCTCTCTGGCCATTACCATCTTTCCGGCTTGGCTGTCACTGCCTTAAACCTGGCTCCTGAAGTGAGCATGCGCTGCAGGGTGGGAAGTGGGCCCACCCACCACGCCTCACAGCATCACGGCTGGCCCAGCTTCCCAGCACAGGGAGGAGGCACTAGACTGAAGGCCTGCAGGAAACATGCTTTCCTATCCTTAACAGGCAATTCCGAAAGTCAAAGAACAGTCTAGAACAGAGTTGGTGAACTATGGTCCATGGGCCAAATCCAGCCTGTCACCTGTTTGTCAATAAAGCTTTATTGGACCACAGTTATGCCTATTCATTTACTGTCTATGGCTGCTTTCACCCACAAAGCCAAAGCTACTTACAATCTGGTCCTTTTCCAAAAAAGTCGAACAATTCCAGTCTACGACTGTGCTGTCCAATATCCTAGCCACAAGACAGGTGTGTCCACTTAAATTTACAATAACTACAGTTAAAAATTCACTTTCTCAGCTGTATATGTTAAGTGCTCAGCAGTCGCAGGTGACCAGGGGCTGCTGCAGAGGACAGCACAGAACATTTCCACCACAGCAGACAGTTCTCCTGGACACAGCTGAGAGTGAGGATTTATGTCACCAAGCTACATTCACAGCCATCAAGTTCCAGGTGACTCTCCTTCTACAGACAGAAGGGCTTACACTAACTCTCAAAAATATGTCCCTTTCACACTCAAACTTATTAGGATGTGCAAATTCACCATTTTAATCGCAAAGTCCAGACTACTTGGTAGACAATAATGGTCAAAGCGATCGTGACAACAAATCAGGTGATCATTTTCCTTACTTACTTACTTGGTCCCCACCCTGATGGATGGTAAACTGGGAAAGCTGGGCCATAGCCCCTGCTCATATCCACATTAGAACCCTGCCTGGCATGTGGTATGGATCAATAAATATTTGTAAAATGATTAATAAATGAGCCCAAGGTACAAAACTGTTATACAAAAAGAGGCTACCGAGCCAAATAAATGGTAAGGCATTGGGGAAAATACCACTACTGTAATCCTGTAGCAAAATGTTCTTCAAGCAGCCAACATTCCTATTTTAAAATGATTTTTTTAAAAAGATCCAAAACAAAACAACACAACAGTCTGGGTTTGGATTCTGGCTCCACCACTTCCAGGCTGTGTGACCTTGGGTAAGTTATTTCTCCTTCAGTGGGAAAGACCCCTCCTTCCTAAATAAACGGGAAGGACAGCGCATGCCCACCCCATCCGAGTGAGCAGGGTAGCCCAGGGTGCAGCCCTCCTTGGTTCCTTCTGCTCCTGACACCAGCCCCTGCTCTCCCGGGCACCCTGCCGGTGTGTTCTTGCTTTAGCCCTCTCGTGGCAGAGCTCCTATGCTGGGTCTCTCCATTCGCTCCTTTGGGACAGGGGCTGCAACTTAATCACTGTAATGACGCTCAGCACTTGGCACACCGGAGCTGCTCAATGGATGTTAAGCTAAGACTCTAAGGCCCAATAAATAAATCAAATTTTGCTAAATCTCACATTAACATGCTCGCTCCAGAAAAGTCTTTATGAGTAAATCAAGCGTTCTTCAAATTTTGAAGTTAGAAATTACCCCCACTGTTTGAGTCAGAAGTTAGTCTTAGGTCTCCAAAGTTATCCCTTCTTAAAAACTCAAGTCTCTTTCAGGCTAATACACTTCACTGCTTTTTCCCTCCACAATTATACAGCAAGCAACCAACCACCCAACCAACAGCAACAAATACAAACTGGCCATAATAAGGTCTTGGAATTTTAAAAAAAAAATCAATGTGGTTCAAGACACAACGTGAAATGATTCTATTTCAGAATAAGTTCATAATTCAAAAACTGAGTAGTATATTAGGCATCTAATAAAAACCAGAAAACACAAACCAAAAAGATTTATGTTATTTATAAGTGGATACCTTAAAAGTATAAAAATTTACATTTTATATGCAGTTAATTTATCTTACTGCTAACTAGTTCGTTTTTAAGAACTAACTTGGCCAGGTACAGTGGCTCTTACCTGTAATCTTAGCACTTTGGGAGGCGGAGGTGGGAGGATCGCTTGAGCCCAGGAGTTCAAGACCAACCAGGGCAACATGGCAAAACCCCATCTCTACAAAAAATATTAAAAAATTAGCTGGGCATGGTGGTGCGTGCCTGAAGTCTCAGCTACTCAAGAAACTGAGGTGGGAGAATCACCTGAGCTCGGGAGGTGGAGGCTGCAGTGAGCTGTGATCATACCACTGTACTCCAGCCTGGGTGACAAGAGTGAGACCCTGTCTCCCAAAAAACAAACAAAAGCTATCTAACTTAAATCCAAACAATTACATTTTGTTCTTGCCCATTTGGTTCTTGCAGCTAAAATACCTGAATGTTACCTGTAGGCAACCTTTGCTTTTTACTGGGTGCACTACAAAAACAATAAATTCACAGCCTGTCCTACAATTTGGTCATTGAATGCTGATTTCCACCTTCATGAAAGATAGTTTGGAGAGAAAAGCACCACCCATTTTATTCCAGTAGATTGAGTCTGCATGTGCCTGGGTACACCCTAGGATCTGAAAAGTCTGGCCTGGCGTTTTAGTCATAGAGATTATTAGTCACCTAGAAATCTTGCTCCCACCCTTCCTTAAAAGAGATTCTGAGAAACAGTTTTGTTGGGGCACAGCTCTGATACTATAAATTCTAAAGTGATCTGATGAAGCTTAAAATCATTTTTCTATTTCACCCAATTATGACCAAAAAAAAATTCATATATCTTAAAATACCAAGAATAAGTAGGCTACTACCCTGATGCCTGTAGTTCAATATAACCGCTATTAATTACTAGAGTAGTTGTGCTTTTAGGCTAAGTTTTGAAACCAAAATATGCATAAAAAGAAGCAAACTAATTATTAAAACAGTGATCTCTATATACCTTGAAAACTTGTTGCCATTTAAAATTTTAAAAGCCAACTGGCAACACAGAGCCTATTTAAATGCAAAATATTTCCTAATATTCCACGAAAACGCTAACATTTCAAAAATGATGACCCACGATAGATTTCAATATTTCAAAGTGGAGCATATTTCTCTCTCAGGCTCCACGGCAAGAATGAAAACAATCCTTTTAAAGGAAGTTCTTTTCCAATCAATTGTGCATATTTTCTGACTGCAATTCATCTTTAATTCTGAGATGTGTCCTCGACAAAACCTTTGCAGCATTAAGCCACACATATGTAACAGAAACTCTGCGTACGAACAACTTGGCCAGGCGCGACAGGCCCGCCTCTCCTTCCTACCCCCACCCAATACCTTCCCTGGGCAGTGACTTCACATCCTTTGACATCAGCACAGCTTTGAAAGGGGGATGGGAGAGCGAGCAGAAAGCAGAAAAACCAGCTTTGAACTATGCATGCAAGGCCTCTTTCAAGCCTCAAATTCTGTAAGTAGTTCGTAAAATGCCAAACTGCAGTGACACACCCAACCTCCTCTGGTTAAGTCTGCAGCGAAATGGGGTGAATTCTGCTAGAAAGGACTTCCTGCTTTTCTTATCTGAAGCACAATAGCCATTTATTAACTACCCACGGAAGGTTCCGATTCAGTGAAACACACAATAACTTACCTCGAATATGGAGAAGGACCACGGGCTGGAAAGGCCCATTGGAGTTGGCCGCATCCACCACCATCCTGCTGCCCGCTTTATTACATGTCAACATCTAGACTTCAGCGGGAAAGGCAATGGGCTCCTTAAGGCAAGAAACCAGCCTCCATTTTAGTTTAAAAAAAAAAAGACAAACTGAAGCTCTCTGCAGCTGGAGGGAACTGGCTGGTTCGTGATGTCAGCAGGCATGAAGCTCGCTGATTGGCCGGAAGCTGCAACTTAAAATGACACTAAAAAAACTGCAAACGGAAAGAGCGTTCTGTTTGGCTGTCAGTGTGCCTTAAAAGCTGGGATATTTTCCGGCTTTTTGCAGCCTTCGTTTCTCAGTAACTTTTAGGCAAAGATCCCATCTCTTAGGGGGAATACTGGAGGCCACAACCTTGGCCAGACTGTAAACAAATGATTTCGAGGGAGCCACCAAAAAAAAAAAAAAAAAAAAAAAAAAGTGTGTGTATATGTCTGTGTGAACTTTAGCATTTCCCAGTGAGGGATCCCAAATTCATTTTATACCCACCTGTGCAACTTCGACTTGCTAGTTCTAATTAATATCTGCATCTTAGGTAGGATTCTGGCAACCCAGTGTTTTTTTTTTGTTTTTTTTTTTTAACAAATGGTTAAGCAAATATTACACAATTCTAATCCATTAGTTTGGACTCTTATTCAACTTCCCTTACCAATAGGATGAGTTATTAACTTATGATCCCAAACACTTTTTTTCTTGAGATCTATTTTTTCCCTGAAAAAATTAAGCTTAAAAACTTACGTAGAAAATGAAAGCCGCTTTATAAATTCGATAGCTAGAAAGTGACACAAATTGAAATATTTATATCACCTGGCCGTGGGAGTAAGAAAGCAAAAAAATGAAATGGAGCATGTTTATTTTTGTATTGCAAATATGCTGACATATTAAATACCTTTTAAGTTTTAGATATTTTGTTTAAATTTAAAATTAAAGATATTTTCACTTATTTTTATGGGGCTATTAAAAGCTGCTATTCAGATCTAAATTTTCTATCTTCAAATACAGTTAATGTAAAAAGCTATTCCAAGGAGAAAAACATTATTTCTGAATTGGATGGAGTATTGCAGGATCCCATGAGGGGGTGCGGTGAGATGATTCCCTACAAAAATGAGTGTTATTAGTAGTTCCAAATGAAAACGAACTATAAGAAAAGCCTCTTCGGCAGGTGGAACTGAAAAAAATTCCTCCTTTCTTCACACCAACAAGGAAGTTTGTCCAAACCATGGCTCCTCATTTTTAATAGTTTCTCACACAATTCCCCTGCTCTCTTCCCCCCACTTGTGAAGGATACAAAAGCCCTTTAGTTCCTAAACATAATTCACAGTAGAGTAAGAAACACCTGAAATACAGCTAGGGCTCGCAGTTCCAGCTGAGGGTTTAGCGCCAGATACATTCAATGAGTAAGGGAACTGCTACCGCCCTTCAGGGCTGCTAATCAAGTCCTCCCTCACAAGAATGTAGCTTTTATTGTGTGTATCAATAGCAACTAAAATAAATAGATAAAAGCAAACCAAATCCCACCCTTCCCCCTCTTTCCCCAGAGCTGACAGACAGTGCTGGATTCCATGGCCGGCCAGGAGATGATGTGATTTCTAACACAAGTGGGCAGTGGGCACGCACCACCTGAGCAGGCTGCCGGCCTCACACCTGCTCTGACTTTGCTGCTATCTGAACAGCAGAATTAATTTTTTTTTTAAAGAGCACGTGCTTTCAGTTGGGTAAGAGGAATTTAGATCTTAGCTGCCCTCCTGCCTCTAAGCCTTCACTGCTGACCTGTGGGTTGTCTGTCTGGAGGGGATGGCCACCGATCACCAACGACCACTAGGAAGCAGTGTTGATGACTCTCACTGCCCCACACCCCAGCCTCCTCCTCCTCCTCCTCCTCTGAGTGATGCCAGATGAACTCAGACACAATTAGGAACGAGGCGTTCAGGGGCTCAGGAAGGAGCCCAGGAGCAGATGCTTATTGAAGATCTGGGCTTTAAGGAGACAGAGACCTGCCCTCCAATGATTTAATATTTCATACGAGATAAGATGAAAAAATGTGCCTATCCTACAACTGTGCTGATGAGTGGGAATACAGAAATAAGGGGGAAAGGCTCCTAAGAGCTTTATATATAATATACGGAATAGGAGTCAAAGAAACAGTGAAGACACTTTTTGATGTATTTTTCCTAATGATCTCAGATCAAAGGATCTTGCCTTTATTAGTGATTTACCCCACACTCTTTTGAAACCCTATGCATGTAAGTAGTTCTTTAAAGAACCCAAGGCTGATCTGGCCATCATTGATAAAACAGACTCTAAGATAGAAATAAATAAACAAATAATATGAGGGAAGAAAAGAAGACTTGAATAAAGGTAAGGTGTACTTCTGAATTGGAAATATAAAAATATAAATACTGCAGCTATGCTGATAATTTCCCCCCAAACTGATCTACAGGTTTAAAGTATTTCCAATTAAAATTCAGGTGGGCCTCTATTTTTCCAGGTACTTAGCAAAAGTATTCTAAAGTTCACCTGCAAAAAATAAAAGAACAAGAAGAATGAGAACACTACTAATGAGAAAGGCAAGTCCTACCAACTATAAAGCTGTATGAATTAATGACAGTGTGATGGGGCAAAAAAGGCAGATTAATGGAACAGAAGCCACAGCCCCAAACTGAGAAATATGTTGACATAAATGTAATATAATAAAGAGTATATCTCAAATCAGTGGAAGGGGAAGAATTAGATAATTGCTTGGCAATCTTGGGGCAGACAACTGATTAACTATATGCAGAAAAAAGTCAATTTAAGTCTTAACATCATACCAGAATAAAATTTGACGTGGCTTAAACAGTTAAATAAAAATCAATCAAAACCACCCCCCCAAATCCCTATAACTTTTAGAAGAAAGGGAAAGTGAATAATCAATTCTCAAGCAAAAAAATAACATGTAAATACCTCTGAACAAACCCCTCAGGAATAGCGCTCATATTAAAAATGACAAATTTCTGTGGTTTGTTTTTTTGGAGGCAGGGTCCTGCTCTGTCACCCAGGCTGGAGGGAAGTGGTATGATCTCTGCTCACTGCAGCCTCGGCCTCCTGGGCCCAAGTGATCCTCCTGCCTCAGCCTCCTGCAGAGCTGGGACCGCAGGCTTGAATCACCACAACTGCTCATTTTTTTCATTTTCAGTAGAGATGAGGTCTCTACTATGTTGCCCAGAATAGTCTTTTAACTCCTGGGCTCAAGTGATCCTCCAGCCTCAGCCTCCCAAAGTGCTGAGATTGCAGGCATGAGCCACCATGCCCGATCTTAAAATCACAAATTTCTGTATGTTCTCTCCAAAAGCAAGCAAAAGGAAATATAAATGCTATAAATACAAGGAGTTAATAATATTATAATTGATTAAAAAACAATTGTCTAAAAATTGTGCCACTATTTACAATAGCAAAGACTTGGAACCAACCCAAATGCCCATCAATGACAGAATGGATAAAGAAAATGTGGCACATATGTACCATGGAATACTATGCAGCCATAAAAAAGAATGAGTTCATGTCTTTTGTAGGGACATGGATGAAACTGGAAGCCATCATTCTCAGCAAAGTAACACAGGAACAGAAAACCAAACACTAAATGATTTCACTGAGAAGTGGGAGGTGAATAATGAGAACACATGGACACAGGGAGGGGAACATCACACACCAGGACCTGTCGGGGGGTGGGGGACAGGGGGTGGGAGAGCATTTGGACAAATATCTAATGCATGCAGGGCTTAAAACCTAGATGACGGGTTGATAGGTGCAGCAAACCACCATGACACATGTATACCTATGCAACAAACCTGCACGTTCTACACATGTATCCCAGAACTTAAGGTAAAATAAAAACAAAAAAATAAAAATAAAAATTGTGCTAAAATATACATCAACACAAAATGTACCATCTTAACTGTTTTCAGCATACAGTTCTGTGGCATTAAGCACATTCACAGTGTCTTGCAACCCTCACCACCATCCATCCACCGAACTCTTCACCTTGCAAAACTGACACTCTGTCCCCATTAAACAGTAACTTTCCATTCTCCCTCCTTCCAGTGCTGGCAACCATCACTCTACTTTCAGTCTCTATGAACTTGTCTACTCTGGGTACTTCACATAAGGAGATCTTACAGCGTTTGTCCTTTTGGGACTGGCTTATTTCACTCAGCATAATGTCCGCAAGATTCATCCATGTTGTAGCAAGTGCCAAAATTTCCTACCTTCAAAGGGCTGAATGATATTCCATTGGCATACACTGAAGTTGTTTATTCACTCTTCCCTGTTTACGGACATTTGGGTTGCTTCCACCTTTTGTCACTTGTGAATAATGTTGCCATGAACATGGGGCTACAAGTATCTGCTCATGCCTCTGTTTTCAATTCTTTTGGGTGTATATCCAACAAGTGAAATTGCTGGATCATATGGCAGTTCTATTTTTATTTTTTTCCCATTCTATTATTTTTAATTGATGCATAATAGCGATACACAGTTTCAAGGTATATGTGTAATATTTGGAAGAACTGCCATACTGTTTTCCACAGTGGCTGCACCATTTCACATTCCCACTGACAGTGCACAGGGCCGGGTGTGGTGGCTCACACCTGTAATCCCAGCGCTTTCTTTGGGAGGCTGAGGCAGGCAGATCACTTGAGGTCAAGAGTTTGAGACCAGCCTGGCCAACATGGCGAAACCCCATCTTTACTGAAAATACAAAAATTAGCTGGGCCTGGTGGTGCGTGCCTGTAGGCCCAGCTACTCAGGAGGCCGAGGCAGGCTGCAGTGAGCCAAGATCACATCACTGCACTCCAGCCTGGGTGACAGGGCGAGACTCCATCTCAAACAAACAGACCCTAAAAAACAAAAAACAGTGCACAACAATAGTTCCAATTTCTCCACGAGGACATTAACACTTATTTTTTAAAACTTATTTTTAATTTTTATGGGTACATAGTAGGTATATATATTTAAGAGACACAAGAGATGTCTTGATACAGGCATCCAATGTGAAATAAGCTCATCATGGAGAATGGGAATGGGGTATTCATCCCCTCAAGCGTTTATCCTTTGAGTTACAAACAATCCAATTACATTCTTAGTGTTATTTTAAAATGTACAATTAAGTTATTGTTGACTATAGTCACCCTGTTGTGCTATCAAGTGGGTCTTATTTATTCTAACTTTTTTTGTACCCATTGACCATCCCCCCCGCCAACCCCCACTACTACCCTTCCCAGTCTCTGGTAACCATTCTTCTACTCTCTATGTCCATGAGTTCAATTGTTTTGATTTTTAGATCCCATGAATATGTGAGAACATGTGATGTTTGTCTTTCTGTGCTTGGCTTATTTCACTTAACATAAAGATCTCCAGTTCCATCCATGTTGCTGCAGATGACTGGATCTTTCTTTTTCATGGCTGAATAGTACTCTATTGTGTATATATATATATTTTTTATTCATTCATCTGTTGATGGACACTTAGGTTGCTTCCAAACCTTAGCTATTGTCAACAATGCTGCAACAAACATAGGAGTGCAGATATCTCTTTGATATACTCATTTTCTTTCTTTGTGGTATGTACCCAGCAGTGGGACTGCTGAATATATGGTAGCTCAATTTTTAGTTTTTTAAGCAACATCCAAACTGTTCTTTATAGTGGTTGTACTAATTTACATTCCTAACAACAGTGTACGAGGGTTCCCTTTTCCCCACATCCTCTCCAGCATTAGTTATTGCTTGTCTTTTGGATAAGCCATTTTAACTGGTATGAGATGGTATCTCATTGTAGTTTTGATTTGCATTTCTCTAATGATCAATGATGTTGAGCACCTTTTCATAGGCCTGTTTGCCATTTGTCTGTCTTCTGAGAAATGTCTACTCAAATCTTTTGCCCATCTTGTGATCGGATTATTAGTTTTTTTTCCTATAGAGTTGTTTGAGCTCCTTATATATTCTGGTTATTAATCCCTTGTCAGATGAGTAGTTTGCAAGTATTTTCTCCCATTCTGTGGGTCGTCTCTTCACTTTATTGATTGTATCCTTTGCTGTGCAGAAGCTTTTTAGCCTGATGTGATCCCATTTGTCCCTGTTTGCTTTAGTTGCCTGTGCTTGTGGGGTATTGCTCAAGGAATTTTTGCCAAGACCAATGTCCTGCAGATTTTCCCCATTGTTTTCTTGTAGTAGTGTCACAGTCTGAGGTCTTAGATTTTTTTTTTTTTTTGAGATGGAGTCTTGCTCTGCTGTCCAGGCTGGAGTGCAAGTGCAGTGGTGCGATGTCTGCTCGCTGCAACCTCCACCTCCCGGGTTCAAGTGATTCTGCTGCCTCAGCCTCCCAAGTTGCTGGGACTACAGGTGCCCGCCACCACGCCCGGCTGATTTTTTGTATTTTTAGTAGGGACAGGGTTTCACCGTGTTAGCCAGGATGGTCTCAATCGCCTGACCTCGTGATCCACCTGCCTTGGCCTCCCAAAGTGCTGGGATTACAGATGTGAGCCACTGCGCCCGGCCAAGGTCTTAGATTTCTTTAATCCACTTTGATTTGATTTTTGTATATAGTGAGAAAGAGAGGTCTAGTTCCATTCTGCATATGAATATCCAGTTTTCCCAACGCCATTTATTAAAAATATGCAACTGCTTCACGAATTTGCATGTCATCCTTGCGCAGGGGCTGTGCTAATCTCTGTATCATTCCAATTTTAGTTTATGTGCTGCTGAAGCGAGCACTATTTTTATTGTTAGAGACAGGGAGGGTCTTGCTCTGTCACCCAGGCTGGAGTGTAGTGGCATGATCTTGGCTCACTGCAGCCTTGACCCTCTGGGCTCAAGCAATCCTCTCACCTCAGCCTCCCGAGTAGCTGGGACCACAGGCACATGCAACCAGCTAGTTTTTGTATTTTTAGTAGAGATGGAGTTTCACCACGTTGTCCGGGCTGGTCTCAAACTCTTGAGCTCAAGTGATCTGCCTGCCTTTGCTCCTTTTTTTTTTTTTTTTTTTTTTTAAATAGTAGCCATCCTAGTGGGTGTGAAGTATCTCACTGTAATTTTGATTTTCATTTTCCTAATGACAGAGATGTTGAGGATCTTTTCATGCATTTATTGGTCATTTGCAGATATTATATTCTTTGGAGAAACGTCTATTTAAGTATTTCACACATTTAAAAAATCAAGCTGTTTTGCTCAGTTGTAGGAGTTCTTTAGATATTCTGGATATTAACTCCTTATCAGTTATATGATTTTTCAAATATCTCCTCCCATTCTGTGGCCTGCCTTTTCTTGTTGACTGGGCCCTTTAATGCAGAGATGTTTTAAATTTTTATGTAGTCCAATCTATCTATTTTTATTTTTGTCGCCTGAGCTTTTGGTATCATAGCCAAGAAATCACTGTCAAATCCAATGTCATGAAATCTTTCTCCTATGTTTTCTCCTCAAACATTATAGTTTTACTCTTAGGTTTAGGTGTTTGATCCATTTTGAGCTAATCTTTGTATGTGTTATGAAGGTAAGGGTCCCACTTCATTCTTTATTTTTATTTTTATTTTTGAGACAGAGTCTCGCTCTGTCACAAGGCTGGTGTGCAGTGGCGCGATCTTGGCTCACTGCAATCTCCGCCTCCTGGGTTCAAGCGATTCTCCTGCCTCAGCCTCCCGAGTGGCTGGTACTACAGGTGTGTGCCAACACACCCAGCTAATTTTGTATTTTTAATACAGACGGGGTTTCACCATGTTGGTCAGGATGGTCTCGATCTCCTGACCTTGTGATCCGCCCGTCTCAGCCTCCCAAAGTGCTGGGATTCCAGGCGTGAGCCACCGCGCCCGGCCAGGTCCCGCTTCATTCTTTTGCATGTGAGTACCCAGTTTTCCCAACACCATTTGTTGAAAAGACTGTGTTTTCCCCATTGAATGGTCTAGGAAACCTTGTCAAAACTCGTTTGACCACCTATGTGAGGGTTTGTTTCTGGGCTCATCTTTATGCCAGTACTACACAGTCTTGATTACTGTAGCTTTGCTGTAAGTTTTAAAGTCAGGATGTGTGAGTCCTCCAACTTTGGTGTTCTTTTTCAAGATTGTTTTGGCTATGCTTATCTCTTTGATATTCCCTATGAATCTTAGGATGAAACTTTTCTATTTCTGGAAAAGAATGCTGTAAAAGTTTTAATAGGGATTGCACTGAATTTGTAGATTGCTTTGGGCAGTACTGACATCTTAACAACATTAAGTCTTCCAAACCATAAACGAGAGATGTTTTTCCATTGATTGGTGTATTCTTCCATTTCTTTCAGCAACATTTCATAGTTTGCAGTGTGCAAGTCTTTTCTCTCCTTGATAACTTCATTTCTAACTATCTTACTCTTTTTGAGGGCATCATGTTTTATTTATGGTTCTAAAATACTGGAAACTACTTTAATGCCAAAGGGATTATCCCACATACCTAGTGAAATATTACATATCCATCAGAAATACTTATAAATGTATAAAATGAAAATATAAGTGAAAGAGGCAGTGTGTAATCAGAAATAAAATGATCATAGGAAGAATCACTCCCCAAATATCCACAGTGTCATCATTGGGTGGTATGGGTATGAGTTTTTCTTTTTTAAAATTGATATATAATAGTTGTGCATATTTGGAGGGGACATGTGATATTTTGATGCCTGTTAACAATGTGTAATGACCAGGTCAGAGTAACTGGGATACCTATCACCTCCAGCATGTATCTTTTCTTTGTGTTGGAAACATTACAATTCTTCTCTTCCAGCTACTTTGAAATATATAATAAATTATTGTTAACTACAATTCCCCTACTGTACTCTTGAATTCTAGAACTTATTCCTTCTGACTGTATTTTTGCAGCCCTTAACCACCCTCTCTCCCTATCTTCCCTTCCCAGCCTCTGGTAACCACCATTCTCCTCTCTACCTCCATGAGATCCATTATTTTTTTACCTCCCACATGAGTAAGATCACATGGTATTTGTCTCTCTGTGCCTGGCTTATTTCACGTAACACAATCACCTCTGGTTCCATCCATGTTGCTGCAAATGACAGGTTTCTATTCTTTCTTATGGCTGAATAATATTCCATTGTCTATATGTCCTACATTTTGTTTAGTCATTCATCCACTGATTGACACTTAGGTTGATTTCATTTCTTGGCTATTGTGAGCGATGCTGCAACAAACATGGCAGTGCAGGTGCCCCTGTGATATACTGATTTTCTTTCTTTTGGATATATACCCAGCAGTAAGGCTGTAGGATCATATGGATGTTTTTTATTTCTAAAATTTCCCTTTTTTTTTTTTTTGGTATTGCTAAAACAAGCATACATTACTTTCAGAGTAATTAAAAGTGACAATTTTATTTTATATATATTTTTAATTTTTATTTTATTTTGAGTTAGAGTCTTGCTCTGTTGCCCAGGCTGGAGTGCAATGGCACCATCTTGGCTCACTGCAACCTCTGCCTCCTGGGTTCAAGCAATTCTTGTGCTTCAGCCTCCTGAGTAGCTGAGATTACAGGCATGCACCATCACGCCTGGCTAATTTTTTGAACTTTTAGTAGACACGGGGTTTCGCCTTGTTGCCCAGGCTGGTCTCAAACTCCTGAGCTCAGGTGATCCGCCTGCCTCGGCCTCCCGAAGTTCTAGGATTACAGGCATGACCCACCGTGCCTGGCCTAAAGTAACGATTTAAAAAAATACGTACATTTTTTGAGACAGGGTCTCACTCTACCACCCTGGAACCTAGTGGCACGATCACAGCTCACTGAAACCTCAGCATCCTGAGCTCAAGTGATCCCCCCACCTCAGCCTCCCAAGTATCTGGGACTACAGGTGTGCACCAGCATGCCTGGCTAATTTTTAAATTTTTTGTAGGGACAAGGTTGTCCAGGCTGGTCTCAAACTCCTAGGCTCAAGGGATCCACCCGTCTTGGTCTCCCAAATTACTGGGATTATAGGCGTGAGCCACTGCACCTGGCATAAAAATAATTTTTAAAAAGAGATATAGATTAAGTCACTGCAGGGAGAATCCCTTAATGAATACTGTCTCTTAGGCACAGGCTAGGAACAAAGAAAGGGCTGTGATGAGAACCAAGAAAGTCTGAACCAAGGAAATCTGGATAAATGAGATCAGGTACATAAAAAACACAAACAAAAATTAGCTGAAATGAGGCATGGAAAATGGAACCAACACAGATTAGAGGAGGTTGACTCCCTGTCTCAAATCAATTTTGAACCGCCTGGACCTTCTCCTGTAAGCCTGTCACCTTTGCATTGAGTCTGTAGGCTCACTGAAGCTATCAGAGTTCAACTGGGTCTCCAGAGTACTTTCCTCACTGATGAAACAAACTCTAAGTAAATGCAACCCAGAAGAGGCTCATAATGCAACCATGTCACTCGCACTGGGCCAGGTTTTCATCACCTGCTCAGGGAGGGGCTAGACAGAGCTGTCGCTCAGCATGGGGAGCGAGGCTGCCTTCAATAAATCCCCGCTGGTCCTTTCCTCACCCGTAAAAGGGCATATATGTCATCTCCCTATCCCCTCACGTTTAGAGAAGCCAGCGTCAGATATGGAGTGCGCTCCCCATGCTGAGTTGAGGTGGACAGCTTGGGAGGGACTGAGGCAGGACACAACTAAATACAGCTCCGGCCATCAGAGCAAAATGCAGGAAGCAGTGGGCATTGTCCCACTGGAAAAACATGGGCCATCTGCCAACAGAAAGATCCCTTCAGCTGCGGCGTGGGGATGCAGCAGAGCCACCTGAGGAATCTCGGCTTAGACCACCCTCATCCAGGCAGGCTTCCTCTTCCCTCCCGGTCTGTGGCTTGGACCACAAGCTCTTCCTTGGTCCAGCTCCTACAGAATGGCTGGCATGCAGGTGTTCCATCAAATGTACTGAATGAATGAATCAAGCAGTTGCACCCAATTCTGATCTTACAAAACCACCTTGCTACCCTTTACACCTCTTCCAGGTAGCACATAATTAAGAGGGATATGCTGTCAAATCATCTCAAGAACAGCATTTCCCTCTCCCCTGAACACAGACCCCATTCCAGGTCCCCCATGATGCACTTGCTAAGGAGTGGATGCCTTCCACTCACCTCCTGTGACATGCCTACCTGCCTTCTACGCTGGCCTCGCAGTGACATTCTGAACCTTTCCTGAGACTGCAGCTGCCTGTGAAGGGCTTGAGCAAGGACCAAGGAAGGGCGCTTTGCTGGGCCCAGCCCACCTAGCATACCTTCCACAGCCCAATGGGCCAAAAAGGCCACAGTGCTCAATATGGTCTCCCATCAAATGCTATAACTACAATAATCTATGTACTAGACAATAATGAAGAAACAATTATTTCATATTTTTTTGGAGACAAGGTCTCCCTATTTTGCCCAGGCTGGGCTTGAACTCATGATTCTCCCCGTCCTCAGCCTAGTGGGTAGCTGAGAAGTCAGGTGCACACCACTGTGCCTGGCTTGAAAAGGAATTATTCTTTATTCTTTGATCCCTCTGTCACTGTTTTATTCTTTACTTAAAAACAAACTACCTGTAAATACATCCTACTGATTTTATTTCTAGGTAGTATTTCTGATTAAAACTTTCAAATTTTCATTTCTACATCATTCAGCTGAAGGTTTTATTTTTTAAGGCTCTCCAAGCAATTTTGTAGGCAAATTAAATATGCTTCTATTTTAGTGAAGACATTTTATTGTAATTAACAGAAGGCTGGTGTTCTGAACCTAGAGAACAGTGGCATCATGTGCACAGTGCACTCACACTGCGCTGGCCAGCACTTTTTTTTTTTTTTAAACTGGAAACTATATGAGCACGGATGATGTATGCTTTGTTGGGTAAGAATCTGACCTAAAAAAATTGGCTTCACTTCACAGTTTAAAATAGACTTTTTCCTTAGACAGATCAAAGATACCTAACATTCAGCTATGTTCAAAGGCTGCCAGGGAACTTCTGCTTGCCAACAGCAAGGACACAGGGACAGGCACTTGTTGCTGTGTGAGCGAGGCCTGGGAGTGATTAAAGAGGATGGACGAGCTTGTCCACAGGGAAGCTCAGCGTAGGTGAGTGGAGTAGATGAAGTGAAATCCACCCAGAGTGCTGGGGCTGTGTGTGAGACCTTGGTTACTTTCATACTTCCTACAGCTAGTCTGGAAAACCTTTCAATCCAAAGCAAGTACTCACACTCCTTCCTTGTTCTAAGAACGTAGGGAACCAACGCGAAGTAAAAGTATGCATACATCGGAGTGCTTTCATGCTGATTGTTTTTTTTTTTAACTTGCCAACTTGCCGACACCCTTTTAGGAGCCTACGCAGTAGGTCAAGTGAGTCAGGAGCCTCATTTTCCAAGAGGAAATCCGAGGTGGAGGGAGGTGAAGGGATAGGTGGCCCTGGCTGGGGTTTTGGCCACCCCACGAGAGGTGACACCACAACCATCTCGGTGAAAATGGAGAGGGTGGAGAAAGAGGGCAGAGGGGCCAGGAGGGCTTTTCATTCCTTCAGGAGACACACTGTGTGTTTCCTGGGTCCTTGGCAGATGCTCGAATGGATGACACAGGCAGACAAGCACGCAACTGTTAACTCGTGTACTGACTGAATGTGTGTGGCGTGCTCTGCAACCCACGCGTCCATCCACTGATTGGGGGATACGCGGAATGTGTCCGTCCACACATCACTGAAGGATGGCATCAGCCTTCGACGGGAGCGAGGGTCTGGCACGTGCTACAATGTGGGGGGACCTGGAAGATATTATGTTTAGGGAAATAAGCCAGGCACAGAAAGACAGATACTGTACGATTCCGCTTCTAAGAGGCTCCTACTGTGGGCAAAATCATAGAGACAGAAAGCAGAATGGGGAGACAGCCACTTACTGTTTAATGGAGTTTTTGTTGGGGATGATGAAAAGTTTTGGGTAGAGATAGTAGTGATGGGTGTACAGCATTTTGAATGTATCTAATACCACCGAGTTGTACACTTATGAATGGTTAAAATAATAAATATTATGTTTTAACATGTGTATTTCACCTCAGTTTTTAAATTTTTTTTTTTTAGATAAGGACGGCTTGAGCCAGGGCAGTTCAGGAAACACTTGAGGAGCAGAGGCAGCAGGGCGCTGGACCAGACAGAGGACGGGAATGTCCAAGAAGTGGTCTCTGTGTGCGGTAATGAGCCGAGATTACAGCTGGCAGCTGGAAACTAAACCCCATGGGTGCCACCCAGAGAGAGCTGAGACTGACCATGGAGTAACGGCCAAGGTCATGTGTGTAGCCCCGGGCCATGGAGAGGGGGTACCCTGGAGGGGCTGGGCTGGCTGGCTGGGCTCAGGCTGTCTGACAGGCAACGGGCTCCCCAGTGTTCTGAAGAGGGAGTGGCCCTGGTGGTAACTCTCTGTGGCTTAGAGGGGCTGAAGCTAGAACACCGCTGTGACTCCGGGCCCGCTGGTTCCCTGAGGGCAAGGGCCACCTTGGGTCATCGCTCTGAACACCTTCCCCTTGCTCTGAGAAGCACAGATGGCCAGTGTGAACTGCCTCAGCAATCCAGGGACTGTGTCCTCTCATTAAGATATCATGGCAAATCACGAGAAGACACAAAAATCAAAACATGCAAGAGAAGAAAAGACTAATGAAAGCAGAGATTCCCTGCGCGGCTCTTTCTAAGCTGACTAGAAGAGCAGCAGGCACTCCGATAACTTCCGCACAGTCCATTTTTATTATTCTTCAACTAACAGGCAAGAAGCCAAAGTTCCTGTAAATATATGCATAATTCATTTGTAGGCAGTTAAACCTCTACTTTTATGGTAAAGCTTTCAATTGTATCAGAAAATAGGCAGGGCGCAGTGGCTCTCATGGCTGTAATCCTAGCACTTTGGGAGGCGGAGGTGGGTGGATCACTTGAGCCCAGGAGTTCGAGACCAGCCTGGGCAACATGGTGGAACCCCGTCTCTACTAAAAATACAAAAATTAGCTGTGCGTGGTGGTGCGCACCTGTGGTCCCAGCTACTTGGAAGGCTGAGCTGGGAGGACTGCTTGAGCCTGGGAGGTCCAGGCTGCAGTGAGCTGACATTGTGCCACTGCACTCCAGCCTGGGTGACAGAGCGAAACCGTGTCTCAAAAAAGAAAATAAACTGCTTTGAATGAGGGTGAAGTATTGTATTTGCATGAGAGGAGAGCAAGAGATATAAAATATTTAACTGGTATTCAAAAGCCAATTTTAAACAATTCAAGTAAATTCTAACAATAATGTAATGACTTCTTTCACAAAAGACCAAATACTCGGCAACTCTTTTGCCCCAGGGTCTCTAGTTAGTTAGCCGATAATAAGTCCTACATTATTCTGCTATAACTTTGACTTCTCCTAGTCTTTTCTTTTCTAAAAATGGCCTCAAAAAACAAGTCCATGATTAATTTACTCTTCCTATAAGTATCTTAAAAAAAAAAGGTCTCTTTATTTAACACTTCCACCTTCCAGTCCAAAAATGTTAAATGAAGGCATTAATTCAGAATAATCTTACAATGAACAGGTCTGAGGGCTATATTCAACCTCACTGGTTAAAAAAAAATAAAAATATGAAATACCTTTTTCTACTTATCAAATAACTACAACTTTTACATGATCTCAGCATTGGAGAGGTATGATGGACAGGCATCTCACATACTCTGTATGTGGTGCTACTCTCTGGAAAGTGTGTAGACAATATCTATTAAGGGTTTTTGAAAATGCCTGCTCTTTGATCCAGTACCTCCTTCATCAAGCTTAAGGAAAGGTTCAAAGATGTGAACAACAACGATAACAAAAGATTAACAGAACAGTATCATTTATAATAGCTGAAAAACTGGGGTATCCACAGAATGAAATAATAAACGGTTGCTAAAAATCATGCCTCTCGTTCCCACTAATGTCAGAAACAAGACAAGTATGCCCACTCTCACCACCACTATGTAACATTTTACTGAAATTGTTTTACTGAATTTATTAGTCAACTGGAGAGAAAGACATGTGAGTTTACAATTATAAACAGAGGTGAAATTATGTGCAGATGCTCTAATTAATACCTGAATATTCAAAAGAATCAACTGAAAAACTGATGCAAACAATCAGGTAATTCAGTAAGGAAGCAGGTTATGAAAGCAAGGCCCCCAAATTCAATAGCCTTCATATAAACAACTAATAACTAGAAGACACAATGGAAGAAAAGACTCTATTTACAAGAGCGATGATAATGATTATCTAGGCATTAGCTTAGTAAGAGACATGCAAAACCTACAAGGGAAACTTAAAAACAGCCTTAAAGGACATGAAAGTGGCCTTGGAAAATAGTCATAGCATACTCTTAGAGGAGGCACACATCACAAGATGCCAGCCCTCCCTCAGATATTTGCAAAATGTAACAGGATCCCAATAAAAATGCCAACAGTAGCCAGGCATGGTGGTGCGTGCCTGTAATCCCAGCTACTTGGGAGGCTGAGGCAGGAGAATCATTTAAGCCCAGGAGTTCAAGACCAGCTTGGGCAACATCGCATGGAACTGTCTCTAAAATAAATAAATAAATAAAGTCAACAGCTGTTTCTTTCTGCAATGACTATGGGTCAATTCAAAGTTCCAACTGTTTGCAGTAATATCAATATTGTTTTTGGGAACTGTTTAAGAGAATATACCCATAATTACATTAGTGATGCTAGAAATCAACATTTTCAGTGTAAGACAGAGATAAAACTATGAAAGCCAAGAAATAAGTGAAAGTGATAGGAACAGGAAGCAGGGAAGTTCTGGGCAGAAGAGGGCACGTCCCTTGTGAGGGCCCTAGCCTCAAGCCGAAAAGCCTGGAACCTTGGTCCAAAGTGAGAACATGCATTCCTGTTTCCCCACTCGAATGTTGCCTTTTCCAAAACCACCCATGGCTTGCCCCGTGCCTCCATCCTGTGCCCATAAAAACCCCAGGCTCAGCTGGTAGAGAGAAGAGAAGCAACTGGACATAGGAGACTAGAGTTGGATGTTGGAAAGAAGTGGCTTGACTTCAGAGGGACAACTTGATGGCGTAACTTCAGAGAAGAATCTGGCTGGAGACAGCCAGACTTCAGGGGAAGATTACCTTCCCACTCTGTCTCCTTTTTAGCTTCCCTTCCCACTGAGAGCCACTTTCATTGGCAATAAAATCCCCTGCATTTACCATCTTCAATTCCTTCATGCAACCTCATTCCTCCTGGATGCTGGACAACAACTTGGGTGCCATGAGTATGGGTGTAAAAGGTTGTCCCACTGACCCTCCACTGAGCTGTTAACACTTAAGTCATCCATGGATGGCAGAGCTAAAAGAGTACTGCAACACTTTCTCTGGGGCTTCAGGGATCACAGGGACCCCTGAAGACGCTGCCATGGGGCTGGTATGGGGTTTGCTCCTGCTGGTGCCCAAAAGTGCTCCTGCACCAGCTCACCTGCACTTCCCCTCCCACGAGGGGTGGAGCAGCGAGTAAGTGGAGATCGCCCTTGCTGGCGCTGAAGGGGCCAGCTAGTTCCCACACCCACGCAGTCCAGTTCCTGCCCGTGAAGTGGTCAGGGAAATATCCTGCTTCAAAAACACTATAATGTTAAAATTAAATTTAAAATATCAATATGAATGTACGATTCAGAAAATTTATATCCTCGCTCCCTCCATTGAAAGCATTTAAAAGTAATGTCAGACCAGTAGCAATAAACATCCCTCTGACCCAGATTTTGGTTGCTAATATATTTACTACTGAAAGGAACCAGGGCTCTTTGAAAAATAGCTGATTTGGCCAGGTGTGGTGGCTCATGCCTGTAATCTCAGCACTTTGGGAGGCCGAGGTGGGTGGATCACTTGAGGTCAGGAGTTTGAGACCAGCCTGGCCAACATAGTGAAACCCCATATTTACAAAAAATATAAAAATTAGCTGGGCATGGTGGCACACGCCTGTAATCCTAGCTACTTGGGAGGCTGAGGCAGGAGAATCATTTGAATGTGGGAGGCGGAGGCTGCAGGGAGCCAAGATTGCACCACTGCACTCCAGCATGGATGAGACCATGAGACTGTCTCAAAAAAAAAAAAAAGAAAAGAAAAATGGCTGATTTGAAGTCTGGGGAAGAGAAGGTATTAAATGAGCCCAAGGGATGTCTCACTGTGTCAGAAATCAAGGAATCAAAAATAAATGAGGCTATGTAAAAAAACAAAAACAAACAAAAAAACACACGAGCTACCCTAAAGGGCACTTAATGATTGCAATTATGCCATCTGAACACCAGAAAGACTAATGCTTTTGGTACATGAAAACACACTGAAATCAACAATATATTAGTCCACAATGATATTAAAACAAAGAGAAAGCTAGAAAAAAGCTTCAGCTGTCACCATTAGAGGGAACTGGTAATAAAAGACAAAGAATTAAGCTTATCCTTCTTTTTCAGTAGGAGCTCCATTTCAAGATAACCAAGTATCTCTGGTTGGTAAGAAAAATCACTGCTTTCAGAAGAACGTTAGAGTAAATGTTGAATTCGCTAGTGAAACTGAAACTACTGACTCAGGCAAGGATTATCAACTGTTGTTCAAGACATTAGCACATGGTTGACAGGGAATACACATTGGTAGGATGCCAAAATATACACTGCAGACTATTACTAGTACTTTTTGAATTGTAAAGGGAAATATGTAATTGTTCAATAGAGATATCAATCTGTCATCAACTGAATTCACTAGTAAAACTGAAAATTTAGCATCACTTCTGATGATAGGCAACCAGAGGCTATGCATCTCTCACAATAATGTCACTATCTCCTAAGTTATAAAGCGTTGCCTCTGATGTATTTCAGCCAAAAAAGGTTTCCATTTACAGGAACCGCAGTGGGGTAAGTGGGATATATTGCAGAACAACTGGGTCGGTTGATTTAACAAACCAGTGTTGTGGTTTAAGGCACTCCCAGATTGGCAGTGCCTCCAGGTGTCTGGCAGAGCAAAAACAAATCCCTATTGAAGAAGACACTTTGATTCTAGGTTTCAATTTATTTCACATATCTGAATACAATGACCAATATACAATAAAAAAAATCAGGTACACAAGGAAATAAGACATCATGAACAAAATGTGTCAAACACCTCAGATACTAGTGTGACCTGACGCAGGCTATAAAACAGCTGCGTTTACTATACTTATTTAGTATACTATACTAAACTTGTATACCATACAAGTTTTGATGGTATGTTCAAGAGAATAGGAAAATATTTTAAAATGGCACTGCAGACTGAAAAAAGAACCAAACAGAACTTTCATAAATGAAAAAAAAAACCCTGAAATTAAAAGCTCAAAAGAAGGGTTTGACACATATAGACAAATCTGAAGATTTACAACGAATAACAAAAATTGAGAATAAGCGTTTCAAAACTTTCGTATCAACTTAACAGGGTAATCTTATGTCTACTGACTATAATAATAAAAACACTATTTTATACACAGTGTATTTTGTACTTCACTTCTGTAATAATTTATTTTTACTGTATTTTATTTTCTGTTAAAATAAAGGACTCATATCTGGGAAAACATACTGTTACAATTCAACAAGAAGAAGACAACCAACTTAAAAAAAGACATCTCATCAAAGAAGAGAGACAAATGGCTAACAGGCATATGAAAAGATGCTTAAAATTTCCAGTCATTGGGGAAAGGCCAATGGAAACCACAGTGAGACACCATTACACACCCACAAGAATTAAGCTATAATCGAAAAGACAATAATAGATATTGGCAAGAATGTGGCCACATCAGAGCCCTCATACATTGTTGGTGGAAATGTAAAACAGTACAACCACTTTGGAAAACAGTTTGGCAGTTTCTTTTTCTTTTCTTTTCTTTTTTCTTTTTTTGAGACGGAGTCTTGCTCTGTTGCCCAGGCTGGAGTGCAGTGGTGTGATCTCGGCTCACTGCAACCTCCACTTCCCAGGTTCAAGCAATTCTCCTGCCTCAGCCTCCCGAGTAGCTGGGGCTACAAGCGAGTGCCACCATGCTCAGCTGATTTTTTGTATTTTTAGTAAAGATGGAGTTTCACCGTGTTAGCCAGGATGGCCTTGATCTCCTGACCTCATGATCCGCCCGCCTCGGCCTCCCGAAGTGCTGGGATTACAGGCGTGAGCCACGGTGCCCAGCCAACAGTTTCTTAACAAGCTAAACATAAATTTACCACACAAGCCAGGAATTCCACTCCTAGGTATCTACTCAAGAGAAATGAAATATCTGCTCGCACAGACTTCTATGCAAATGTTCACAGCAGCACTGTTACTCATACCAGCTAAGAAACAGCCCAAATGTCCATTAACTGGTGAACGGATAAACAAAATGTGGTGTATCCATCTGACTGAATATGATGCGGCATTAAAAAGAAACAACACAGATGAACCTCAAAAACCTTACAGCAGGTGTAAAAGACTACCTATGGTATGACTTCGCTTATATGAAGTGTCCGGAAGAAAGTAAGTCTAGAGACAGAAAGCAGATCAGTGGGTGCCTGCAGCTGGGGCCCGGAGGGGAACTTAATGGTGAATGGCACGAGGTAACTTTTGGAGGCAGATGGAAACATTCTAAAACAGAATTGTGGTGACGGTTGCACAACTCTATGTATTTGCTAAAATAACTAAATTTTCCAGTTACAATGGGTGAGTTTTAGGATATGTAAATTATGCCTCAACTCTAAAAAAGAAAAACCTATGACTTGAAAAGTTAGGAAAAAATAAAATCTAGGGATAGGGCTGAAGGTTACACTCAGAATGAATACGTGGCTTTAAATTCTTTTATTATTAAAAAGCAAACTAAAAATAAGTCAACTCTCTATTCAACTTAATAAATGAAGAAAAGGTTAAAATAAAAGACATAGGATAATTAAAGATAAAAGTACAGATGAATAATACTGAACACAAACAGAACAGTCAAAAGAATAAATGAACTTATAAGGAGACATAACCGCCACTGATAAGGAAGAGATTAAAAGGTGCATTAAACAATGACCATGTACTAGTTAACAGACCCCCCTTTCTAAATGGACGCACTGTGCTAAGAAGCTACAGACGTTTCATAGAGAAAAGCAACAGGCCCACTGAGTTCCAAGTCAAACTTTCAACCCTATTTCATGGACACATTCCACATTTTATTGTTTCTGAAATCCGGGTCCATCTCATTATCCCTGTCATAAGGTGGCAGTGTGAGGGAGCTGCGGGAAAAGCTGCTCCAGGCCACCCCAGGAACCTTCACAAAGTGCTGGTGACAACAAATCTTAGACAGGACAAAATACAGGTTTATGAAAAAGAACAAAACTACAGACCAGCTCCATGTAGTAAATACGGAAGCAAATATTCTAAAGAAAATTAGTTCCAAACACTATGAAAATACACTGTGACAAAACTGACAAAATGCAAAGATATTTCAAAACCAGAAAAATCTGTCAACACAGCAATTATAATAGTAACATCTTAAAGAGGAAAATCATATGGCATTTGACCAAATTCAGCAGCAGTACCCACCCAGCATGCACTGGCATGGCGCCAACCAGCCTGCATGGGTCCGGGAAGAGTCCTGTGAGCTTGGACTCCGGAGCACCAGCGGCCTTGCAAAGGCTGCTTACCAGAAACCAAGAGCCACTTTCCCATCAACTTAGGAAACGCTGAAGCCATTTACTGAAATGGGAGAAAACAGGAATGCCTGCTATCACCTCTGTTCCAGGTTTTATTGGTCCTTCTTAGTGGCAGAATAAAATTAAAATAACTAGTCTATGTTGGCATAAATAGTGGAAGAGAGATAAAAGAATCTATTGCAAACAACAGGACTATATATGCAGACTGTAGTGGAAAAATTAATTAAGACTAATACGAAAATGTGGTAAGGTGACGGCAAAAGAAAATATTTAAAAACCAATAGCTCTGCATGAGATTAACAAAAACCAATTAGAAGTGGAAATGGGAAAAAATATAACCCAGTCACAAGTGTGACAAAAGCTATAGAGTATTTAGAAATAAATTTACTGGAAAGTTAGAGATTTACAAGAAAACCATAAAATTTTATAAGTCAGAAAACAAGACCCAGAAAAATGGGGGATATATACCATCTTCCTAGATGGAAAAAAGGTATCAATTTTCACCAAATTAATATATAACTTTAATTCCAATCAATTATTATTTTTCTGAACTAGGTGAAATTATTTTAGTATATATACAGAGGCATTAATGTTTTAGAACAGCCAAGAGAGAATTATCAAACAAGACCAGTGAGGGGAACTGGCTTGATACATGTGAAATTCTCCTGGATATGTGGATTTACTATGGAGAATTTACCATTTTGGGGAAAAGTGAAAATGTAAGCGTCAGTGGAAGTATATTGCATGCCATTCTTACTAGGTATAATGAAAAACGAAGGAAACGGAGGTTGAGAATAGAAAACAGATGTAGAACAGATGTAGAAAGAGGCTTGTGCAGCGACTCCTCAGAAGAGGTAAAGGAAGTATGCTAGAGGCCGGCACACACCGGTACTTGCATGGGCTCTGCCCCGCGCATGGAATAATATACGGCGACAAAACTGACAAATGCAAAGATGGTTCAAAACCAGAAAAATCTATCAACACAGCAATTATAATCTTAACATCTTAAGGAGAAAAATCATATGGCATTTGACCAAATTCAGCAGCAGTACACACCCAGCATGCACTGGCTGAGGCGGGGCATGCATGGAAAAATGGGGCACACGGCCAACCTTCTGTACCATGGCAGATCCAAGCCCCAGCTGTGATGGGCATTAGGGGCAGGGCTTGGGACATGAAGGCCCAACAGTGGTTATACAAAGCCTTTTCCCTCCCTCTGACTCTGGGCCTCCGGAGGGTACTGGAAGGAGGAGTTGATACCTATCCCTTTCCTTGCTGTCTCACCAATGGGTTGCTCACTCCAGGAGAATAGGGGCTTGGTTTTGTGTAATTCTGTACCCCTAGTACCTAGAATAGCTTTCACAGGCGCTCAACACATATTTGCTGAATGAATGAATAGCATGAGAAAGGTATATCCTATTTGGGAAGAGGAAGACTAATAATAAAAAATGACTTAGCATGCATATTATCTACCACAAAGGTAAACCAAATATAAGCCAAATACAAGCTCTAGAAAATGCAAGCGAGAACCTGGATTTTTTTTTTTTTTTTTTTTTGAGATGGAGTCTCGCTCTGTCGCCCAGGCTGGAGTGCAGTGGCACGATCTCAGCTCACTGCAAGCTCTGCCTCCCGGGTTCACGCCATTCTCCCGCCTCAGCCTCCCAAGTAGCTGGGACTACAGGCGCCCGCCACCACGCCTGGCTAATTTTGTTTTTGTATTTTTAGTAGAGACGGGGTTTCACCATGTTAGCCAGGATGGTCTTGATCTCCTGACCTCGTGATCCGCCCGCCTTGGCCTCCCAAAGTGCTGGGATTACAGGCATGAGCCACTGCGCCCGGCCGAGAACCTGGATTTCTAGCAAGTAGGGGGCAAGAAAATTCATCCACCCGTAAATCCACCCACCCATCCACCCACCCATAAATCCACCATCCACCCAGCCTCCCTTCCTCCCTTCCTCCTTCCACCTGGCAAATCTGCTATCTGCTTTACAGTGTGGAAAGCCTGGGAATACAGCTATAAACATGACAGACTGCCTGCTCTCACTGAGTTCATATTTACTTTTCTTTTTCCTGAGAACAAGATCTCAGTCTGTCATCCACGCTGAAGTGCAGTGGCACGATCATGGTTCACTGTAGCCTTGGCCTCCCAGGCTCAAGCAATCCTCCCACTTCAGCCTCCTGAGTAGCCGGGACCACAGGTGTGTGCCACCATGCCCAGCAAATTTTATTTTTTTGTAGAGACGGAGTCTCCCTATGTTGCCTAGGCTGGTCTCGAACTCCTGGGCTCAAGTGATCCTTCTGCCTCAGCCTCCTAAAGTGATGAGATTATAAGCGCGAGCCACTGGACTGGTTGCTGAATTAATATTCAGTGGAAATTAATTGTAAAAGATCCATTATTATAAATTTAAGGTATGAAAAATGTTATTTTATTTAGTATATCTGTCTTATATTTTAGTAATTATAAAGGTTTTAAGAGGTTCACATTTGACTTTACGGTCCTTACTCTGTTTTCCTTGATAAGGTTTTAAGCACCTCAATCTCAAAATCTAAAGGAAGACTTTTAGGGATTAAACAACCTGAGATGGAAAGAGATGGCTGTGTCATTTGGGGGGAAATTCAAAGTAAAGAGCACTTTTTCCTAATTTCATATAAGAAATGCTTGAGTAGAGGTAATCCTCAAATGACTCATAACAAAGCAAGTCCATAATGTACTATAGCTACAGTCCTTACTTTAGAAACATAGGGAACTTCTACTATAATTTTTACAATTACTGTACTTGGAGTAATTCCTTTCGGAATTGCTACAGTTCTAAGACAAACAAATGAAAATTAATTTAAAAGAAAAACTGGCTAGCTTAATACCATAAATAAAAAGATGTTCAGCTTTTCCTGTTTCCTTAGTGTATTATGCCTATACTGTGTTGTTAAACTTTTATCTTGAATAGCTCTGGAATTTAAAATGTTAATTGAGTAAGTAAGTTAATGACATTCAACCTAAAAAAAAAAAAACCCCTCAATACAGAAAAGATGACCCCACAAAATACAAACACAGCAAAGGAATAAATTAGCACACTATCAAAACATTGCTCCTTCACTCCAACAGCCACAATTTAACTTTTAAAAGACAAATAAAAATTACCTTTTAAGGATGGTAGTTTTTGAAGTTCTCTATTATTGCTTGCGCTAAACCTTGAAGAATTTTGCCGTTTGTCTTTCTTCACTATGGGCTGAGAGACTGGTACTTTTATTTTAGCAGATACTGTAGACGGGACAGCAACAAGGCTGTTTTTCCTGACGGAAATTTGCTTCCAAAACAAAAACAAAAACAAATGAATATGTACAATGGTTGTATTTTGTAGCACTATTAAAATATAGAAAAACATATACATGAGTCTTACTCTGGGGCATTCCCCTTCACTCCATGGAAGACATCATTCCTTAGAGTGGCTGGAGTATGGGGCTTATGTCCCACCTTCAGCAATATTAGACTGAAAGATTCAAAGATGCCTAATTTCTCGTATCTTCCTTCAAACTTTTGATTGCTAAATATTTACCACATAGGTTGATGTGGTAGACTAAATAATGACGCCTAAAGATGTCCACATCCTAATTCCTGGAACTGGTGAATATGGGACCTTGCTTGGCGACAGGGACTCTGCAGATGGGATTCAGTTAAGAATCTTGAGATGGGACGATGATTCTGGATCATCCAGGTGGGTCCAAGGGAATCACACAGGTCATTACAAGAGGGAGGCAGGAGGGAGACAAGAGAAGGCAATGGGACAATGAAAGCAGGGGTCAGAGAGAGATGTGAAGATGCTACATGGCTGGGTTGGAAGATGCAGGGAAGTGGCCATGAACCAAGGCAGGCAGGTGGCCTCTAGAAGGTGGGAAAGGCTGGAAATAGATTCTCCTCTAGAACCTCCAGAGCCATCACGACCCTGCTGACACCTTCATTTTGGCCTCATTTCAGACCTACATGCCAGAACGGTAACATAGTAAGTTTATGCTCTTTGGAGCCACTGCATGTGTAACTTGTACAGTGGTGCAAGGAGATGAATACGGCTGAGTATCTCACAAAATGCTAGGTGTTCCCTGCTGGCTCACCACTCAGTCTTGAACACCCAAAGCAGGCCATCTGAGTGCCTCCCCTTGAGCCCCAGGAAACGCTCCGCTGGAGCTGTTCTGCTGCCATTGTCCTAGGCTCCTGGTGTGCGTGCTCATTCCCAGGCTGCACCATAGCTCCAGGGCTGGTCAACACCCCTGCAGCCAACCTGCAACGCTGCCAACTGAACTACTCAGCAGAGGTGGAGAAGAGTCTGAAGATGCACGAAGCAGAGGAACCAGGGGTCCCCTGTCATCCACAGAGGCCAAAGGAGCTCACCAAGGGGGCCCGTGGAGTTCAGCTGTGCTCTGGGCCCCCCAGCTGAAGGGCTCTCTAGGTAGCAAGCAGTGACCTGGCCCACAGCTGTTTGCTGCGACCACTATCCAGCAGTGACAGCCAACAGCTGCTGTGTCCACCGTCAAGATGATTTACATAATGTGCTCGTTGCCCACCCTTCTTTCTGCCCAAAGAAAGGGAGTCTGTGTCTGCATATGTGCTCTTTAAAAAGGCTGTCACTCTCTGAGACAGTTTGCTTCTGTGTCCCCACCCAAATCTCATCTCAAATTGTAATCCCCACGAGTCAAGGGAGGGACCTGGTGGGAGGTGACTGGATTGTGGGGGCAGTTTCCCCCCTGCTGTTCTTGTGATAGTGAGTGAGTTCTCAGGAGATCTGATGACTTACAAGTGTTTGGCAGTTCCCCCCCCCCACTTTCTCTCTCTCTCCTGCTGCCGTGTAAGAAGTGCCTTGCTTCCCCTTCACCTTCTGCCATGATGGTAAGTTTCCTGAGGCCTCCCCAGCTAGGTGAAACTGTGAGTCAATTACACATCTTTTGTTTATAAATTACCCAATCTCAGGTAGTTTTTTATAGCTGTGTGAAAATGAACTAATATAGACTCCATCCTGGAGACACAAACCTACCTAGTTTAGGGCCAAGGAGAGCAGACACACCAACTCCAGCCCCAGACATTAATTTGTTCTCATCCTTGAATGAAATTTTCATAAGCAATAAGAGCTGCTTTACTTTCTACTAAGGTGCTTAGGAATGCCTGGAAAGAGCTGTCTCATGTGACAGACTGCCCGGAACAGCAGGCAGCCTCTGACCTGGGAGGCAGGGGTCTCGGTTCCCTTCTCTCCCTCAGTCTGTGGCTTTTTCCTCAAAAGGTACTTTCTTGGGCTCTGAGCTTGACATCTGTCAATCTTTTGCCATGAAAGCCTGGGTCTTTCTTCCCTAAAAGCCCCTCCATAACCAGCTCCTCCACAGAATCCCCCAGTTAGACAGGTTTCTGCTCCGCCTTCTCTGGGTGCCCCTGGCATTGATTCCACAGTCTGGAGGAGCTGCTCCTAGGAGCTGTCCTGGCTTTAGATGTTCAGTCACATACGTGCGTGTTCCAGTAGATAATGTTCTCCATCTCCTTTTTATTTCACTATAGTGCCAGCCCAGCACTCACAGCGAGGACCTTGGGTAGAGGCCAATGACAGGGCTCCCCCGTGGCTTCTGACCCCCGCTGGAAGGTCGGCTGCATGGAAGGTGGCCCAGCCTAGGGGGCTGGGAAGCAAGTCCATGGGTCTTGACTGCCATGGGGACACACTGAGGATAGGCTTCTGCCCCTGAGAAAATAAGTCAGCCCTCGGGCACAGTTCCAAAGGGGCCCTTGGCCTTTTGGCCACCATGCCCCACTCCATTCTCTCGTCAGGGCCAAGACCAGAGAGAGGAGCCAGTCTGCCTGCTCTGCCCAGCCCAGCCACCAGCTGCCTGCCCCACAACACCGTGACCTGGTGCTCCCACCAACTCTGAGGGGGCATCTTCCTCCCCGATGGGACATCAGCTCAGGAGGGCAGGGCCTCTCCGCATGAGACATTGTCTGTCCCTGGGAAGGTGAGGTGATCTCCCTGAGGAAGGAGCTGCAGAGCTGCCCAAAGCAGATGCCACCAAGAACCTGGGCTCAGAGAGGGGGAGAAGGAGAGAGAGTGGGAGAGAGGGAGGGGGAAAGAGAGGGGGAGAAAGGGGGGGGAGAGAGAGAGGGGGAGGGGAGAAAGAGAAATGGGGAGAGAGGGAGGGGGAGGGGGAGAGGGGGAGAAGGGGGGAGAAAGAGAGAGGAGGAGAGAGAGAGGGGGAGGGGGAAAAAGAGGGGGTAGAGAGAAAAGAGGGGGAGAAAGAGAGAGGGGGAGAGGGACAAAGAGAGGAGGAGAGAGGGAGGAAGAGAAAGAGAGAGGGGAGGGGGAGGGGGAGGGGGAAGGGAGGGGGGAGAGGGAGAGAGGGGGGCAGAGAGGGAGGGGGAGAAAGAGAGAGGGAGAGGGAGGGGAGGGGGAAGGGGGAGAGGGCAGAGGGGGAGAAAGAGGGAGGGGAAGGGGGGAGGAGGAAAAGAGAGGGAGGAGAGAGGGAGGGGAAGGGGGAGAACAAGAGAGAAAGGGGAAAGAGAGGCAGGGGGAAGGGGAGAAAGAGAGAGGGGAGAGAGAGGGAGGGGAAGGGGGGAGAAAGAGAGAAAGTGGAAAGGGGGGGAGAAAGAGACAGAGGGGAGAGAGAGGGAAGGGGAGAAAGAGAGAGAGAAGGGGAGAGAGGGAGGGGAAGGGGGAGAGGGAGGGGAAGGGGGAGAGAGGGAGGGGAAGGGGGAGAGAGGGAGGGGAATGGGGAGAAAGGGGGGGAGAGAGAGGGAAGGGGAGAAAGAGAGAGGGAGGAGAGAGGGAGGGGGAGGGGGAGAGAGAAAGAGGAAAGAGAGGGAGGGGAAGGGGGAGAGGGAGCGGAAGGGGGAGAGAGGGAGGGGAAGGGGGAGAGAGGGAGGGGAATGGGGAGAAAGGGGGGGAGAGAGAGGGAAGGGGAGAAAGAGCCAGAGGGGAGAGAGAGGGAAGGGGAGAAAGAGAGAGAGAAGGGGAGAGAGGGAGGGGAAGGGGGAGAGGGAGGGGAAGGGGGAGAGAGGGAGGGGAAGGGGGAGAGAGGGAGGGGAATGGGGAGAAAGGGGGGGAGAGAGGGGGAAGGGGGAGAAAGAGAGAGGGAGGAGAGAGGGAGGGGGAGGGGGAGAGAGAAAGAGGAAAGAGAGGGAGGGGGAGGGGGAAAAAGAGAGAGGGGAGAGAGAGGGATGGGGAGGGGGAGGGGAAGAAGGGGGAGGGGGAGGGGGGAGGGGAAGAAAGGGTGGGGAGAGAGGGAGTGGGAGAGGGAGAAAGAGAGAAGGGGGAGAGAGGGAGGGAGGGAAGGAGGCACACAGGGAGAGAAGGATGAAGGGAATGAGGGAAGGAGAGAGAGAGGGCGAGGGGCTCCCTTGGGAGCAGCTGCCCAGAGCGGGTGGGCGCAGACGAGGTGGGAGCGGGAGCGGGTGCTAGGGCGGGCTCCTGGGTGCCGCTCCGGTACACCTGGCCACGGCCACGGCCACGGCTGGAGGATGAAGCCCCCGAGACGGGACGGAAAGGAAACGGGAGAGCGCGGTTCGCGGGCGGCCAAGCAGAGGGTTGGAGCGCGCAACGCAGGAGGCCAGATCGGCGTCCTCCGCTTCTTCCCCGGGTGGCCGGCTCCCCTCCTCCGGGCTCCGGGGCGAGGCAGCGGAGGCCGGGGCAAAGGCGGGACCCCGGCCTGGGGCCCATGCCGGAGGCTCCGGAGGCGGCCGGCGGGAGCTAAGGGTCTCCTTGGAAGGCCGGGACAGACAACACTCTTGAGAAAACGTGGTTGGGGCAGAGGGGTGCGTCAGGCGCCCAGGAAGGCGCAGGCTGGCAAGGGCAGGGGCGGGGAGGCTGGGGGGCGGCAGGAGGGCCCGGCGGGAGCCCACGCGGGTCTGCAGCGACAACAGGAGTGAGGTCGAGCCTGGCCCCACGCGCACAGCGCGCCTTGGCAGCCTAGCGGCTCAGGGGCCAAAGCCGCCAAGGTCGCTGTGCCACCGGGAGGCGCAGGGCGGGTTGAGGCTTCGGAGGGTGGGGAAGGTCTGAAGGGGTCCCTGAGGACAGAAGCCAGGGTCCCGGGAAATACGGCAGCTGTAAACAAGCCCTCCTCCTGGGCACCAGACACCACCAACACCGCTGGTTCGCTGGTTCGTGGACAGCCCGGTGGGGACCCTGCCGCAGCCCCGACACCCGGCTCCCTCCCTGCTCTGATGTCCCATAAACCTGCAAAGACTCCTCCAGTGGCGGCACCGCAAGGCACCTGTAGCTGGAGGGAGACGGCTAGGGAGGAAGGCTGGGGAGCGGCTGCCCCACGCTGCATTCCATGGTTCAGGCCGAGCTGGCGCATCCTTAGCTTACAGAGAGGAAAGCAAGGCTCAGGCTGTGGGGTGAGCGCCTGAAATCACCCAGTCAGTGCTGCAGCCAAGCCCCAGCCTCAGTCCCTGGACTCTGGGTCTGGGGTTGAGCCAAATGCTGGACCCCAACTTCCCCCTTACACCTCACACCGGAGCAATTCCATGCTCCAGTGCCTCTCAAAATCCTCCCTTTCTGCAATTTTATCGTAAACGGAACAAACTGCCACCACTTATGTGCCAAGGACTAAGTGATATGCCACTTAAGAAGTATTTTTAATGCCGGAAAGTCCAGCCTGAACCTGATCAAGCCCTGAGGTCTAACCACCAGTTCTTAGGAAAATACAAGAGAGAGAGGAGTGTGTTAACCAAAAGCAAAGCGATCTGGACGCAGGGAACCAGGGAACGTGGGGGAATGGCAGGAGGTGTCCTCCCGCAGCACCGGGCAGTCGAGCCACCACACTTCAGCCCAGGTGAGCCTCTGCTGTGGGCCCTGTTACATGCAAGCAGCCCCTCCCCCCAAGCGGCGACAACTAAGAGCGTCTCCAAACATTGCCAAATGTCCCTTGGGGGGCAAAATCACCCTTGGTTGACTATCATATCTCTCAAACGTATGGGAACAACCTGATTTAACAATTAAATTGCAAGGAGAAAAAGGAGAGGAGGAACCAGCACATATCACAACCTAGTGTAATGTGTGTACCTGATTTGGATCTCAGGACTCAATTCAATTCAGGACCCAAACCAACCAAATGAAAAAGGGAGGAGGGGAGGGGAGATTTAATGCTTACTCCTGAGAGTAAGGAATTGCAGTTAATATTTTTAGGTGAGGCAATCACGTTCTGGTTCTTGGAGTCCTTGTTGGAGGATACCACAGGTGGGACTTACAAATAAAATACGATGACTGAGATTTGCTTCAAAATAATGTAGTGTGAAGAGAGGGCCATGCATATGGAGGAGGAGGCCTGGATAAGACAAGATGGGTTGCAGTGGATGATGGCCAAGGCTGGGCAATGGGGACCTGGGGCTTCCCTATATGATTCCCTCGACTACTATGTATGTGAAAATAGTCCAAATGAACACGTTATTCCTCCCTGCATTAACCCCAGCCTCTATAGACCAGACAATCAGAACACCTTCCCTCATCTTTCTCCCAATCGTATTTTCAGTGTTGGTGGTACAGTGGTGAGCACAGCTGCCTCCAATCATATTTTCATACTGTTATTGGACTGACCTTTCTAAAGGTCCATCAGACCATTCCCCTGCTCACAAGATGCCAGTGGCTCCCCACTGCCTGCGGGAGAAAGTTCAAACTCCGTAGCATGGGGTTTGAGCTCAGCCGCTGTCTCCCCCACACTTATTTTTCCAGGACTCATCTCTCAATGTATGGGAGAGATGAGTCTCTCCTTTATTTCAGGAATGCTGGGCCACTCTCAGATTCTCAAATGTTCTCTGACCCTGCCCTGTTTCAATGCCTGTTTCTTCAGCATGAAATGCCCTCTTCCCGTTCCCAAACTCTCACCCCCACACAAAGCTTTTGATCTACTCAGCCTTCAGTTCTAGCTCAAATGCCATTCTCTTTAATGTTTTCCCCACTCATACACGCAGCCAGGCCCCACCATCTCCTCAGTGTTCTTAAGGGGGTTCCCTTACACTTCCATCAGGCTTGGAATCCCATGTCTGCTTCTACAAAGAGATTCTGAGCTTGTTGAGAGCATGGACACATCTCATGTCCCCGTTATCTGCCAACACTCAGGCAGGCTCCGGAGCTTGCTGCGTCTCCTTCACACAGTCACTGTCTCTCACGTCCTTAATTCCAGCCTTCACACAACCACTTCCATGCACACTTGATGTTCCAGCAATACCAAACTACTTGTCCTCCCAGACAAAACCTAGTTTTGTATGTCTTTTCAGATACTTTATTTTTATTTTTAATTTTTTTGAGACAGGGTCTGTCTGTCACTCAGGCTGGAGTGCAATTGCACAACCACAGCTCACTGCAACCTCAACCTGCTGGGCTCAAATGATTCTCCTCCCTCAGCCTCCTGAGTAGCTTAGTCTACAGGCACTCACCACCACATCTGGCTAATTTTTGTATTTTTTGTAGAGACAAGGTCTCACTATGTTGTCCAGGCAGGTCTTGAACTCCTAAGCTCAAGCAATCCAATCTGCTGTGGCCTCCCAAAAGTGCTAGGATTACAGGTGTGGTGAGCCACCGCACCCAGCCTTGGATCTTTTAAAAGTGCATCTGGCTCAAGGTAGTATGATACTGGCATAAGGACAGACATACAGATTGATGGAATAAAATTGAGAGCCAAGCCCATTCACCAGGGAAAGAACAGCGTCTTTAACAAATGATGCTGGGACAACTGGAGAGCCATATGGACAAGAATAAAGGTGGATCCCCCCTCACACCACAGGAAAAAAACGATTTCAACATGAATCACAAACCTAAACAGAAGAGCTGAAACCACACAACTCTTAGAAGAATACAAAGGTAAAGCTTCATGACCCTGGATTTGATAATGGTTTCTTAGCTATGACACCAAGGGTGCAAGCAACTAAAAAGAAAACAGATAAACCAGACTTCATAAAAATTAAACATTTTTGTGCAAAGGATACTATCAAGAAAGTGAAAAAACCCACAGAATGGGAGAACATATTTGCAAATTATATAAGGGTCTAGTATCCAGAATATGAAAAGAACTCTAACAACTCAATAACAAAAAGAAAACCCGATTAAAAAATGGGCAAAGGACTTGAACAGGCATTTCACCAAAAAAGATATACAAATGGCCAAACAAGCACATGAAAAGATGCTCACCACCTTTAGATGTTAGGTAAATGTAAATGAAAATTACAATGACATACTACTTCACACCTGCTGGGATACCTATTCTTTTTCAAACTGAAAAATAACTTGTTAGCATGGCCAGGCACCATGGCTCATGCCTCTAACCCCAGCACTTTGGGAGGCTGAGGCAGGAGGATTGCTTAAGCCCGTAAGTTCAAGACCAGTCTGGGCAATATAGTGAGACCCCTTTTCTACATTAAAAAAAAATAGCCAGGTATGGTGGCATGCACCTGTAGTCCCAGCTACTCAGGAAGCTGAGGCGAGAGGACAGCTTGAGCCCAGGAGTTCAAGGCTGCAGTGAGCCATCATTGTACCATCGCATTCCAGTCTAGGTGACAGAATGAGACCCTGTCTCAACAAAAAACAAGGGTCATAAAGGACGTGGAACTACAATTGGAACCCTTGTATATTGCTGGTGAGAATGTAAAATGGGGCAGCTGATATGGAAAACAGTTTGGTGGTTCTTCGGCAAGTTAAACATAAAATTACCATCCAAAGCCAGGTATGGTGGCTCAAGCTTGTAATCCCAGCACCTTGGGAGGCCGAGATGGGTGGATCACCTGAGGTCAGAAGTTTGAGACCAGCCTGGCCAACATGGTGAAACCCCATCCCTACTAAGAATACAAAAATTAGCCGGGCATGGTGGTGCTTGCCTGTAATCCCAGCTACTTGGGAGGCTGAGGCAGGAGAATCGCTTGAACCCAGGAGTTAGAGGTTGCAGTGAGCTGAGATGGCGCCACTATACTCCAGCCTGGGCAACAGAGCGAGACTCTGTCTTAAACACACAAACAAAAATGACCATCCATATGACCCAGCAATCTCACTCCTAGGCATATACCCAAAAGAACTGAAAACAAGTGTTCAAACAAAAATCGGTACACAATGTTCACAGCGCATTATTCACAATAGCCAAAAGGTAGAAACAACTCAAATATCCATCAACTGATGAAATGAAATGTGCTATATCCAAACAATAGAATATTAGCTATAAAAAGGAACGAGCGTTTGGGAGGCCGAGGCGGGCGGATCACGAGGTCAGGAGCTCGAGACCATCCTGGCCAACATGGTGAAACCCTGTCTCTACTAAAAATACAAAAATTAGCTGGGCATGGTGGTGTGCACCTGTAGTCCCAGCTACTCGGGAGGCTGAGGCAGGAGAATTGCTTGAACCCGGGAGGTGGAGGTTGCAGTGAGCCGAGATCACGCCATTGCACTCCAGCCTGGGCGACAGAGCAAGACTCCATCTCAAAAAAAAAAAAAAAAAGGGAATGAGGTATGACGCACGCTACAACATGGATGGACCTTGAAAGCATTCTGCGAAGTAAAGGAAGCCAGACACAGAAGGACAAATATTGCATGATTCCATTTCTATGAACTATTCAGAATCGGCACATCTACAGAGAGCAGACTGGTAGCTGCTAGAGGCTGGGGGAAGGGGAGTGAGGAGTGACTGCTGGTGGGAATGGGGCTTCCTTTTAGGGTGAGGAGGACTTTCTGGAATAGGTGGTGGAGAGGGCTGCACGACCCGCTGAGCATCCTTGAGTCTTCTGGGCTTATGGTGAGAACAGCAAGGGCCCCACGAAGACAGGGAGACACACACGCTTTGGGAGGATCAGCTGTTCTCAGTACAGAGAAGGCATTAGTGTTGGCTGAATAGGAAGTGAGAAACAACAGGTGTGCTTCCTCAGTTTAAGTGTTTACTCCTAAAATAAAAACTGGGTATCTATCTTAAAATGATAAGAAATCGCAGTAAAAAGGTATGATACTGTTTAGCGATCTGGTTTGGGCAACATCTAAAAAAAAAGGACTTGATTCTTCCCCTTTCGCCCTCTTCTGGAATGCTGGTTACAGGGAACTCACTCAGTGAGGGGAGAGATGACCTAGAATTTACTTTGGCCTCTTGATGTCTGGCTTAATGATGGGAAATTATTTTTCAAACTCAGTATTATCTGTCAAACCCAAATCAAAATAGTCGGCCCTTCCCTTCAGTAGAAGCCACTGAAAGTCGGTGGTCCCAGAGGGTTCCAAGCGAGCACTGTGGCCTCCACGTGTCTGAACAGTGGCTGCACACGAGCACCAGCTGCATTTTCTAGGAGGAAGGCGGGGGTGGAGTGGGGGGGGGGCACAATCTGAAATGCTATTTGAGACACTTGTCGGCCACTCAAATGGAAGCTACGGGAATAAAGAGGAAGTCGTTCCCTCCCCTTCCCAGAGCCTCTCCACTGAACAGACACGGGGTCCCTGGGGGAGGATGTGTCTTGCTGTGAGGATCTGGGATTCTGGAGTCTCTGGCTGGGGGAAGGAGGTGGTGGGGGTGTCTGGAGACAAGGAAAGATGAGGTGGCCAGTCCACATGGCAAGGCAAGGTGTTGCCCAGAAGGGCCTTGAAATTATGCAGGAGTTCAGGTTCCTAGCCAGGGTAGGTGGACTGCTGGCCCTGGGCCCAGCCCCACTGCCAGGCCCACAGGGAGGTACAGAGGCAAAGGGTGTTACCTGCCTCAGTGGTACATGGTCCTCTCCCAAGTCTTCCCAACAAGCATGGCTGCACTTCCTCAGGTAGAGGAAACAAGATGCCAGAGGTGTCCCTCACGCTCAGGGACAACGCCCCATTAGTTTCTAACAGAGACACAGCAAGCCCGAATGTCCAAGTGCCCTCACACCCCACAACCTTCCGTGCAGCCAGGCAACAGCACCCCAGTATATTGGGAGTAAAAGGCAATCTGTGCAGCAGATACATGGAAGTCTATTAGTTTCTCTACTTTGAAATATTTCATGGAAACAGCAAAATGGGCAACTGGATTTGTGACAAAGCCTCTCTCCTAGATGTTTTATCATATAAGGGATTTACCAAATGAAACAAGCAGCTCTTTCCCTTCATTTAAACACTGCAATTCTCAAAATTCACAACTAGATATAAGATATTTATTGTTCAGTTGGGCAGGGCCGAATCACTGATCTCTCAGTATCTCTTAGATGGTGAATAGAGTCAAACAAAAAAGATACCTCTTCCACAGACCATGGCTAGTACTGGTTTCAGATACAGGCCCAGGGACCAATACTAGCAGCTTCTCCAAGTGCTGAACCCGATTTGGATTCCAGTAGGCCGCGGCTGGGAAGCCACAGCCCATGAACCACATCTGGCCTCCTGGTTATTTTTGTAAATCAAGTTTTACTGGCATACACTCACGTCTGTTTATCCACCTGTTGTCTGTGGCTTCTCTCTTGCTGCAACAGCAGAGTTAAGTAGTTGCAGTAGAGACCACGCGCCCCCTGAAGCCTTGAATATTTACTATCTGGCCCTTTACAGAAAAAGGTTTACTGATTCTCGTGCCAGGACAACAATTTCTGGATGAGAGGAAGAAATAAAGGAAAACAGGACAGATTTCCCTGATCAAGGTCGATGATGCACTCACAATCAGCAAACCTCCTGAGCCTGCCTTACAAGTGAGAGTGAAGGAAGAGGCAAGTTACGACCTCCAGTAATAAAAAGATTTGCGGAGGCAGTCACTGGTGCATCTCAGCATAGCAATATTCAACAGATGCAACTTCCATCTGGCAACCACAAAGCAGCGTGGGGCTGGAGGGAGAAAGCAGGTGCTCTGTCCCTACAGAATCCCCCCGAGGCCACGCACTCAGAGACTGGGTATAGCAGAGAATAGGAGTGAGATATGCAGCTGAAAAGGAGATTGATGTTAGGTCTGAATACTGATCTCTCCATAGCCACCTTATCCCCACACACCTTCTCTGCAGAACATTGGTAAACTGAGTGGTTATGACAAGAAAAAGGGATTCTCCAAAGAAACCAGTCTGTCTAGGAAAAACTAAGGCTGCTAATGTAGGAGCTGGCACCTCAAAGCAAATTCTCTGCAGTTTAGTCTCTAGGGGCCAAAAGTCACAAGAGCCAGCTCCCAGCCAAGGCCTCTAAAGCAAGTGGTCAGATGACAAGCCCACCCACAGCCAGCTGTGCCAGTGCCTCATCTTTGCCTGTGTGAACAAAGAAACCCTTCATCTGAGAAGCAAAGTCTTCCAGTTGGTCTCCTTGTTCAGCTCTTGCCCCTCGTTCCCACATAGCAGCTAGGAAGATCCTCTTACTTCCCTACTCAAAACACCCCAGTGGCTTCCCATGACCCTCAGAATAAAAACTCAAAGCCCAACCAGACTCAGTGGTTCATGTCTGTAATCCCAGCACTTCGGAAGGCCGAGGTAGGAGGATCGCTTGAGGCCAGGAGTTTCAGACTAGCCTGGCTGACACAGTGAGACCCCTTCTCTACAAAAAAATCCAAATATCAGCTGAGCATGGTGGTGTGCACCTGTATCTCAGCCACTTGGGAGGCTGAGGAGGGAGGATTGCTTGAGCCCAGTAGTTCAAGGCTGCAGTGAGCTAGGACTGCACCACTGCACTCCAGCCTGGGCAACAGAGTGAGACCCTGTCTCTAAAAACAAAACCCCAAAACAACTCCCCCTCCCTGCCAAAATCCCAAAACCCTGTCTAGGCAGGCTGTTTATAAGATCTTACCCTACCTTGTCTGTGCTCGGCTCCCTACCTCCATCCCTCCTGCTCTGCCTACCCTCACTTTTCCTTAGTCAACTGAACACCTGGCAGTGGACACGGCAAACTCACTTCCTCCATGGGGCCTTTGCACTAGCTGCTGCCTCTGGCTGAATGAATATCTTGCCCTAGATCTTTGCACTGTGGCCTCCTTCTTGACATTCACATTTCACTTTTCATGTCATCTGCTTGGTGAGACCATCCTTGACCACCTGAAGCAGCCTCCCAATCTCCAGCAGAGGGGCTGCCAGAGGGTCCTGTCCACCAGTGGTGTGTGGAGCTATGTGAGTGGTTTTGGTTGTCATCATGGTATTGAGATCCCCAGGGCCATTGCTCTGCAAAGGTGAGACGCTCTCACGCCCAATGTCACTAGTGCCCCGCAGAAAACACCTGCAGCTCCACACTCCACTTCTGTGCCCTCACTGGAGGCAAACTCCACGAGTGCAGGAACTCTGCACCCGCAATGGTGCTCAGCACATGCCAGGTCTCAGAATGAACCTGCTGGATGACTGAGAATGAAGGAATCCCCTGGAGGGAAGCCGCAATGTCAGAGAAATCGGCCAAGATAAACAGGAACATGATACCGAGAGAGGGTATGATCCCTCCAGGGGACAGAAGGGGGACCTGACTCCAGAGCCCAGCCTCTGCCACATTGCACAGCTTCCGTGTTCTGGACAGTGGCCCCATTCATAATCAGCAGGACAAAGTGGCTGTGCTCTGTGAAGCAGGTCTGAGAATGGGAGGAAGGTGAAGGGAGAACCTTGATTTCCGTATTACTTTATTTTTTACTTATTTATTTTTTGAGGCGGAGTTGCATTCTGTCACCCAGGCTGGAGTGCAGTGGCGCAATCTTGGCTCACTGCAACCTCTGCCTCCTGGGTTTCAGGGATTCTCCTGCCTCAGCCTCCTGAATAGCTGGGACTGCAGGTGCATGCCACCACACTCGGCTTTTAAAAAAAATTTTTAATAGAGATGCGGTTTCACCATTTTGGCCAGGCTGGTCTCGAACTCCTGATCTTAGGTGATCCACCCGACTCGGCCTCCCAAAGTGCCAGGATTACAGGCGTGAGCCACTGCACCCAGCCGCATTACTTTATTTTTTAACCCAAAATAAATTTTGTGTTTTGAACCCAAAATAAATAAATAAATAAGAGAAAATGTCTATAAAGAAAGACTAGGAGGACAAAAGGTCGTGACTGCTCTTGGGTCTGTCCAAGTCCCGCTCCTATGGGCAATGGAGTCTTTCTCGTGTGGGTATCAGGTGTAGGCCAACCACAGACCAAGCAGTAGACAGGGCCTCCCTCTCGTCTCACCATGCATTCCCTCTTCTTCTTGCCCTCCTCTTTCCTTAATTTTATCTACTTCCTTCTCTTTTGCCAATATAAGTCTTCTCTTCCTTTAAATTTAACCTTAAATTTGATATTTCATATTAAGAAGATTGATAGGTAACAAAATAAGTTCAATTAAATTAAATACACTCCCATAAGAATTATTTTGGAAAATACTGGTAGGGTCTGAAGTAGCTCTGTCCAGCAGAACTTTCTGTGAAGCTGCAAATGTTCCACATCTGCTGGTCAACAGAGTAGCTGCTGGCCACATGTGGCTACTGAGCACTTGAAATGTGGCCCGTGCAACTGAGGGACTGAATTATTTACATAATTTTAATTTTCATTAATTTAAATTTAAATTTAAAATAGCCATATGCAGCAAACAACAAACATCTTGGCCAGGGCAGGTCTAACCCCTTCAGAGCCCCTTAGTAATTTGATATTACCACCGGGCCATGCCAGCCCTTGGTCAGAGCTAACACCTGCAGGCTGCAGGGTATCTGAAATTAATCTCTTGGGGGCCATTTTTGTGTTGTTGTTGAGATGGAGTCTCACTCTGTCACCCAGGCTGGAGTGCAGTGGTGTGATCTCAGCTCACTGCAACCTCTGCCGCCCAGGTTTTCAAGCAATTCTTATGCCTCAGCCTCCCGAGTAGCTGGGATTACAGATGCCTGCCACCAAGCCCAGCTAATTTTTGTAGTTTTAGTAGAGATAGGGTTTCACCATCTTGGCCAGGCTGGTCTTGACTCCTGACCTCATGATCCACCCGCCTGGGCCTCCCAAAGTGCTGGGATTACAGGCATGAGCCACCGTGCCCAGCTGCTCAATCTTATATTAAGGAAATATATACAAGATAGTGTGGTGGCACACACCTGTAATCCCAGCTACTTGGGAGGCTGAGGCAGGAGAATAGCTTGAACCCAGGAGGCGGAGGTTGTGGTGAGCCAAGATCGCACCACTGCACTCCAGCCTGGGCGACAGGGTGAGACTCTGTCTCAAAAAAATACACACACACACACACACACACACACACACACACACACACACGAGATGAAGAAAAAGCCAAATGCCCTTAATAAAGCATTTTTTTCCCCTTCTGGAGAGCTTAATTTCTAGGCTTGTTCTCTCACTCCCCCAGGTGGAGAACATGAAGATGACAACGCTGTTTGGATTTGGGAAGCAGCACTTCCTTCACTGCAGGAGCACTGGAGAGTCTCTGCTTAAAACAACATACTGATAGGAACGTGTGAGGTGATTAGAGAGGACACTGTGCTAAACCAGACACCGCTGTGCCCTGCCCTTTGGCAGGTACCCAGTGTTTAAGGAAACACTGGAGACCCATCTTCGAATTGAAATATTCCAGATGAATCTTCCCTGTGATTTAGGAAAACATCACCGCATTTCATGTTGGTGGCAGACTGACTCACTCAGCTCCGCTAAGGATGCAGGTGGAAACCTTTCCACCATCACATGGCAGGGCTATAAGTTGCCATTCACCCTGCTGTTGCTTTAATGTAGGAACTTTGAGCTTCTTTCTTGAACTGGAAAATTTTAGATTTCATATCATTTGCTTGATGAGCTCTTTCTAGAATTGCATATACCGTAGCGAAGCTTTTACTGAAGAGGGAGAGGAATGCTGATCTTATCTATTGGCTTTAACCATGATACACACCCTAGGGTCCAATGTGCTTTCTGGAACTCCATAATTTTATGGTAAGCCCGTGTCTCCCTAGACGCTTTAAAGCATCTGATTTTCTCACCCAAAGCTCCAGGTGGCTCTTTACATGAAATGGGTTCCATCTTGTCCCATCCACTCAAGGACAATAAGATCTAACTGAGTGGGGGCCAAGTTACTCCCAAGTACACTGGATGTCCAGAAGCAACAGGTGCTACACTTCAAAAATGATGGAAACAGCCACTACTTCAGTTCCTAACAGGTCTTTATCTCCTCAATCCTCAACACAGTGCTCGCACAGAACAAGACATGCTCAAAACAAACCCTATCTTATAAAACATATTAAATATATATGTAGCTATGCTCTACTGAGAAACATTCCCAAAATAAATTAAGAAACACAAAGCATAAAAGATCACAGAGAAACCTTTACAGTCACTGCCACATAATGACATTTCAGATAACAACAGACTGCACAAATGATGGTGGTGCCTTAGATTGTAACACCATATTTTTATGGTATCTTTTCTATGTTTAGATATACAAATTCTTGCCATTGTGTTACAGGTGCCTACAGGGTTCAGTTAAATGACATGCTGTACAGGTGTGTAGCCTGGAGTGACAGGCTATTCCATATGCCCTAGGTGTGTAGCAGACTACCACCTAGGTTTGTGTTAAGCACATGCCATCATGTTTACAAAACAACAACATTGCCTAACAACACAGCTCTCAGAACGTACCCCCTCATTAAGTGATGCATAACTGTATTTAAATGGAAATCTTATTTTGAAGTGCTTTAATTAAAATAAGATCTTATGAGGCTATACTTTTTACCACTGACCTTTTAACCAAGATCTTATGAGACTACACTTTTTTCCACTGAATATGTAAAAGAAAACTAAGAAAAAAACCAAAATACTCTACTTTTTAAAATTTTCCCAAGACATTAGAAAAAAACCTAAGTACCATAATCTTCTGCTTTAGTATACTGTTATTTATTTAAAATGAATTACACTGAATAAAAATTCTACATTAGAGTTCCCTTATTGGATCAAAAAAGTGATAAATAAGCCTCTTAATAAACAAGTTTTTTATTGTTGTTGCTAATTTACAGTATCAGAAAAATCAGCAACCTAACTGACTTCAAGGTCTCCTTTTCAGTACTTTTAAAACCCACCAACTCAATACTTCTTGACTCTAGGCCCTAATATATATGGCAAGATCAAAGAAGACTCGAGCTCAACTGATGCCTTCAAGGACTGCATCTAGCTAGGAAGGCAAGTCACAGGGGAACGAAGGTCATCTAACACAGTGTACATGACACAGAACTGCATACAGCCAGCCGCTGGTCTAGTAAGTAATTGCTATAAGCATTTAAAATATGGAAGACACACAGTCCAAGATGGTGAGAAACAGCTTCGCTGAAGTTTCTGGATAGATGAGCTTGAGTTGGAGCTAAAAAGATGAAAGGGGCTGGGCACAGTGGCTCACGCCTGTAATCCCAGCACTTTGGGAGGCCGAGGCAGGTGGATCATGAGGTCAGGAGACCGAGACCATCCTGGCTAACACAGTGAAACCCTGTCTCTACTAAAAATACAAAAAATGAGCCGGGCGTGGTGGCGGGCGCCTGTAGTCCCAGCTACTCGGGAGGCTGAGGCAGGAGAATGGTGTGAATCCGGGAGGCGGAGCTGGCAGTGAGCGGAGATTGCGCCACTGCACTCCAGCCTGGGTGACAGAGCAAGACTCCGTCTCAAAAAAAAAAAAAAAAAGATGAAAGGATTCAGATGGCCAGCAGAGAATGGGGGTAGAGCATTCTAAAAGAGGGGTTCTCAAAGTGTGGTCTGGGGTGTGTCCCTTGACCCTTTCAGGGGTCCACAAGGTCAAAACGGTTTTTATGATAACATGAAGATGTGATTTGCCCTTTAAAGCGTCATTATGGGGAGTTTTTCACAGGCTACACATACGAAATCAGAACAGCTTGCGTGCAGGGGCAGACAGCTACCTTCGATGGAGCCGGACGTTAAACAGATTAGCAAAAACAGAGCCATGCCACTTTTCTCAGCAAATTAAAAAAAAAAATTCTTTCCACATAAATGTTTTTTATGTCAACATGTAATGGGTGTTACTGTTATTATTAGATGAACTATTTAAAAACGTTCAGCTTTAATTTCTAAGGAAAAATATCGGTAGATAGATATAACTCACTAAATAAAAGCTCTTTGGGGTGCTTGATAATTGTGAAGAGTATAAAGGAGTGATCTCCCTTCTGTGTGAGCACTCACTGCTGTTCTAAAGGAAATATAATGCTCAGATGAATATGTGCCAGGCATGGTTTGTAAGCAAATGTACATATTTTGGAAAGGTGTCTTTATAGTGCAGTGGCTCAACAGGGGGCGATTTGATCCTCCAGGAGACATTAGACAATGTCCAGACAATGTCTGGATGCATTTTGGTTGTCACAGTTGGTGGGGGCAGTGGGCCACTGGCATCCAGGGGTAAGGCCAGGGATGCTGGTGAATGTCCTACAAAGTAGAGGACCACTGGGCAGCCCCACAACAAAATATCTTGCCCCACAGTCAAGTGTTCAGATGGGAACCCTTGGTCTAGAGCAGTGGAGGTCACAAAGGAGGTACCTGGGGTCTACCGACCTTGCAGCTTGTGATGTAGGACAGGAATGGGGGCTAGAGAAGGGAGCTGCCTAAGGAAGAACCCACCACTCCCTCAAGCCTCAAGGGCAGCAAGCTCAGGACATCTGCCTCCTAACAACCCCAAAGCTCGGGAGCTGAGGCTGCGGCTGCCAGGGATGGATCCTCCCCGCAGAACCTCTTTCTGATGCCCCTGGGCTCTAAGGAAAGACCATGGGGAGGCGCTGGGAAGAGGGAGCCAAGACGTGGCAATTAAAAGCAAATGATTCCATTTACTCCATAATCATTACATATGAATTTCAAAAAGATTTTTAAAGTATTACTTCTCTTGGTCTTCTCTTTCACTCAAGTTCAGCTTAGGGTTGTATGGAAAAAAAGGTGGGAAGAGACTGATGGAAGCTAAGGCATAGGGAGGTTCTAGCGAAAGCCCCAAGCTCAGAAGTGAGCCTACAGGGGTGTCAGGGGCTCTCCTTGGAGGAGTTGTGCCGAACAAAATGACTGTCCTTGTCCTCCTCCTTACTCAGGTAAAAACTCTTGCTACAGAGACTGTGAAAAGGAGTATTTCTTGCAAAGATATTTTTCATAACAATGTTGTTAACATTTAATGGGTGTATTATTAAATATTTTTAAAATTTCAATTTTAATTTCTAAAAAAATTACCCTTCCGCCTAGCACCTATGCGACCTGAGGCGACTGTCAGTCTCCCTAGGTCTAGACCATCAGGGAGTGGTGGCACTGGAATGTAAAGGGACAGATTATAACAGGAAAAAATTTACTAAAGGTAGAAGGTGGCAAAGCTAGCTAACGAGTTGGAGAGAGGATTGTTCTTTCTCTTCAGCAACAGATATTATGTAAGAGTTGCTGTAGAGACTTTCAAACAAAACTAAGCTGAAGCAGGTGTAAAATACATGACAATACTCAAACGACCTTTAATGTGCTTAAAACGAATCACTTTACAAAAAGCATGAACACTTCTAAAAATGTAACATTGGACACAGTACACACACTTAAAAGAAACAACACCCACCTATGGTCTGATCTTACAAAATGGACTTGAGGAAACTCAGAGCAATTTATTAACATTCTAAATAATCATAAAATGTGCCTAGTTATGTTTCCACAGATTTGAAGGTTACACTGAGAACAGATGCTCAAAAGTGAGTCTCCTTTGTCAATCTCCACAGAATTTTCCAACTTCAAGTGACCCATGAGCCCGTTTTTTGCCTCTTTCCTTAAGACTTCCTATGAAATAAATCAGCAATAAGTAGTGGGAAGAAACTTTTATTTCCAGGACACGTGTGCAGAAGCAACAAGTCAAAATTAACCATTCTATCTGAAAGAGAAGAAACATGTACCAACACATGTCATTCAAGGAGTAGAAGTTTCTAGAATAAGGCAAAAGTTACAGGGCAGCAGTTATGACCTTTAATAGAACTTTGTTACACTGAAAGATACAGCCTGCCATACTTGCAGGGAAAATGTCTTTCAAGAAGGGTAACACCCAATTTCTTCCATACATTTAAAAATAGCCTAATCTTAAACTTATCAAATCATTTTAGGGATGAGAAAACAGGGTCACACAAGTTAGGTGACATCATTTATGGCAAAGCAAGAATCGGCATGTTTATTTTCTAACCCCCAAGCTGAAATATTTTCCACTGTACCACTCTACCCTATACTCCAGGACTTCATCTTTCTTACTGAAAAACCCAAACCATCAAATGTCCCCTTGTTCTACCCAAGAATTGTTCTGCAACATACGCCACCTGCTTTCTTGCTTTCTATGAGGCTGAAGACTAGACAGGCAGGAGTTTATTATACAGACCTGCCATATACTTGAAGTAGTGTGTTAAGTCAACCAGAGGCCAAGTTCTTGAATGCTTTCTCTGTTTGGATTATTTCCACGCTGTCTGGCTGCTCTGCCCTGGACAGGTCCCTGCTCTGCACATCTCTCAAGGCTGAGAAGCCCCAACTAGGGTAACTGTCCCATCAGAAGGTGAGTTCACTGGGTAATGGGAGCAACTGCTCATTGTGAAGGTGACATGATGTTAAAAGGCTTGAAAGGGGCTGCATGGTGGCTAACGCCTGTAATCCCAGCACTTTGGGATGCTGAGGCAGACGGATCACCTGAGGTCACGAGTTCGAGACTAGCCTGGCCAACAAGGTAAAACTCCGTCTCTACTAAAAATACAAAAAAAAAAAAAAAAAAAAAAAATTAGCTGGGCATGGTGGCAGGAGCCTGTAATCCCAGCTACTTGGGAGGCTGAGGCAAGAGGATCACTTGAACCCGGGAGGTGGAGGTTGCAGTGAGCCGAGACTGTGCCATTGCACTCCAGCCAGGGAACAAGAGTGAAACTCTGTCTCAAAAAAAAAAAAAAAAAGGCTTGAAAGCAGCATGGGAATGTCAAGCCTATTTAAATTGTTCAGGTTAAAATATTCAAGTTAAGAGTAATACTGAGAGAGAGGAGAGGGAAAAAGTGTGCAATAATGGTTTAATTCACCTGCATGAGTCAATCATATTTGGTAAGTGGGTGGAACTAGAAGTGAAGCAGTGAGCTGAAGACTGAGGGGAAAAAAAACAATAATAAAATTTAAGGGTCAACTCAAAGGTCAAATGAACAGAAGTGTCCCAACTTGTATTCCTGAAAAACAATTTACACAGTGATCTGCCAAGTGTCAAGCTTAATATGCCAGGTTGCCTCTGGTATCCTTATGAGGAAGCAGTGAAGGGCCCAACATTTCAGTGTTTTCAGTGGTAATTTCAAGCTCTGTAGCTCCAGCTCTTAGACAGTAGCACTAGAAAAAATACAAAAAGACAAGTGGGGCATCATACTCAGGCACTGCAGGCCACACCGCAGGTCTCACACGGCTGGCAAACTGCTTTCAAAACACACATTTCACATAGTAGTGATTTTGGTATCTTTGAACTACTGAGATTTTTCAGGTTTAAACTTAACATTATTCATCCTTACAGCCAGGATCTTCCCACTAAAAATAGAAATAAATGATATATACACACTGATGCTCCTTTGTATAAGGAATATAGCTAAAGTAAGAGGATATAGGCACATTAGCAAGAAAGCTCTGGGGAGAAGAAATCTTAGCAGTTTTAATGAAAGATCAAAAGACCAAAAAAAAAAAAAAAAAAGGCATATAGCATATACCTTCATAAAGCACCTACATTTCATCTTCATCGAAATGAATTTAGTCAAAAGGGTGACAGGGAAGAAAGAAACAAGTCAAATCCCAGCATGGCACAGTAAACCTCAGTTGTCTGCTATAAAGACAGGGAGGGACAGACTGGCACAAATGATCCTAACTATTGACATTTAAGGAATCTTTTGGATTTCTGCTTTTTGCTTTGGGGAGGGCAACAGATTTGCTGGAATAAACCACCTGCTGAAGAGGAGGGAGGTTCAGAATACACCAAATGATAGAAAAGAGAGAATGCAGGGCTAAAAAAAAGTCCACTGCAGATCATCGCCAGTTAACTGTGTTTCCCAGACAGAACTGAACTCATTCTAATTTGGCTTACAGGAAGAAGTCTGACACTGGCAAATAAACGTCATTTGTGATAAGACTGGGGCTTCAATGATCCAGTTCTGGATAACTGACACTCTATTAACCCAATTATGTGCTACCCATGGATTCAAAAGGACCTACTGGCTCTGCCTGGGTCCACGCAGCTCCTGGACCCTTGGCCCTAGGTGCTCTAGTTCAACAATTAGTCACAAGGAAGAAAAGGCAAAGGAAAGTGGTGACTCTGCAAATCCTCTGAAGGCACTTCACGGTGTGAAGGAACAGCATCAACCTTGGTCAAGTAGATGCAATGCTCACTTGGCATTCCAGCTGTTCCTCAATGAGGCCAAAGCCAAGAAGCAAAGAAATTTACAAGTGGCCGACGCGCAAGTGCGCGCGCCCACACACACACACACACACACACACAATGTGAACAATAATAAAATACCAAAACTAGGTAAATTTTTTCAAATACCAACATTATTGGAGAAAGAGGCCAAGGGACCGTCAACAGAAATAGGGAGCTAGCCCAGGACGTCAGTAGCAGAGGTGGTTTGAAGGAAAACAAGGTGATGGAAGAAAAAGAACTAACCACTGAGTTGCCTGGCAGCTTGCAATGGAAGTGGCGGTGGGGAGATGACCCTAAAGCTAAAAGCAACATAGCAACACCATAGACTGCATAAGACCAATCTATACAGGAGGGTTGCTGGGTTTGAGGTGTGGGAAATGAACTTAAAAATACCAGATCCAGGATGGGCACGGTGGCTCAGGCCTGTAATCCCAGCACCTTAGGAGGCCAAGGTGGGCGGGTCACGAGGACAGGAGTTCAAGACCGGCCTGACCAACCTGGTGAAACCCCGTCTCTAATAAAAATACAAAAATTAGCCGGGCGTGGTAGCGGGTGCCTGTAATCCCAGCTACTCAGGAGGCTGAGGCAGGAGAATTGCTTGAACTCGGGAGGCAGAGGTTGCAGTGAGCCAAGATCGCGCCACTGCACTCCAGCCTGGGTGACAGAGTGAGACTCTATTAAAAAAAAAAAAAAATTTGTTGGGTGTGGTGGCATGTTCCTGTGGTCCCAGCTACTTGGGAGGCTGAGGTAAGAGGATCACTTGAGCCTGGGCGGCAAGGGGTAGCAGTGAGCAGAGATTGCGCCACTGCACTCCAGCCTGCGTGACAAAGTGAGACCCCGTCTCAAAAAAATAAAAAACAAAAAAAACCCCAAAAGACCCACAAACAAACCCCATAGGCAAGCACAATTTTCATAAAATCATTAATAGTTTTCCAAAGCAAAACAGTAAATACCTAAACAACTAAAATTGAGGGTTATAAAAGACACCACAAAAAAAAAACCTCACATAGGGAAACATTTTAGAAGATTCTAGGCTTTATCACTCTCGGTTTTTCTACCTGAAGTTAAAAGCTGTGTATAAAATACAAAGTCAATATTTGATGACAGTTACCTCTGATTCTACTGTGTCTTGTCCTTCTTTTGAACTTTTTCCACTCTTCCCTGCTTTTGGTGATTCCTGGTAAACATCAAGCAAAGTCAATTAGTCTTCTCACTTTTTAGACAGGTAAACATCAGATAAGCCAAATGCAGTTTTAAAAGTGATTTATACAACTACAGCTTCTGATATTTTTAATTCATACCATTAGGAAATTCTATATCATACCGTTTAGGATTCCAACAGTGCAATGCCCCCCAACCCCCATTCAGATTCTTTTCGTTTTATCTGCATTTGAGGTTGAAAACTTCAAGCAGAAAACAGATAAATCCAATTTTATACAGTGCTTCTGGCATTTTGAGATCCACATCACATCCCTTTCTACCCTCCCACCCTAAACCCTATGAGTGAGGATTTCTGGGGTGATAATGAAACGCTACAGAGCTCCACCTGAAGCAGAAACATACCCGCCCCCCCGAATGCAAACGCAGCACCCTTGCTCGCAGCCCTCACCGCCGCCGCCACCCAGGATAATAATAGTGTTCGAGAGCCCCAGAGCGTCCCTCCGGGGCGGCAGAGAATTCCTTACCAGCTCTCAGCGGGGTCCCTTCTCGCTCCCTTTCCCCCGTACAGGGGTCCCTCCCCAGGCGTCTACAGCCCCCATCCCTGAAGCTCCTTTCCGGGAGCCTGCGAGGCTGCGAACCCCCTCGGCGGCCGCACCTGCCCGCCCAAGCCCACGGCGCGCTGTCGGAAACGGGCGCCCCTCCGACCCCCTCCCCGGGCCGCGCCCTCCCTCCACGCCCAGCCCCGGCCCATCACGAAGGTCCCAGCGGCCCGGGCCTGCGCCCCGCGGCTCCGGCGCGATCCCCGGGCTCCCCGCCCCCACCGGGCATGAGGCCGAGAGAAGCCCGGGGATGCCTGGCTCGGCCGCCCTCGGGGACGCGAAGCCCGCGGCGTCAGGCGGGGAACTGAGCCGGGGCCCGGGCGCAGGACCCCGGTGCCGTCGCGCCCTCCCCCGGCAGTCCCTCCCTGCTCCCTCCGTCCCGCGGCCGGGCCCGGACTCACTTTCTCCTTCTTGTTTTTATTCGGCATGGCTGGAGCGGGCCGCCGCCGCCGCCGCCGCCCCTGCCGCCGCCTGCCCCCGCAGCAGCAGCGCCCCCGCCCCGGCCGTCGCGCCCCCGCGGCCGCCGCCGCCGCCGCCGCCCGGGGACTGAGTCTTTCGCTTGCTCTCGCTTCCCCTTTTCCAGACTCCCAGAGGCTGCGGCAGCCACGGCGGCGGCGGCGGCGGCGGCGGCGGCAGCGGCGGCGTCTCTCCGCCCCTCCCCCGGCCGGCCCGCCCCGCCCCTCTCCTCCCACCCCCCGGCCGGCCGCCCCGCCCCGCCCGCCGCTCGCCCCACCCCCGCGCCCGGCCCCGCCCCGCTGCACTCAACAGCGCCCTGCCATTGGTCGACGCGCCCCCACGTACCCTAACGCTCCCCGCTCCCCCCACCCTCTCCGCGCGACCCGTTCACGCCCCCGCCCTCCGTCCCGAGTCGCTGCGAGCCGGCCTCAGGCAGGCCGCGGCCTCCTGGCGCGGGGCTGACCGCTGAGCAGAGCTGAGCCGACTCAGGGGAGGGAGCATGTGGCTGCGACTGCGGTGACAGGGCCGTGGCCCGCTGTGGAGGCGCAAGACAGAGCGTGAGACGTAGGAAATGCACATTTGAAATGTATGGCAACAACTTCTGCAGCCGGCGAAACGCGAACCGTGGCCTCTTGGCCTTGCCCCCTCACCGCCGCGGCTCTCGTTGCAGTCAAGAGTGCCTGGCACGCTTTGCACTGAGGCGCACGGGGAGGCCCGGGAACCGAGCGAGCGGCAGTTTCGCGGGACACCGCTGGGCCCCGCCTCCCCTCCCTTCCCTCCCCTCCCCTTCCCTCCTCTCCCTCCACTCCCCTCCCCTCCGTCCCCTCCCCTCGACCACCCCGTCCCCTGCCCTCCCCTTCTCTCGACCAGCCCGTCCCCTGCCCTCCCCTCCCCTCCCCTCGACCAGCCCGTCCCCTCCCCTCCTCTTCCCTCGGCCAGCCCCTCCCCTCGGCCAGCCCTTCCCCTCGACCAACCCCTCTCCTCGACCGGCCCCTCCCCTCGACCGGCCCCTCCCCTTGGCCGGGCCCTCCCCTTGACCGGCCCCTCCCCTCGACCGGCCCCTCCCCTCGGCCGGCCCCTTCCCTCGGCCAGCCCCTCCCCTCGACCAGCCCCTCCCCTCGACCAGCCCCTCCCCTCACCAGCTCAGCTTTCCGCAGCTCCTCCCGCGAGGTCCCGCCCATCCGACAGCCCGCCCCTCCCTGGTTGGTCCCGCCCTCCGCAGTTTCTCCCGCAAGGTCCCGCCTACCCGACAGTCCCGTCCTTTCCTGGTTGGTCCCGCCCTCCGCAGCTTTTGCCGCGAGGTCCCACCCACCCGACAGCCCCGCCCCTCTCCAGTCGGCCCCGCCCTCCGCAGCTCCTTCCGCGAGGTCACGCCCACATGCGCAGCCCCTCTCCTCCGGCGTCGGCCCCGCCCACCGAGGCGAGGCCTCAAAGACTTGGTGGCCGCTGCGCCAATAGGATTTTATTTTTATTCTTTAATTTGGCTTGATCATAAATGGTGAGGAAACCTCTGCATGACTGGGAGTCACCTGATTTCTCTCAGCTTGTTAATAGCTGTGAGGAGAGGGTGTCCAAGGGAAAAACGTTAACTTTTCAATACAATACTTCCGCGGTCCACCTCGTGCCCAAAACTATTGAAGACGCTAAGGACAGGCGTCCCAGATTGCAGAAATGCATTAGGTAGTAAGACTCTAGGAGCGTACGGATTTCACGTGCGAGAGGCATTGGTGCTTCACCTGTGATGATGAAGGAGCTGCATCTTAACTGGCAGCTTAAAAATCATCGCGTTCTCTTAGCCCCCGGAGTTTTGTTCTTGGAAGTTTCCAGGCAAAGCATTTTCCATTATTCTCAGCAGTTCTGCAATGAGAAAGCTGAAAGACGGGGTAAGAAAAAAAAGATCTAAAGGGAGGAATGTTGTGGGAGGTCCAGAAAGTAAGTTCTGTCTGCGGGTATCTGAATGTCTGCCGGCTCTTAGACGAATATCTGTAGGTAAGCAGGACAGTCTCAACTATTTGTGCGGAATAAGTGGCTTTTTTATTAATAATTTAAGTGGGTTAATGGTGTCTCCAAAACAATTTTGAGGATAGAGCGATGCCCCTAGTTAACTTAATAACATTTTAAAAATAAAATATGTGCTGTCAATTTAATAAGTCCAGGATATATCCATATCAAAAAGGAGTAGCTCTGAAACTATTGGTTTATGGCCATGAACTCTTAGGGAGGCTTAGAGGCATCTCTGAGACAATCCTTTGCCACCCAAATCCTTGTATCATATCTCCTGATCCGGTGTTGCATACAATTCATTCATTCGACCCACATTTGTTGGATAACTACTATGTGCAAAGCATGATGCCAGAAATTTCATGGTGAACAAGGCACTACCCTTGTCCTCAAGCAGTTCACATGCTTGCATGGAAATAGAAAAAACCAGCAATCAGAAGGACATGACATGTGACAAGTCTACAGGACTGGGGTGAGGGGGGTCAGGCTTGGAAGCATGACAGAGCACTGCACAGGACGTTTTGTTATGGCCGGAGATGAGACTGAAGGAACAGCGACGCTGAATTAAGACTGGTAGACCTTGCCAAGATATTGTACTTCTTTTTGAATGCATTTCAGGGTCACTGACAGATACTGAAGTGGGGAGTGATGTACTCACATTTGCATTTTAGAAGACATCGGTGGCAGGAGTGTGGAGGAGGTGAGGGTGGAAGTAAAAGCAGGAGGCAGAAAGAGCAATCAGCATCCAGCTATGGTTCAGGTGCGTGCCAGGGAGGCATCTCCACAGCAACGGGGGGAAGGATCGCCGACGCGACAGAGAGCCAGAATCGAGGATAAAAAGCGAATGCTCATGCTTGTAGTTTGGGCAACACAGTGAATGATGAGGAAGGGATGCAAGTGGAGGGCAGGTTTGCAAGGGAACAAGATTCCAGTTTGGGACACGTTGCTGTGTCCGCAAAATGTAGGTAGAGGTGTCCAAGATGGCAACTGGAAATATAGCATAGAGGACTAGTTGCATGTCAGGTTAGAGGTTTCTCAGGTCAGTTTAGAGTTTTAGGGAAAGCATAGGGACAGGGTACAAGCAAAGCTGCCTGATTAACATCCAGTGACCTTGAAACCATAGCAACCAGAGAAATCTGACTCAACACCATTACCTGTACAACTGCATGTGTACGTCACTGGCCATTGGACTGGCTTCATTTGCCCACATTAGGGAGGACCATCTTTAAGGACAGTTAGTTACCGACTACCCGTAGAACACACTGGGTTTCATGCAGTGTCTTAGGTGCTGTGGTATTTACAGGAACGCTAAAGATAGATATAGCTCCTGCTCCCAAAAGAAGGGATTCAGGACAAGCTATTGAGATAGGATATAAAGCCATTATGTGGGTGTGTGTGTGTGTGTGTGGCTGAGGGTTACCTCTTCCAGGATGGCCCCACATTCCATGTTCATGAAGGCACTGCTCGCATCACACAAAACTCCTTTTCTTCCAACCCCTGCTCCTCTGGGACACTTTTTTGAGATGGTCCCTGATATAGTTAGGATATTTATCCCCACCCAAATCCATGTTGAAATGTAATCACCGATGGGAGGTGGGCCTGCTGGGAAGTGTTTGAATCACGGAGGAAGATGCCTCATGAATGGCTTGGGCCATCCCCTTGGTGATAAGTGAGCTCTCGCTTGGAGTTCACATGAAATTTAGTTATTTAAAAGTATGTGGCACCTCCCCCCACCTTGAGCCTGCTTTCACCATGTGAAGTGCCTGCTCCCCCTTCGCCTTCCACCATGAACGAAAACTCCCTGAGGCTTCACCAGAAGCTGAGCAGATGCTAACACCAGGCTTCCTGTACAGCCTGCAGAACCATGAGCCAATTAAACCTCTTTTCTTTATAAATTACCCAATCTCAGGTATTTGTATATAGTGATGCAAGAATGGACTAATACAGTCTCTAAAAACCCAAACATACTTTTTCCATGTCTGTCTTCTCTGTATGTTGGATTGCTTTATTTGTGCCCCTGAGGTCTCTGGAGGATCAGAGAGGTTCCCAGAGGACTGAGGTCTTTGACCTCACTGCAGCCACCAGCCGCAGCCCTACACTGTTCACTGCTTCACTCTGGATACCATCAGTGGCACATATGAGCAGGGCAGAGAGAAGATGGCCCTTGACTGAGAATCAGCCCCGCACCCTTCCCTGCGTCTGCCCTCAGAAGCCCTTCCTGCGTCTTCTCTGTGAAGATGCCTGCAGCACAGTAGGCCCTGCCTGCTCCTCTGAGGCTGGTGTAGAGCTGCCCTGCCTGCCAGGCTGCAGCTTTGGTCACCCTGCCCAGAAAGCCTTCTCTCTTGGCTCTCACAGACCCCGGCTTGTGGGCTTAGGTTTCTTCATGTCATTCCTAGGCCTTCTGGGCATCCAGGCAGTCTTGCATACTTGGATATTCAGCTGAGCTTCCTAGGGGCAGTGATCATGTCTTAGGCATTCTGTGTTACTCAGTGCCTAGCATTTGAAGAAACTAATTCTAGCTGGGTGTGGTGGCTCACGCCTATAATCCCAGCACTTTGGGAGGCCAAGGCGGGAGGATTGCTTGAGCCCAGAAGTTCAAGAGCAGCCTGGGCGTGGTGGCACGCGTCTGTGGTCCCAGCCACTCAGGAAGCTGAGGCAGGAGGATTGCTTGAGCCATCACTGCAGATGGAGGCTGCAGTGAGCCGTGATCATGCCGCTGAACTCCAGCCTGGGTAACAGAGCGAGACACTGTTGCATCTCAGACTTGTTTCTGACTTTATGCCGCCTTTCTTTAACTGCTGTCTTTCTCCAGCTTTGTGGTGTGCTTATGGGCCCTCCTCTGTCTGTGTCACTAGCTCCCCCAGGTGCTCAGCCCCTCCTCCTCACCTCTCCTGGCCCAGGGCTACCTGGATTGGGTAGTGACTTCCTTTCAGGCATCCCTGAGGCCTCCCCGAAAACTAGATGTTCATCACATCTACTCCTCCCAACTTTCCTCACTTCCTTTCCATGAAAATGTCATGAAACACGCATTTTGTACTGAATTTGTATCTATTTATTCATGCACCAGACTCCTTCCACTACAAATTTGCCTGCAGAGTTGGAGTAGAGAGTATGTTAAGTCAGATTACATTTGAATTAATTATCCATATATTAAGAGTGCGGATCACACTCTAGGCACGTATCAAGCACTCAGTAAGTTTAACAAGTGGACCATGATTTGAAGTGAGGTGCCATTCGGTTCTGAGGAGTCCAAGAAAATACCCAAAAGTTAGTATTTTCAGGCCCAAGGGCACCCAGAGAGCTTATTAGACTAAGCCGGGCATCTTGTTTGGCCCCTGTAGAGCTCTGAAAAATGCCGTGAGCCAGTTAGTCCCCAACAGCTGAGAGTAATGCCACGAGTGCCTGGAGTACTTTCCCAATGAGATCCAAAAGGTAGAAAGAAATCTGTGAAAGTTTCCAAAACTGAAAATTTCATAGATTATTCTAAAAACTGTGAAAGTTCAAAATAATTCTAAAAATATCTTAATAAAATTTTGTATCCAAGTATTGAAGAAAAATGGAAAACAACACAAAATAATTCATTTTCATATAAATGGAGTGAAATACAATCCCTTTCTTTTTTCCTCCCAAATCCCTAAGTCCAGTGGAGGAGATAAGATGGGACAGAAATAACTTAACCCAAGGTGGTGGGAGAAGCACACCGTAAGAGCATTAGCGAGCAGGATTAGGGGCTTTCAGAGAGGGGAGACGTATTCAATAGAGCAGCAGAGAGCTTGCTGGAAGGGAGGGTGTGGATAATCAGCTGCAGCGTGTTCAAGTGCTGACTTTTAGTTCTTGTCCTAAGTTTGGGGTGATTGGTTTTAACAGGCTGGAACAGATGAGCCAGTCAGAAGTGTTTAATTGGAAATAAATGAATGAAAGGTCCATGCACAGAGGCATGCAAGGGTCACACCAGGGACGAGGCAGTGGGAAGCAGGCAGGGGCTGTGGCTGTGGGAGCTGTCCTTGTTCCCAGGCCTCACTGGGCAGGGGGAGGCAGAGGTCATGCCAGAGCCTGGTGTAGCCAACTCATTGTCATAGTCCCCATCGGTGTGCAGGGAGGGGGGCCAGGACAGGTGAAGACACACCCCACCCTCTTGCTTCTCCCCTCCTCTCTCTCACCAGTGGCTCCCATTTTGCTGACCCACTTGAGCCAGAGGGCCAGGAAGCCCAGCGAGCCCAGCGAGGCATCCCTTGATGTCCTGCTCTAGGGAGGAGAAGGGTGAGGAGTGGCTGTCAAGGGGGCCTTAGGTGGAGAATAACTTGGTGTCATGGTGGAATGGGAGATCTGGAATTAGAAGACTTGGGTTTGTGCAGACTCTGTGTGAGTCTCAAAACTTTTAACCTAATGGTTCTGAAACGGGTGATTCTGCCCCCCAGGGGTCATTGGTGATGTCTGGAGACATTTTTGGTTGTCACAACTGGGTGGGTAGGGAGGGCTACTGGCATCTAGTGGGTAGAAGCCAGGGATGCCACTATACATCCAACAATGCACAGGACAGCCACACACAACAGAATCCTCTGGCCCAAAAGATAATAGTGCTGAGGTGGAGAACCCCTGTCTAAACTCACGAAAAGCAGATATGACACAACCTGCCCTGCCCTCTCTGCTGGTTACCAAGAGCATCACAGAAGACAGTGGGCATGAAAGCCAGAACTGTACCACAGACTTCATGTAAGGAGAATTTCTTGATCTGGATGGAACTCCACAGTTTGCTGAATGCACTTCACTGCCTCTCCCCCCACACCCTGCCATTGTCGTCTTTCCTGCCCTTTGTGTGGAGAAAGAGACAACCTCCACTGCATCTTCAAAAGAGAGCAGCGCCCTGCTCCAGTGAGCAGGATTCTCTTCCAGGTCACTACTCCATCCTGCGAGACCTGAAGAGATTGCCTTTCTGCATGAACTGGCATCCAAGTTATAACAGAGAACTAATGAGACTGCCTTTAATTTTGTAAAATTATGACAAAATACATACAGCATAAAATTTACTATCTTAACCTTTTTAAGTGTACAGTTCTAAGATGTTAAATACATTCACATTGTTGTGCAAACATCATCACCATCCACCTACAGAACTTTCATCTTCCCAAACTCATATCTGTTCCAACCGAACCGCTCCTCATTGCCCCTCTCCAGCCCCTGGCAACCACCATTCTACTTTCTGTCTCAATGACTGACTACTCCAGGTGCCTCAAATGTGGAATTATGCAGTATTTGTCCTTTTGCGATTGGCTTATTTCACTTAGCATAATATCCTCAAGGTTCATCCATGTTGTAGCATGTGTCAGAATTTCCTTCCTTTTTAAGGCTGATATTCCATTGTATGAATATTCATGTATTGTATTGTTTATTCATTCATCTGTAGGTGGACACTTTGGATGCTTCCACCTCTTGGCTATTGTGAACAATGCTGCTATTGTAGCAGGGCAAGCCACAGGCAAAACTCCTCAGACACCAGATTAAAGAAGGAAGAGGTTTATTTGGCTGGGAGCATTGGCAGACTTACATCTTAAGAGCCGAGCTCCTGGAAAAAGAAATTCCTGGCCTTTTTAAGGGCTTACAACTCTAAGGGGTACATGTGAAAGGGTCGTGATAGGTCAAGCAAGCGTGGGCAATGTGACTGGGGGCTACATGCATCAGCTAACAGAACCAAAAGTTTTACAGTACTTTCTCATACAATGTCTGGAATTTACAGCTAACACAAGTAGTTTTGGTCAGGGGTTAATATTATTATTATTATTTTAACCACCAGGGCCAGGTGGTAGCGCCAAGGTCATCTAGCTATTTATCTTACTTCTGTTTCTTTCCAACTTTTTGCTTTCTCCTTTTTCTCCTGTCTTATAAACTAGGGAAACGGGGATGGGGGGTGTGGAAAAGATGAGAAGGTCAGCAGGAGAAGTAGTGGTCTAATTCCATACTATTAACATGGGTGTGCAAATATGTCTTTGAGACCCTGCTTTCAATTCTTTTGGGTATATAACCCTGGATTAGTTTATTCTCACACTACTATAAAGAACTGCCTGAGACTGGGTAATTTATAAAGAAAATAGATTTAATTGACTCACAGTTCTGCAGGCTGTACAGAAGGCATGGCTATGGGGGGTGGGGGCACCTCACAAAACTTACAATCATGGCAGAAGGGTGAAGGGGAAGCAAGCACGTCTTCACATGGTGGCAGGAGAGAGAGAGAGAAGGGGGAGGTGCTACACACTTTTAAACAACCAGATCTCGTGAGAACTCACTATCACAAGAACAACAAGGGGGAAATACAACCCCATGAGTCAATCACCTCCCACCAGGTCCCTCCTCCAACATGTGGGGATTACAGTTTTACATGAGATTTGGGTAGAGACACAGAGCCAAACCGTATCATACCCAGAAGTGGAATTCTTCAATCATATGGTAATTCTATTTTTAATTTTTTGAGGAGCCTCCATATTATTTTCTATAGAGCCTGCACCATTTTATATTGCTACCAACCATATACAAGGTTCCCCTTTCTCCACATCCTCACCAACACTTGTTATGTTTTGTTTTTTCAGTAGTAGCCATCCTAATAGGTGTGAGATGATATCTCATTATGGTTTTGATTTGTATTTCCATAATGATTAGTGATGTTGAGCATCTTTTCATATGCTTTTTGGCCACTTGTATATCCTCTTTGGAGGAATGTCTATTCAAGTCCTTTGCCTATTTTTAAATTGGGTTATTTGTTTTTTCTTCCTGCTGTTGTTGTTGTATTGTAGTAATTCTTTATATATTCTGGATATTAATTCCTTATCAGATATATGATCTACAAATATTTTCTCTCCTATTCTGTAGGTTGCCTTTCAGTCTGTTAATTATATCCTTTGATTTACAGGAATTTTAAATTTTGATGTAGTCCAATTTATCTATTTTTACTTTTGTTACCTGTGCTTTTGGTGTCAAATCCAAGAAATCATTGCCAAATCCAATGTCATGAGGCTTTTCCCCTATGTTTTCTTCTAAGAGTTTTACAGTTTTAGCTCCCATATTTAGGTCTTTGGTTCATTTTGAGTTGATTTTTGTGTATGGTATAGGGTAAGGGTCCAACTTCATTCTTTTGCATTGCATATCCAATTTTCACAGCACCATTTGTTGAAGAGACTGTCCTTTCCCCATTGATTGGTCTTGGCACCTTTTTCAAAAATCATTTGACATTTTGTTTCTGTGCTCTCTATTCTATTACATTGGTCTATATATCTGTCTTTATCCCAGTACCACACTGTTTTGATGTCTGTAGTATGTTTTGAAATCAGGAAGTGTGAGTCCTCCAACTTTGGTCTTCTTTTCCAAGACTGTTGTGGCTATTCAGCATCCCTTTAGATTCCATATGAATTTTAAGGTGGAGTTTTCCTCTGCAAAAACTGCCATTAGAATTTTGGTATGAATTGCATTAAATATATAGGTCACATTGGGTAGCATGAACACCTTAACTATTAAGCCTTCCAAACTCATGAACACAGGATGTATTTCCATTTAGTTGTCTTTAATTTTTTTCAGCAACATTTTGTAGTTTCCAGTGTACAAGTCTTTTGCCTCCTTGGTTAAGTTTATTCCTGATAATTTTATTCTTTTTATGCTGTTGTAAATGGAATTGTTTTCTTAATTTCCCTTTTGGATTCTTCATTTTTAGTGTAAGAAACACAACTGATTTTGTGGGTTGATTTGGTATCCTGCAACTTTGCTGAACTCATTGATTAGTTCTAACAGGATTTGTTTTATGTGTTTGTGTGTGTGTCTGTGTGTGTGTGTGTGTGTGTGTGTGTGTGTGTAATCTTATCATCTGCAAGTGGAAACAATTTTACTTCTTCCTTTCCAATTTGGATGCCTTGATTTCTTTTTCTTGTTTAATTGTTCTGTGTAGGACTTCCAGTGCTATGTTGAATAACAGTGGCAAAATAAGCATCTTTACCTCATTTCTAATCCTAGAGGAAAAACTTTCAGTCTTTCACCATTAAGTATGATGTTAGTTGTTGGCTGTTTATGTACAACCCTCATTATATTGGGGTGGTTTTCTTCTAATCCTAGTTTATTGGGTGTTTTTTTTTATAATGAAAATATGTTGAATTTTAGCAAATGCCTTTTATGCACCAATTGAGATAATCATGGGGTTGTTTTCCTTCATTCTGTTAATGTAGTGTGTTACAGTGATTGATTTTTGTATGTTGAACCATTCTTGCATTCCAAGAATAAATCCCATTTGGTCATGGGGTATAATCCTTTTAATGTGCCGTTGAATTCTGTTTGCTAGTATTTTATTGAGGCTTGTTGCACTGATATTCATCAGAGATATTGGTCTGTAGTTTTCTTTCTTTATAATGTCTTTGTCTGAATTTAGTATCATGCTAGCTTCATAGAATGAGCTACGAAGTGTTCCCTCCTCTTCAATTTTGTGGAAGAGTTTGAGGAGGGTTTGTGTAAATTCCTTAAATGTTTGGTAGAATTCACCAATGATGCCATCTAAGCCTGAGTTTTTCATTGTTGTGAGGCTTTTGATTACTGATTCAATGAGGCTGCCTTCTTAGAATGAATGTTATAAATTTTATGGCCAAACAAATTTCCTTTTTGAGGAATAGTTCTTTACTTTGGAAGGTGATGTACCTTTTATAACTATGTGCTTTTCTCAGATTTTTAGAGTATCTTTTTGGAATAATAAGTTTTGATGACTTTATTGCCCTAGTTTGTTGCTATTACTTCACTTCATTGCCAGTTTGCTTTCTTTTTCTAGACAGAGTCTCGCTCTGTCGCCCAGGCTGGATTGCAGTGGCATGATCTGAGCTCACTATAGCCTCTGCCTCCCGGGTTCAAGTGATTCTCTTGCCTCAGCCTCCTGAGTAGCTGGAATTACAGCTGGAATTACAGGCGTGCACCATTACGCCTGGCTAATTTTTGTATTTTTAGTAGAGATGGGGTTCTGCCATGTTGGCCAGGCTGGTCTCGAACTCCTGGGCTCAAGCAATCCACCTGCCTCAGCCTCCCAAAGTGCTAGGATTACAGGCATGAGCCCTGTGTTCGGTGCTGCTGTCTTAAACAGAAGTAAACCCAGACATTAGTCTCTACCTTATGCAACTTGACACACATTACTCTTGGCTCTTGTAGATATCAAATCCAGACTTGAAGATGAAAATTTCCTACAATTTCAGGTATGTAACAGCATGTGCTACAGGCTTGTAAATGAGTTCTAACTCACAGTAAATTAGCTTATGACTAACAACAGATGGGTCCAGTCCCAAAACCTACATTCTAATGGGGGAAGACAAACTGTAAATTTGTAAACAGTTGAGAAAGATCATTTCAGACAGTGATATGCTATGAAAACAGAAACAAGTGGGTAATGGTTTGGCCTATGCTGTCTATTATGCTAGCCACTTGCCACATAGACATTTACTTTTCAATTAGTGAAAATGAGAGATTCTGTTCCAAGATGGCTGAATAGGGACAGCTCTGGTCTGCAGCTCCTAGTGTGATCAATGCAGAAGATGGTGATTTCTGCATTTCCAACTGAGGTACCTGGTTCATCTCATTGGGACTGGTTGGACAGTGGGTGCAGCCCATGGAGGGCGAGCTGAAGCAGGGTGGGGCATCACCTCACTGGGGAAACACAAGGGGTCAGGGGATTTCCCTTTCCTAGCCAAGGGAAGCCATGACAGACTGTACCTGGAAAATCGGGACACTCCCACCCAAATACTGCACTTTTCCAATGTTCTTAGCAAACGGCACACCAGGAGGTTATATCCCATGCCTGGCTTGGCGGGTCCCAAGCCCAAGGAGCCTTGCTCACTGCTAGCACAGCAGTCTGACATTGACCTGCGAGGCAGCAGCCTGGTAGTGGGAGGGGTGTCTGCCATTGCTGAGGCTTGAGTAGGTAAACAAAGTAGGTAAACAAAGCTTCCCTTGAGTAGTGAAGCTCAAACTGGGAGGAGCCCACCACAGCTCTGCAAGGCCTGCTGCCTCTGTAGACCCCACCTCTGGGGGGGGGCAGGGCATAGCTGAACAAAAGGCAGCAGAAACTTCTGCAGACTTAAACGTCCCTGTCTGACAGCTCTCAAGAGAGCAGTGGTTCTCCCAGCACGGTGTTTGAGCTCTGAGAACAGACAGACTGCCTCCTCAAGTGGGTCCCTGACACCCATGTAGCCTAACTGGGAGACACCTCCCAGTAGGGGCCGACTGACACCTCATACAGGAGGTTGCCCCTCTGGGATGAAGCTTCCAGAGGAAGGATCAGGCAGCAATATTTGCTGTTCTGCAATATTTGCTGTTCTGCAGCCTATGCTGGTGAAACCCAGGCAAACAGAGTCTGGAGTGGACCTCCAGCAAACTCCAACAGACCTGCACCTGAGGGACCTGACTCTTAGAAGGAAAACTAACAAACAGAAAGGCATAGCATCAACATCAACAAAAAGGACATCCACACCAAAACCCCATCTGTAGGTCACCAGCATCAAAGACCAAAGGTAGATAAAACCACAAAGATGGGGAGAAACCAGAGCAGAAAAGCTAAAAATTCTGAAACCAGAGCACCTCTTCTCCTTCAAAGGATCACAGCTCCTCACCAGCAATGGAACAAAGCTGGACAGAGAATGACTTTGACGAGCCGACAGAAGTAGGCTTCAGAAAGTCTGTAATAACAAACTTCTCCGAGCTAAAACAGGATGTTTGAACCCATTGCAAGGAAGCTAAAAACCTTGGAAAAATATTAGATGAATGGCTAACTAGAATAAGCAGTGTAGAGAAGACCTTAAATAACCTGATGGAGCTGAAAACCATGGCATGAGAACTACGTGACACATACCTAAGCTTCAATAGCCGATTAGATCAAGTGGAAGAAAGGGTATCACTGATTGAAGATCAAATTAATGAAATAAAGCGAGAGGAGAAGTTTAGAGAAAAAGAGTAAAAAGAAATGAACAGAGCCTCCAAGAAATTTGGGACTATGTGAAAAGACCAAATCTACATTTGATTGGTGTACCTGAAAGTGACAGGGAGAATGGAACCAAGTTGGAAAACACTCTTCAGGATATTATCCAGGAGAACTTCCCCAACCTAGCAAGGCAGGCCAACATTCAAATTCAGGAAATACAGAGAACACCACAAAGATACTCCTCGAGAAGAGCAACCCCAAGACATATAATTGTCAGATTCATCAAGGTTGAAATGAAGGAAAAAATGTTAAGGGCAGCCAGAGAGAAAGATTGGGTTACCCATAAAGGGAAGCACATCAGACTAACAGCGGATCTCTCAGCAGAAACCCTACAAGCCAGAAGACAGTGGGGGCCAATATTCAACATTCTTAAAGGAAAGAATTTTCAACCCAGAATTTCATATCCAGCCAAACTAAGCTTCATAAGTGAAGAAGAAATACAATCCTTTACAGACAAGCAAATGCTGAGAGATTTTGTCACCACCAGGCCTGCCTTACAAGAGCTCCTGAAGGAAGCACTAAACGTGGAAAGGAACAACTGGTACCAGCCACTGCAAAAACATGCCAAATTGTAAAGACCATCGATGCTAGCAAGAAACTGCATCAACTAACGGGCAAAATAACCAGCTAACATCATAATGACAGGATCAAATTCACACATAACAATATTAACCTTAAATGTAAATGGGCTAAATGCCCCAATTAAAATACACAGACTGGCAAATTGGATAAAGAGTCAAGACCCATCAGTGTGCTGTATTCAGGAGAGCCATCTCACGTGCAGAGACACACATAGGCTTAAAATAAAGGGAAGGAGGAAGATCTACCAAGCAAACGGAAAGCAAAAAAAAAAGCAGAGGTTGCAATCCTCGTCTCTGATAAAACAGATTTGAAACCAACAAAGATCAAAAGAGACAAAGAAGGCCATTACATAATAGTAAAGGGATCAATTCAATTCAACAAGAAGAGCTATCCTAAATATATATATGCACCCAATACAGTAGCACTCAGATTCATAAAGCAAGTCCTTAGAGACCTACAAAGAGACTTAGACTCCCACACAATAATAATGGGAGACTTTAACACCCCACTGTCAATATTAGACAGATCAATGAGACAGAAGGTTAACAGCGATATCCAGGACTTGAACTCAGCTCTGCACCAAGCAGACCTAATAGACATCTACAGAACTCTCCCCTCAAATCAACAGAATATACATTTTTCTCAGCACCACATCACAGTTATTCCAAAACTGACCACATAGTTGGAAGTAAAGCACTCCTCAGCAAATGTAAAAGAATAGAAATCACAACAAACTGTTTCTTAGACTACAGTGCAATCAAATTAGAACTCAGGATTAAGAAATTCACTCAAAACCACACAACTACATGGAAACTGAACAACCTGCTCCTGAATGACTACTGGGTAAATAATGAAATGAAGGCAGAAATAAAGATGTTCTTTGAAACCAATGAGAACAAAGACACAATGTACCAGAATCTCTGGGACACATTTAAAGCAGTGTGTAGAGGGAAATTTTTAACACTAAATTCCCACAAGAGAAAGAGGAAAGATCTAAAATCAACACCCTAACATCTCAATTAAAAGAACTAGAGAAGCAAGAGCAAACTTCAAAAGCTAGCAGAAGGCAAGAAATAACTAAGATCAGAGCAGAACTGAAGTAGATAGAGACACAAAAAAACCTTCAAAAAATCAATGAATCCAGGAGCTGGTTTTTTGAAAAGATCAACAAAATTGATAGACCACTAGCAAGACTAATAAAGAAGAAAAGAGAGAAGAATCAAATAGATGCAATACAAAATGATAAAGGGGATATCACCACAGATCCCACAGAAATACAAACTACCATCAGAGAATAAACTAGAAAATCTAGAAGAAATGGATAAATTCCTGGACACATACACCCTCCCAAGACCAAACCAGGAAGAAGTTGAATCTCTGAATAGACCAATAACAGGCTCTGAAATTGAGGCAATAATTAATAGCCTACCAACCAAAAAAAGTCCAGGACCAGATAGATTCACAGCTGAATTCTACCAGAGGTACAAAGAGGAGCTGGTACCATTCCTTCTGAAACGATTCCAATCAATAGAAAAAGAGGGAATCCTCCCTAAATCATTTTATGAGGCCAACATCATCCTGATACCAAAGCCTGGCAGAGACACAACAAAAAAGGCAATTTTAGACCAATATCCCTGATGAACATCGATGTGAAAATTCTCAATAAAATACTGGCAAACTGAATCCAGCAGCACATCAAGAAGCTTATCTACCACGATCAAGTCAGCTTCATCCCTGGGATGCAAGGCTGGTTCAACATATGCAAATCAATATATGCAATCCATCACATAAACAGAACCAATGACAAAAACCACATGATTATCTCAATAGATGCAGAAAAGGCCTTTGACAAAATCCAACAACCATTCATCCTAAAAACTCTCAATAAATTAGGTATTGATGGAATGTATCTCAAAATAATAAGAGCTATTTATGACAAACCCACGGCCAATATCATACTGAACGGGCAAAAACTGGAAGCATTCCCTTTGAAAAGTGGCACAAGACAGGGATGCCCTCTCTCACCACTCCTATTCAACACAGTGTTGGAAGTTCTGGCCAGGACAGTCAGGCAAGAGAAAGAAATAAAGGGTATTCAATTAGGAAAAGAGGAAGTCAAATTGTCCCTGTTTGCAGATGACATGATTGTATATTTAGAAAACCCCACTGTTCTCAGCCCAAAATCTCCTTAAGCTGATAAGCAACTTCAGCAAAGTCTCAGGATACAAAATCAGTGTGCAAAAATCACAAGCATTCCTATACACCATTAACACACAAACAGAGAGCCAAATCATGAGTGAACTCCCATTCACAACTGCTACAAAGAGAATAAAATACCTAGGAATCCAACTTACAAAGGATGTGAAGGACCTCTTCAAGGAGAACTACAAACCACTGCTCAAGGAAATAAAGAGAATACAAACAAATGGAACAACATTCCATGCTCATGGGTTGGAAGAATCAATATCGTGAAAATGGCCATACTGCCCAAAGTAATTTATAGATTCAATGCCATCCCCATCAAGCTACCAATGACTTTCTTCACAGAATTGGAAAAAACTACTTTAAAGTTCATATGGAACCAAAAAAGAGCCTGCATTGCCAAGACAATCCTAAGCCAAAAGAACAAATCTGGAGGCATCACGCTACCTGACTTCAAGCTATACTACAAGGCTACAGTAACCAAAACAGCATGGTACTGGTACTAAAACAGAGAGATAGACCAATGGAACAGAACAGAGGCCTCAGAAATAACACCACACATCTACAACCATCTGATCTTTGACAAACCAACAAAAACAAGAAATGGGGAAAGGATTCCCTATTTAATAAATGGTGCTGGGAAAACTAGCTAGCCATATGTAAAAAGCTGAAACTGGATCCCTTCCTTACACATTATACAAAAATTAATTCAAGATGGATTAAAGACTTAAATGTTATACCTAAAACCATAAAAACCCTAGAAGCAAACCTAGGCAATACCATTCAGGACATAGGCATGTGCAATTTCATGACTAAAACACCAAAAGCAATGGCAACAAAACCAAAATAGACAAATGGGATCTAATTAAACTAAACAGCTTCTGCACAGCAAAAGAAACTACCATCAGAGTGAACAGGCCACCTACAGAATGGGAGAAAATTTTTGCAATCTACCCATTTGACAAAGGGCTCATATCCAGAATCTACAAAGAACTTAAACAAATTTACAAGAAAAAAAACAACCCCATCAAAAAGTGGGCAAAGGATATGAACAGACACTTCTCAAAAGAAGACATTTATGCAGCCAACAGACACATGAAAAAATGTTCATCGTCACTGGTCATCAGACAAATGCAATCAAAACCACAGTGAGACAGCATCTCACACCAGTTAGAATGGCAGTCATTAAAAAGTCAGGAAACAACAGATGCTGGAAAGGATGTGGAGAAATAGGAACGCTTTTACACTGTTGGTGGAGTGTAAACTAGTTCAACCATTGTGGAAGACAGTGTGGCAATTCCTCAAGGAGCTAGAACTAGAAATACCATTTGGCCCAGAGATACTATTACTGGGTATATACCCAAAGGATTATAAATCATGCTACTGTAAAGACACATGCACACGTATGTTTATTGCGGCACTATTCACAATAACGAAAACTTGGAACAACCCAAATGTCCATCAGTGATAGACTGGATTAAGAAAATGGCGCATATACACCATGGAATACTATGCAGCCATAAAAAAGGATGAGTTCGTGTCCTTTGCAGGGACATGGATAAAGCTGGAAACCATCATTCTGAGCAAACTATCACAAGGGCAGAAAACCAAACACTGCATGTTCTCACTCATAGGTGGGAATTGAACAATGAGAACACTTGGACACAGGGTGGGGAACATCACAAACCAGGGCCTGTCGTGGGGTGGAGGGCAGGGGGAGGGATAGCATTAGGAGAAATACCTAATGTAAATGACGAGTTAATGGGTGCGGCAAACCCACATGGCACATGTATACCTATGTAACAAACCTGTACATTGTGCACATATACCCTAGAACTTATGTATAATAAAAAATGAAATAAAATGTAAAATTCCATGTTTAATTAACACTAGCCGTATTTTGAGTGCTTATAGCCACATGTGGCGAGTTGACAGCATAGACACAGAAGAGTCTTATTGTCACAGAAAATTCTATGGACAAAGCTGGATTAGACTCTATGGGGTGCCTGCTAGAGGGTGTTGGCTATATTAGCTACGATGGTCAGGGAAGGTTGCTCTGAGAAGGTAAATTTGAACTGGGACCTGACAAAGGAGTCAGCCACGTGAGACACTGGGAGAGAGCACTGGCACCTGAGGACCAGCTGGTGCAAAGGCCCTGGGGCATAGACGACATCTAACTTAGGCCATCAAAGGAATGCTCTGGCTAATGGGTGTGGGCGGATGTATGTGAAGGTGGGATGGGATGGGGTGGGCAGAGGAAGCAAGGATGCTAGTTTTCAGCTTTCATTAGTGGTCTTGGCTGGACATAAATTTGACTTGGGCTATTTTCTCTGCTACACATTGCTGCTCCTATTGCCCTAGATGATTTTGTGTTCTCATTCTGCTACCGAGACGATACCAACCAGCGTGATACTACTGTGTTCAAAGACTGCTGTTTGAATCAGCTTTGCTACGGAGAGGACGAACCTGTTACAGTTGTGGGCTTTTTCTGCCTTTTTCAAAACTTAACTGACTCCAAAAGTAAAATATTTACTGCACAAACCTTAGCAAGTGCAGGTAAACAAGAGAAAGGAAAGTTAAAAAAATTTATAATCCCATCTCCTAAAGGCAATTATTGTTCTCATTTTGTGTATATGTTTCCACTTTTTCGTATGCATTTTTAAATTTGTTTTTTGTTTTGTTTTTGAGACAGTCTTGCTCTGTTGCCCAGGCTGGAGTGGAGTGGCATGATCTTGGCTCATTGCAAAGGCTCCTGGGTTCAAGCAATTCTAGTGTCTCAGCCTCCTGAGTAGCTGGAATTACAGGCGTGCACCACCACGCCTGGCTAATTTTTTGTGTTTTTAGTACAGATGGGGTTTCACCATGTTGGCCATGCTCACAGGCTGGTCTTGAACTGCTGACCTCAAGTGATCCACCCACCTCAGCCTCCCAAAGTTCTGGGATTACAAGTGTGAGCCACTGTGCCCAGCCTGTATGCATTTTTTTCATTGACACATATGTAATTATACTAAACCTAGTTTTGCATCTGAGTTTCACTCAACGTACTGTGAGCAAGTGGTGGCACCCTTAACTCACTGCCCTGGACCTTATGGATGCTTCTACCTGGGAAACTGCTTTTTTGTTTCATCTTCCTCCCTCATAGCATCATCCTAGTTACCCTTTTGGTGTACCCAGTTGGAGGATCAATAGTTGTTTTAAATGATCCCATATCTCTGATGATTTCTTACCTGATTCCCTTCTGTAATGAATTCTGCCTGTGGTTACCAGTTACTGTCCTCTACATGGGCTGGATCATGCCACATCCCTCCTCAGGCACCTTCAATAGCACTGATATGGTTTGGTTCTGTGTCCACACCCAAATCTCATCTTGAGTTGTAATCCCCACATGTTGAGGGAGGGACCTGGTGGGAGGTGATTGGATTGTGGGGGCAGCTTCCCCCATGCTGTTCTCGTGATACTGAGGGAGTTCTCATGAGATCTGATGGTTTTAAAAGTGGCAGTTTTGTGGCAGTTTTTCCTGTGCTCTTTCTTCTGCTTTGCTGTGGCAAGACATGCTTTGCTTCCCTTTTGCCTTCTGTCGCGATTGTAAGTTTCCTGAGGCCTTCCCAGCTATGTGGAACTGTGAGTCAATTAAACCTCTTTTGTTTATAAATTACCCACTCTCAGGTAGTGTCTTTATAGCAGTGTGAAAATGGACTAATACACAGAATTGGTACTGGAAGTGGGGCACTGCTATAAACATAATCTGAGGCTGGCTGCGGTGGCTCACGCCTGTAATCCTAGCACTTTGGGAGGGCAAGGTGGATGGATTCCCTGAGCTCAGGAGTTTGAGACCAGCCTGGGCAACATGGTGAGACCCCGTCTCTACTAAAAATACAAAAAAAAAAAATTAGCTGGGGGTGGTGGCCCATGCCTGTAACCCCAGCTACTTGGGAGGCTGAGGCATGAGAATCGCTTGAACCTGGGAGGTGTAGGTTACAGTGTGCCAAGATTGCACCACTGCACTCCAGCCTGGGTGACAGAGTGAGACTCTGTCTCAAAAAAAAAAAAAGAAAAAAGAATAGCTTGAAAATGTGTAAGTGACTTTGGAACTGAGTAATGGGCAGAGGTTAGAACAATTTGGAGGGCTCAGAAGAAGACAGGAAGATGTGGGAAAGTTTGGAACTTCCTAGAGACTTGTTGAATGGTTTTGACCAAAATATTGATAGTGATATGGACAGTGAAGTCCAGGCTGAGGTGGTCTCAGATGAAGAACAGGAACCTGTTGGGAACTGGAGTAAAGGTCACTCAGGCTATGCTTTAGCGAAGAGACTGGTGGCATTTTGCCCCTGCTTTAAAGATCTGTGGAACTTTGAACTTTGAGAGAGATGATTTAGGATATCTGGTGGAAGAAATTTCTAAGCAGCAAAGTATTCAAGATGTGACCTGGCTCATTCTGAAAGTGTTCAGTTATATGCATTCAGAAATAGATGGTTTGAAATGGGAACTTATGTTTAAAAGGGAAGCAGAGCATAAAGGTTTGGAAAATTTGCAGCCTGACCATGTAGAAAAGAAAAACCCATTTTCTGGGGAGGAATTCAAGCCAGCTGCAGAAATTTGCATAAGCAATGAGGAGCTGAAAGTTAGTAGCCAATACAATGGAGAAGATGTCTCCAGGGCTTGTCAGAGACCTTCATGGCAGCCCCTCCCATCAAAGCCTGGAGACCTAGGATGGAAAAATGGTTTCCTGGGCTGGGCATAGGGCTCTGCTGCTCTGTGCAGCCTCAGGAGTTGGTGTCCTGTGTCCCAACAACCACTGCATCTCCGGCCATGGCTAGAAGGGACCAAGGTGCAGCTCGGGCCATGGCCTCAGAAGTTGCAAGCCCAAGCCTTGGCAGCTTCCACATGGTGTTAGGCCTTTGGGTGTGCAGAAGACAAGAGTTGAGCTTTGGGAGCCTCCGCCTAAATTTCAGAGGATTTGAAATGTCTGGATGTCCAGGCAGAAGTCTGCAGAGGGCTGGAGCCCTCATGGAGAACCTCTATTAGGGCAATGCAGAGGGGAAATGTGGGGTTGGAGCCCCTGCACAGAGTCCCCACTGGGGCACTGCCTCATGGAGCTATGAGAAGACAGCCACTGTCCTTCAGGCTCCAGAATGGTAGATTCACTGATGGCTTGCACTATGCACCTGGAAAAGCTGCAGGCACTCAATGCCAGCCTGTGAAAGCAGCCATGGGGGCTGTACCCTGTAAAGCCACAGGAGTGGAGCTGCCCAAGGCCTTGGGAGCCCACTCCTTGCATGAGCATGCTCTGGATGTGAGACATGGAGTCAAAGAAGGTCATTCTGGAGCTTTAAGATTTAATAAGTGCTCTGCCTGGTTTTGGACTTGCAAGGGGCCTGTGGCCCCTTTGTTTTGGTGAATTTCTCCTATTTGGAATGGGAACATTTACCCAATGCCTTTACCCCCATTGTATCTTGGAAGCAGCTAAATTGTGTTTGATCTTACAGGCTCATGAAGGCAAGGCAGAAGGGACTTGCCTTATTTCAGATGAGACTTTGGACTTGGACTTTTGAGTTAATGCTGGAATGAGTTAATACTTTCGGGGAACTGTTGGGAAGACATGATTGGTTTTGAAATGTGAAGAGGACACGAGATTTGGGAGGGGCCGGGGTGGAATGACATGGTTTGGCTCTGTGTCCCCACCCAAATCTCATCTCAAATTGTAATCTCCATGTGTTGAGGGAGGGACCTGGTGGGAGGTCGTTGGATCATGGGGACAGTTTCCCCCATGCTGTTCTCATGATAGTGAGGGAGCTCTCATGAGATCTGATGGTTTAAAACTGGTAGTTTTTCCTGCATGCTCTCTCTCTCCTGCTTCACATGGTAAGAAATGCCTTGCTTCCCCTCCACCTTCTGCCATGATTGTAAGTTTCCTGAGGCCTCCCCAGCCATGCTGAACTGTGAGTTAATTAAACCTCTTTTGTTTATACGTTACCCAGTCTCAGGTAGTGTCTTTATAGCAGTGTGAAACTGACTAAGACAGCACAAATAAGATGCATCCAGCTCTTCAGCAGGCCAGCAGGACCCTCTGAGCTCCAACTTTGCTTCCACTCCCTCTGCATCCCGCAAGGCCCCTCATCCTCCCTGGCATCCCCAGCCCCCATGGGCCTGCCTCTGCTCTTGCCTGCCTCTGCACTGGCCTTTCCCAACTTCCTCACCTACTGAAGTTCCACCCCATTCCAAATGCCTCTGTCAGTCTTCCTGTTGGAATCACTCCCTCCTCTGGATTCCAAGGACAGCATCTCTGCACTTCTGGGAAGTGTTTTCTCTGTCCTCTCCTGAATCCTTGCAGGCTGCTTGCCTGTGTACAACCCTCACCTCCTGCTCCATTGTGCTGAGACGACCACGTCAGCCCAGTGTGCACAGCCAGGCTATGTTCACACCCACCTCCTCCACTTCCTAGTCCCCTTTGCAAGGAAGTGACTGAAACTGCATGCCACAGTTGCTGCATCTGCAAGGTGGGCGAATGATTGTGCCGCCTTTGTAGACTGCTATGAGAATGAAAGGAAAAGACGTGATTCGTTATGAATCTCCCTTTTCATGAATCTATAATCCCTTTGGGGGCAGGAATGATGGAATATTCATCTTGGTGCCTCCATCTGCACCCCCAACCTAGCACAGCACCTGGTGTACAGTAGTCACTCAATAAACGATTGTGGTGCTGGGCTGTCAGTTAAGGTTGTGCACTCCTTGTGTGACGAGCCCTTCCTGTATTTCCACAGGACCTGGGATATTTTAGGTACTCAGTAAATATGTTTTGAATCAAACATGGATGTATACTTCCCTGGAAATTGAAAACATGCCCTCATTTTTTTCTCACAGGTCAGGATACTGTGGCCAGGTGCTAATTCATGCTGGCTTCTTTGCCCTGAAGGAGCAAAGAAAAGTGGCATGAAGACAAAAAGGGGCCATATGCCCAGCAGATTTCACTGAGACACTTGGCATCTATAATTATTCACTGTTTGCAGGGAAAAGACGGCATTATAATTTATGCGCTTGGCATTCTCATTCTTGTCGTGCTGAAAACCTTCTGCCCAGCAGCACACAATGTCCACATGCTGTAGGGACTGATTTCTTTCTCCCTCTCTTCCTTCCTTCCTTTTCTCCCTCTCCCCTCTCTGTGTTCTCCTTTCCCCACTTCCCCTCCCCCTTTCCACTTCCCCCCTCTCCTCTCCCTTTCTTTCTAATAATGCAGAACTCTCAAAAGGCCAGTTTAAAATGACTTTCAAATGAGCTCCTAGAATTATTAAGATCCTGCATGATGCATTACAGAAAATATCTTTTATCTGCAGTTGGCTACACCCAGAAAATGTAACCTCACCTCAAAAATTGTCTAAAGCCATGATCTGTATCCATGCAAGAGGGGAGGAGGTCATGAAAGCAAACGAGATGCCATCCCTTCGGGCTCAATATTCTACACCCTACAGAACAGGCCAAGCCTGTCGTGGCGCTAAATAAATGAGGTTATTTTGGACCCAAACTATGATTAGTTCTTCTGGATGTTGCTGAAGACTGTAAAATATTCAGCACACCCACGTTCAGACTTGTACACTGAATAATTTGTAGCCATTACGAATCTGTATTAAGTCAATTATTTAGGCATTTATTAAGCACCTACAATGTGCTTAATGATTAGCTAGGAGCTGTGAGGACTGTAGCAGTCTTAGATGATTCCGTTTACATGGTGGCTGGGAGAATAACTTATGTAAAGGAAGCAAGTAAAGGACTTTATATAAGTTGGTGGTGCAGACCCCTAGTGCTCAGGCATGGTCCCTGGTACACTGTTGGTGCTCAATGATTGCTCATGGCATGAATGAATCCGTGGCACTTGCCCTTTACACAGCACCACCGTGTGGCTGTCTCGTTTCAGGAAGTCAACAAGGCAGGTGGGTTTGTTGCTAGGGCTGCCTTAAGAAAGTCCCACAGATGGGGGCTGAAACAGCAGATGTTTATTGTCTGACAGCTCTGGAGGCTGGAAGTCCAAGATCGAGGCATTGGCAGGGCTGGCTCCTTCTGAAGGCAGTGACAGGGTCTGCTCTGGGCCTCTGTCTGTGGCTTGTAGATGACATCTTCTCCCTGTGTTTCTTCACATCATCTTCCCTCAATGCCTGTCTGTTTCCGTGTCCAAATTTCCCCTTTTTGTAGGGACACCAATCGTATCACACTAGGGCCCATCCTAATGACCTCACTTTACCTTGATGACCTCTGTAAAGACCCTATGCCCAAATATGGTCACATTTTCAGGTTCTGGGGGTTAGGACTGCAACAGATCTTTTTTGGGGGAACACAACTCAACCCATAACAGCAGGGGCGGTTACTTGTGCTGTGGGGTCCAGGAAAGTGAAAAGCTTGTCTAGGGTCACATGACTAGGCTGAGCTCACATTGGAGTCTTTTGGGGGGAGCCTGTGCTTTCCCCACTGTCTCCTGGGGCCCCTCCACAAGGACTAGCCAAAGGGACCACAAGAGCAGAGTGGAGGTGCAGAGCAAAGGCCAGCCGTGCCAGGAGGGAGCAGGAGCCACTGGGAGGAGACCCCCAGTGGGACCCCAGTGGGACCCACGTGGCACTCAAGATCCTTTCCAGACTCATGTCGAAATCGAGATTGCTGGACCAGTTTCTTCCAAGGATGAAATCCTTTGTGATCAGGTTCTAAAATTAGGGTTAGCATTTGTGGGTGAGGAATTCCAGGATCCCAGATACCCGGTGTGGGCTCCAGGTGGGCTTGTGCCCTTGGCCTTCCCAGCTAAGTGGCTCTGCTGGAGGTGGTGGACCATAGTGGAGCTCTCAAAGGGGCTGATGTGATCTGGGGGTTGAGGGAGAAGAACTGAGCAGTTTAGGTTTTTTACAGGGGGAAAAAGCGGGAGGGAGATTGACTGGGAGTCCAAAGGTGGAGTTGGGGGAGTAGTATATTGAGAAAATCAGTCAGTCCTGAGTCTTTGGTGCTGGAAGTCTTGGAAAAGTTCGAAGTCATGAATTCGGGCTGCGGAGAGAGGTTTCCTGGAGCAGAGAAAATAGAAGGCAGAAGGGACTTCTCATGCACGACGAAAGCCCTGGGCAGAAATGAATCCTGAGCTGTCTTTCTAGGAAGGTGGGTCAGGCTAAGGGAGAGCTCGGTGTGTCCCCAGCGTCCAGGTTGGCATATGGACCTCTTGGGAGAGGTCCCACCCAGCGGGCCAGGAGCACCTCCTGCCCATCAAAGTGTGGGTGCCCCAGGTGGGAGCCTCAGAGTTCCTGCTTCCCCCTGCTCTGTCCTCTCTCCCACCCGCAGATGTGAGGGGGGATGCAAGCAGAAGGGGATGACGGATTGCAGCTTCTTGCAAAGTGTTTGTGACCTGTTAGGAAAGCAGCAGTTTGGAGGCAGGCAGTGTTCCGAGCAGCCTTTGGTAAAGCGCTCACCTGGAGAACAGCATCAGCTTCCCAGCTGGGTCCCAGCCAGGCCCCTGCATCCGTTAGGCTCAGGACCAAGCATCTCATGGGTCTCCACAAAAGTCAGGGGCCAAAAAAAACAAAAACAAAAACAAAAAAAAAAAACCACATATGGGGTTAGTTGATTTTATGTCGATTTCTTTAATTGGTTAAATTGAGTATTAACATAAAGCTATCTTGAAAACAATCACTGGGTTCAATTTTCCTACTTTGCAAGGATTCCTGAGGATAGTATCACCCTTAAAGTTGAGCATTTGGGGGTCTCGGCCCAGGGCTCTGTGACTTTGAGGGTCCCACTCTGGTCTGCCTCCTCCAGCAGAACCACTTAGCTGGGAAGGCCAAGGGCACGAGCCCACCTGAAGCCCACACCAGGTGTCTGGGATCCTGGGATTCCTCACCCTCAAACCCTAAGCCTTTTTCTAAGGACTGTGCAGGCCTCTTCCCTGGGTCTCCCCTGTGGGCAGACCACACTGCTGGAATGTTCATCCTGGACCTGAGGTGGGGTGGGGTTGGGAGAGTTGATTAAGGGGCAGGGTGGATGGAGCTCGGACATGAGGGCCGAGATGCCCGTAGCCATGCATGTGAGGCCTTTACAGATGTGGGACCAGCCTCCGTGTGTACCTTTATCCCAGCCTCACGAAGATGAGGAGTGAGTCTGTAGGTGTGCACAGTCATTGTCCACAGATCACAGCCGAGAGTCAATGAAATGTATTACAGCCAAGGAACTTCAGAAAAAAATTAAAAAATTTTTTTTCCGAATACATATTCTAGCATGGAAGAATGACATTTCAAATGTAGATTGTGGTGTTGACCAATAGAAAGAGATGGAAGCGAAATTAACACAGGTAGAGAGTTTATTTGGGCCACAGTTGAGGACTGTAGTCCAGGAAGCACTCCCAAGTTACCTTGGAAAGTGCTCCAGAGAAGAGAGGCTCGAGCTTTTAAATACAAGAGGACAAATCAGGAAAGGGGCGATTGCGAAATTGTTTTTCAGGAATTCTCATCGGTTTACAGAAATAACATTGATGAGTGATTATCTATATGTTGTTGAACTACAGGGCACGGGTTATGGTGTCCAGTGTGTGGCATTGTTAGGTTCATCCATAGCTACTGGTACCAGTCAGCCTAGAGCCCACACAGCAAGCGGCCTCAGGAGATTTCTTTTCTCAGGTGGGGCAGTGAGATGTGACAGCTGTCTCATTCCAGTGCCTCTCTAGGCCTGATCATTTAAAGGGGGCTCGCCTTCCTCAGATAAAAAGTTTCTTTTCTTTGTAGTGGGTACATTTCAACGTGCTGGGTCTGATGCACACTGGGGCTTCTCAAACTCTGAATCCTGCAGCTTCTGAAGTGGCCACCATGCCCTCCCCAGAATCCACTTCTCTTTCCTTCAATTCCACTGTGCCCAGCAGCCAGCACCACCCCTTGAAAACCCAAATCTTAGCTGAGCCTGGTGGCTTACGCCTGTAATCGCAGCACTTTGAGACGCCAAGGCAGGCAGATCGCCTGAGGTCAGGAGTTCAAGACCAGCCTGGCTGACATAGCAAAATCCTGTCTCTACTTAAAAATACAAAAATACAAAAATTGGCATGGTGGTGGGCGCCTGTAGTCCCAGCTACACAAGAGGCTGAGGCAGGAGGCTTGCTTGAACCTGGGAGGTAAAGGTTGCAGTGAGCCGAGATTGCGCCACTGCACTCCAGCCTGGGTGACAGAGCAAGACTCCATGTCAGAAAAAAAAACCCGAAACCAAAAAAAAACAAAAAATGAAAACTCCAAAATCTTATGGTATTACTGCCCTCCTGAAATCCCTTTAGTAGCTCGCCACGGCCCTCAGGATGAAGTTCCACCCCTGGCTCGGCTCTCCAGGCCCTTGGCCATCTGGTTTCCACTGACTTCAGCTTCATCTCTTCCCCTCCCCGCCCAGCCTTAGTTACGTTGCTTGCAGCGCTCCTTGGGTTTCCACAGCTGCACCCCTGCTGGAGGCCTCCCGTCACCCCACGTCCCCTTGCGTCCCCCCGCGTCCCCCCGCCTCAGCCCACTCTGGCTGCTTGCTTCTCTAACACCTGACTCGGGCTTTTCCTGGGTTCCCTTAGCCCTGTTCTTCCCTTTTCCCTGTTACCAACTGTCCCTGTGGGCAGGGATGACTCTTCTCCACCCACCTGTGACCTGTGGAGGGCACAGCTGTGTCTGAATCATCTCCCTGCCCTGGGCACAGCTTGGAGCACACTCAGAAGTGGGCCTTCAGTGCTGAGGATGGAAGTCTAAAAAAATGCATGAATTCTAACCCAGCCCGGTTGCTAGAAGACTAGAAACTAGCCTTAAAAATGATCTCGCAAGAGTTTCCTTTGGGAGGGAATGGCCTTACATAGAGCCCCGTGCTGGTTATGGGAGGAACCCTCACTGTCACGCTGGGCCACACCGTGTGGAACCTGTCCCCCAGGTGGAGCCTGTGTTGTCTTCTGTGTCTGGTGCGGCTCCGAGGAGCACTGAGTGACCTGAAAGCCCAGAGCATGCTGTGCACTCGCCTTCTTTCCTTTCATGCCACATCTCTGCGGATTTGATTCTCAACGAAATAGCCCAAGGCTGCTGCATGTGAATCTCAACTGCAGTCTGTTTCCCATGCGGAAAGAGGGACGTGAGAAAATCAACCTGCACCTCTGGGAAAATGCTATTTTCTGGGGAGCTAATCTGCTCAGCTTCAGGAGCAGCAAGGGTAACTTGGAGGATGAATCTGCCCCGAAATACAGCAAAGTCACTCTTACCGGGAAAGTGGGAAGAAGATTAATCTGAATAGTAAGAAGTCAGAATTATGGATTATTATCGTCCAAGAAAATGCATGCTCATTAATTGTAAGTTCATAACACAGACAGTGATGACCACTAGATTCACAAATAATCATCCAGCAGGCCTCCTTAGAGATGAAGTTTAAGGAAAACACAATGATTTACTATTCATACTTGGAAGGTATGTGTGGCAGGTTTCACTTTCCAAGGTGGCCAAAATAAGGCCTCCCATCCTGCATGCTCTTTTTTACAATGTGGCAATGATAGTCCTCCTGTTGAGAGGTAGGACTATGTTCCCTTCCTTGAAACCAGGCTGGCCTGTGAGTTTGGTAAAACTTACACGACTGACAAGACTAGGCCGTAAAAGGCAATACACCTTCTGCCCACCTCTCTCAGGACGCTGGGCCTCAGAACACAGCCGCCATGCTAGGAGGAAGCCCAGTCCACACACAGAGGCCAGCACTCCCAGCTGGGATCCCAGCCAACAGGCAACACCAATGCCAGCTGTGTGAGTGAGGAAGCCTTCAGATGACTCAAACACAAGCCACTGACTGCAACTGGATGAAAGACCCAGATAAGCTGAGCCTAGTTAGTCCCCAGGGCTGGGGGAAATAGTCATCCAATGCTTGTTACAAAACACTCATGGCTGTCTTAAGCCACTTGGTTCTGGGGTGATTTATTAGCCAGCAAGAAGTAACTGGAAGGCCGGGCATGGTGGCTGATGCCTGTAATCCCAGGACTTTGGGAGGCCAAGGTGGGCAGATCACCTGAAGTGAGGAGTTTGAGACCAGCCAACGCATGGTGAAACCCCACCTCTACTAAAAGTACAAAAATTAGCTGGGTGTGGTGGCGCATGCCTGTAATTCCAGCTACTTGGGAGGCTGAGGCATGAGAATTGCTTGAACCTGAGAGGCGGAGGTTGCAGTGAGCCAATATGGCGCTGCTGCACTCCAGCCCGGGCAACACAGTGAGACTCTGTAAAAAAAAAAAAAAAAAAGAAGTAACTGGAATAAAATGAAAATTGTGCTTGTAGGACGTGAGCCAAGCAGATACATGCAGTTGATTTGATACAGTTGTTTACACAATGCACACTTCTACATGCACATGTACCTTGCATATTAGATGCATAATTACATCT